>NC_000007.14:66446172-66749203 GCF_000001405.40 Homo sapiens | reverse complement strand
CAATACAACTTACTGGACATTTCATCTGAGACGAGTAGATCTGGATCTGCTCCCATCTTCATATTTGGTATTCCCTCAGCCCATCTCTGTATGGAGGTGAGGTGGCTTTCATTCAAATATGTGCCCCTGTCAGACATACACTGGGTCATGCCACCACCAGGGCTTCAGTGGAGGAAGTCACGGTGAGCCTGAAGGCCTGATATCACCTACCAAGAGCCTCAGGGAACCCAGCCAGCAAAGCAGCAGCGGCCTTGCTCTTATGACATAAAACAGTTTTTGGAGAGTGCCCAGAACCAGGGTGACAGAAAACTCTGTGAGGGTTTCAATAAGGTGCTGAAACAGTGCAGACTTGCAAACAGATTGGTCTAATCAGAAAGTTCGAATTGGAGAAATGGAAAATCAGCTCTCATAACCAAGTGATTTAGCACAAAAATACAATTGATAGTGAAGGTATAAAGTGTAATCATCAGGTAAACCTCTCCTCTCTCATAGCGTCCCTGCTTCAGGACTGCAATGGAAAAGGAAATTCTTACTGTGTAGAATTTCATTAAGATGGCTGGGTAGATGTTTGTGTGGCACCCTTGAACTAGCCGTTATGATTTTATTCTTTGTTGAGTTAATTAGAATAAAGTGATTTTCCTCAAAAAACAAACAAACAAATATGTGCCCTTGTCAGACTGTTCCATCGTGATACCCCCACGATAAACCATGCCTGTTAAAACATATGGTTCCGTGATTCACCAACAACAGAAAACAGATGCATTCAAGGAACTTGTGAGGAAGCACAAACTCAAACCCCACTGCTGATAAATTCATTACAAAAGATCCACTGAGAAAGTATGGAAGGTAGGTGAAGAATGTGCAATCCACCTACTCATCTAGATAATCTAAAACAGATCCTTAAATCAGCCTAGAGATCTAAGTACTCGGATCACATTATTTTGCAGGCAAGAGAAATGCTTTTACGGAATGTTTTGATGTTATGTCACCGTCTTACACAAAAAGCCAATAAGGAGTTTTACTAACACACAAAGTAAAACTCGACACCCAGCCCTTTGAAACGCATGCTGGAAAGTCTTTGGGAATCCAAAGCAGAAATGATCTCTTTTGTCGTATGGTCACTGACCCATGTAACTGATTATATTTCTCTCTTAATTGGCTACTCAAAAGCAAAGCCAAATTTGTGGCCCTCTGCACTTAAGACTTCAGTCCAAGTGCTCTGTGTACACAGCTCATTCCTGTTTCCATCTTAATTTTCCCTCAGTCCTGCATTCCTCACCCACTTATCTGTTATGTTACCAACAGTATGTCGCACGTATCTTTGTAAGTCATTACAAACCCTTTCTGGAACAAGATGTGGAATAATGGAATAAGTAAATGATATGTTCCACTGAAAAAAATTATAGCACAATAAGAAAACATTTTCTTCGATTAATAAACATTTTCTATGTTCAATTTCTAATGGCATTTTCTTTTATGTGCTCCAAAGTACCTTCTAAAGGAAAAATGAAAGTGCTTAAAATTAGAAAATTCTAATTTTAAGAATTTAAATTTCCTCTGTACAACAGAGGAACTACAAAAATAAAACTTTCACTATGTATTTTTAACTGCAAAGCACACAGAAAATTATAAATATACCCCTATGTGAAAATCCCCCAAAAGCGATTTTTAATTTTAGCATACAGACCAAATCACCATAAATTCAATTACAGTTGTGTATTTATTTTGAATGGGAACTGAACAGACTAGCTTCAAATGTGGTTCATAAGGTCTTTGTACAATTCCTCCTGAGTTGTTCTGTGCCTAGCATAGAGGATGCTGCCAAACCATTCCTTAGGGTGAAACAGCAGAGAATTTAGAGCCCTCAAAACTCTTGTTACATTCCTGCTTCAGAGATTTCAGCAATCTGCTCACTGTTACTGGGGGAAAATTAAAAAGCTTAATACTCTCTCAGTGTGTAATATTTTACGCATTCATGAACACATACTTATTCTAACTTCTGACTTTTAACCACATTTAATTAATTGATCATAATAATGGTATTTGGCCCTCTTAATGACCATTGCCAAGAGAGCTATGCTACCAGAAACAAATTAAAATGTTCCACTAGGGCCGGGCACGGTAGCTCACACCTGTAATCCCAGCACTTTGGGAGGCCAAGGCAGGTGGATCACCTGAGGTCAGAAATTCGAGACCAGCCTGGCCAACATGGTGAAACCCCGTCTCTACTAAAAATAAAAAAATTAGCTCAGCATGGTGGCGCGTGCCTGTTAACACCAGCTACTTGGGAAGCTGAGGCAGGAGAATCACTTGAACCCAGGAGGCAGAGGTTGTAGTAAGCCAAGATCGCACTATTGCACTCCAGCCTGGGCAACAAGGCTGAAACTCAGTCTCACTCCAGCAAAAAAAAAAATTAGCCGGACGTGGTGGCAGGAGCCCATATTCCCAGCTACTCAGGTGGCTGAGGCACAAGAATCGCTTGAACCGGGGAGGTGGAAGTTGCAGTGAGTAGAGATCGTGCCACCACACTCCAGCCTGGGTGACAGAGCAAGACTCTGTTCTCAAAAAAAAAAAAAAAAAAAAAAGGTTATATTATAAATAAAAATTGCACTTCCTGCCGGGCACGGTGGCTCACGCCTGTAATCGCAGCACTTTGGGAGGCCGAGGCGGGTGGATCACGAGGTCAGGAGTTCGAGATCAGCCTGGCCAATATGGTGAAACCCCGTCTCTACTAAAAATACAAAAAAAATTAGCTGGGTATGGTGGTTAACTACTCGGGAGGCTGAGGCAGAAGAATCCTTGAACCCAGGAAGCAGAGGTTGCAGTGAGCCAAGATCGCGCCACTGCACTCCAGCCTGGGCAACAGAGCAAGACTCCGTCTCAAAAAGAAAAAAAGAAAAGTAAAAAAAAAAAATCACACTTCCTATCCCACTGACAGTAACTTCATTGAAAACAGGAATTTCACAGGAAACTTCAAAACAGCACCATAAAAGTATAATGTTTTCCTAAAGCATTTTAGGAGCTTTATCCAAACATCAAAGAGATAAACATAAGTTAAATAATATTAAGTGGGATAACTGTTATTTCACATGTTTACATATTGTAACAATAGTCCAGATCATTTAAACTCACTTCAGCCATGTGAAACAACACACATGATGTTTCTACAGTGCTCTATGAAAGAAGTGTACATTTAATAAGATTTTCAAGATGTTTGGCCTGTACTATGAAACTTCTTTTTATAGAGACAGGGTATCACTCTGTCACTCAGGCTGTAGTGCAGTGGCTTGATCACAGCTCACTGCAGCCTGGAACTCCTAGGCTCAAGCGATTCTCCCACTTTGGCCTCCCAAAGCACTGGTATTATAGGCATGAGCCACTGCACCAGCCTGAAACTCTTGGTTTTAGTGTGATCACTTTTTTTTTTTTTTTTTTGAGATAGAGTCTCACTCTGTTGCCCAAGCTGGAGTGCAGTGGCACAATCTCGGCTCATTGCAATTTCCGCCTCCCGGGATCAAGAGATTCTTGTGCCTCAGACTCCCGAGTAGCTGAGATCACAGGCGCACATCACCATGCCTGGCTAAGTTTTTTGCATTTTAGTAGAGACGGAGTTTTGCCATCTTGATCCAGGCTGGTCTCAAACTCCTGGCCTTAAGTGATCTGCCCACCTCAGCCTCCCAAAGTGTTGGGATTACAGGTGTGAGCCACCGCACCCAGCCTATGGTGTGATAACTTTACTGATGGGCTAAGAAGCCACTCACTTGGTACCATTTCTATTCTGAGTCACAGGTGTTAGGTTTACACAGGTATTTCCTACATTTGAGGGATAGGTCATCTCTGCTAGAGATGTTTCCTCTGCAGCCAATAAAAACCCACATGCCAGAAATTAAGCTCACACAGTCAAGACTGAAATTCTATGTCTCTAGCCAAAGACTCACATAAGTAAACAGAATTTTAGTTCTATATGTAGACATCACAATGAGTAAGTACTGATATCATTTTTTTTTTTTTTGAGATGGAGTCTCGCTCTGTCGCTCAGGCTGGAGTGCAGTGGCACAATCTCGGCTCACTGCAAGCTCCGCCTCCCGGGTTCACGCCATTCTCCTGCCTCAGCCTCCTGAGTAACTGAGACTACAGGCGCCTGCAACCATGCCCGGCTAATTTTTTGTATTTTTATTAGAGATGGGGTTTTACCATGTTAGCCAGGATGGTCTGGATCTCGTGACCTCATGATCCACCCGCCTCAGCTTCCCAAAGTGCTGGGATTACAGGCGTGAGCCACCGTGTGCGGCTGATAACATTTTTTTCACTGAAAACCAGCAACAAAAAATCAAAGAAATCAATGAGTTATTCTTATCAAATCAGTTAAGTACTCATTAAACACTTGTGTGCTCAATTGGGGTTGAGAAAGCAAAGAGAGAAATGAATGCAGAATTCCTGTTTACAAATTAGCCAGGTCAGACATCCTTATAGAAAGAAACAACTAGGAAATGAGTATACATTCACGTCAAGCATCTTTTTTTTTTTTTTTTTTTTGAGACGGAGTCTGGCTCTGTCGCCCAGGCTGGAGTGCAGTGGCGCCATCTCGGCTCACTGCAAGTTCCACCTCCCAGGTTCACGCCATTCTCCTGCCTCAGCCTCCCGAGTAGCTGGGACTACAGGCGCCTGCCACCATGCCCAGCTAATTTTTTGTATTTTTAGTAGAGACAGGGTTTCACCGTGTTAGCCAGGATGGTCTTGATCTCCTGACCTCGTGATCCGCCTGCCTCAGCCTCCCAAAGTACTGGGATTACAGGCGTGAGCCACTGCGCCCGGCTATCTTTTTTTTTTTTTTGTAGAGATGCAGTCTTGCTATTTTGCCCAGGCTGGTCTCCAACCCCTGACCTCAAGCAATCCTCCCACTTTGGCCTCCCAAAGTGCGAGGATTACAGGCGTGAGCCACCATTTCAAACATCTAATAAGCAGAAAAAATTAAAATACAAGATAGCAGTAATTAGCTGGGCGTGGTGGCGCGCGCCTATCTATGGTCAGTCCCAGCTACTCAGAAGGCTGAGGCACACAAATCGCTTGAATCCAGGAGGCAGAGGTTGCAGTGGCCAAGATCATGCCACTGCACTCCAGCCCAGTCACAGATCAAGACTCCGTCTTAAAAAAAAAAAAAAGAAAAGAAAAGAAAAGAAAAAAGCAAATAATCAAGCACTACACTGAAAACATTTATCCTTATCAGCTACATAGCAGCCTGTGTGTAAGAGTTACATAAAATTCCATTTTAGGGCCGGGTGCAGTGGCTCATGTTTGTAATCCCAACACTTTGGGAGGCCGAGGCTAGAGAATCACTTGAGGCCAGGGGTTGGAGAGCACCCTGGGAAACATACAAGGATTCCATCTCTACAAAAAAATTTAGCCCAAGTGTGGTGGCTCACACCTGTAATCCCAGCACTTTGGAATGCCGAGGAGGGCGGATCACGAGGTCAGGAGATTGAGACCATCCTGGCTGACACAGTGAAACCACATCTCTACTAAAAATAGAAAAAATTAGCCAGGCATGGTGGCGGGCATCTGTAGTCCCAGCTATTCAGGAGGCTGAGGCAGGAGAATGGCGTGAACCCAGGAGGGGGAGCTTGCAGTGAGCCGAGATCGCGCCACTGCACTCCAGCCTGGGCGACAGAGCCAGATTCCGTATCAAAAAAAGAAAAAAAAATTTAGCCAGGCAAGCTAAATTAGTAGGTGGCAGGCCTGTGGTCCCAGTTACTTGGGAGGCTGAGACAAGAGGATAGCTTAAGCATGGGTGGTGGAGGCTACAGTGAGCTGTGTTCCTGCCACTGCATTCCAGCCTGGGAGACAGGGAGAGAGAGAGAGCCTTTTTTTTTTTTTTAAATTTTTTTCTTTTTTTTGAGACGAGGTCTCGCTCTGTCGCCCAGGCTGGAGTGCATTGGTACAATCTTGGCTCACCACAACCTCCTAGAATTGCTAGGTTCAAGCAATTCTCCTACCTCAGCCTCCTGAGTAGCTAGCATTACGGCAGGCGCCATCACACCAAGCTAATTTTAGTGTTTTTAGTAGAGATGGGGTTTCACCATGTTGCTCAGGCTGGTCTCAAACTCCTGACCTCGTGATCCGCCCGCCTCGGCCTCCCAAAGTGCTGGGATTACAGGCGTGAGCCACCGCGCCTGGCCAGAGAGACCCATTTTAACCACACAAGGACCCAGCTAAAAAACTTCCCCTGGTTCTGTCACCATCAGAGGAAGCCTGAGCTCCTACATCTCTGTCCTGCACTTTTTCACTTTAGTAACGACCCTCCAGGCTCGGTAGCTGATGCCTGTAATTTCAGCACTTGGGACGCTTGAGGCAGGAAGATTGCTTGAGTGCAGGAGTTTGAGATCAGCCAGGGCAACACAGCAAGACAACATCTTTACAAAATATTTAAAAATCAGCTGGGTGTGGTGGCACGCATCTGCAGTCTTAGCTACTCGGGAGGCTGAGGTGGGAGGATCACTTCAGCACAGGCAGTTGAGACTTCAGTGACTCGTGATCGTGTCACTGTACTCCAGCCTGGGTGACAAAGTGAGACCCTCTCTCTCAATAAATAAATTAATAGGCACCTCCTTGTAGTTACTGGCCTCCTCTCCTTTGATTCCCCCCTCTCCCTCACTCCACCCTGTTAGTCTGAATGTTAGTCATTCTTCAAGACACATGCAGAAAGTATTCCCTGATCCCTTCCAGGCTCCACACCCAACAGCATGGCCTAAATGCCCGGCTCCTTCCTCGGTGCTCCATCTTAGCTCACATTCCTTACCACACTGTTTTGAAAGTATCTTGACTGTCCCTTCTCCTCAACTGGCTAACTTCTAGAGAGCAGAAACATGACTGCTTGGAAGGTCATTAAAAATTCAAATCCTGAACATTTCTTAATCCTGCGGATATGAATCAGTGACTCTTAAAAGCAAAATGTTATTTATCATTAAATATTAACAATATAATCACATTTTCTTGCATCTCTGGCAAGTTTCTTGGTACAACAATTTTAAGGAACAGACTCTTAGTTTTTTTTTTGAGATAGAGTCTAGCTCTGTCGCCCAGGCTGGAGTGCAGTGGCACGATTTCGGCTCACTGCAACCTCCGCCTCCCGGGTTCATGCCATTCTCCTGCCTCAGCCTCCAGAGTAGCTGGGACTACAGGTGCCCGCCACGATGCCCGGCAAATTTTCTTTTTCTTTTTTTTTTTTATTTGTAGTAGAGACGGGGTTTCACCGTGTTAGGGAGGATGGTCTCAAGCTCCTGACGTCATGATCCGCCTGCCTTGGCCTTCCAAATGCTGGGATTACAGACGTGAGCCACCGCACCCGGCCGGAACACACTCTTTAACAGCAGTTAAAGCCGCGCAATGGCTCACGCCTATAATCCCAACACTCTGGGAGGCCGAGGCGGGAGGATCACTTAAGGCCAGGAGTTTCACACCTGCCTGGGCAACACTGTGAGATCCCATGTCGAAAAAAATAATAAATAAAAACAAAGCAGTTCTAGGTTTAGAGGGGGGAAAGCAGCTCTCCAGGCCAAAAACCAACTCCCAAGGTGCTCCGGTAAACTCGTCCTGGGAAAATTTCCTACCTAATCTCAAAGGCAAAACGAGCCCACGGGCGCCCACGACACATTTCCCAACCGCAAGGATTGGTCACCCGCGCTGAGACACCGCCAGCTGCCTATGACCTAGCCTCCAAAGCGGCAGAGTCCCTCCCTCTCTCTCCCTAAACTGCCGTGATGGGCATCCCTCGGCTCTCCTCCCAGACGGTTCGGAAGCAGGGACTTCTGCTCCTAACCCCGGCCCCGCAGCCTCGCCCTCAGCCACGGGGTGGAAGTCAGGACCACAGGCTTCAAATCCCCTCCCAACTCCGGGACACTTCTGCCCCCTAGGGTGACGTGGGATCAAGTCCCCGCGCCCCTGCCGCGGCCGGGGGCTGTGGTCTGGGTCCGAGCGTCCCATACCAGCGCTTTCCGGGGAGGTTGTGGGAGGGGCCCCGTGCGACCACAGACGCTGCTTCGGAGCCAGCGGCCTGGACGGAAGGTGGGAGCCGGGGCGAGGGGAGCCGCCGGAGAGGGAGGCGGCCAGGAAATGCTCCGCGTCAGGCCGTCGGGGCTCGGCTGGCGCTGGAGATCCCGGCAACTAGCGTCTGGGACGGAGAGGCCGCACTCTGAGGATTAAGGGAGCCGAGGGCGGCCTGGAACGGGGAAGGCGGCGCTGACGGAGACGGAATGTGGGACGAAGGACAGCGGGAGGCACCGACGCGCAACTGCCCCAGCCGCGCGGATGGCACGGACCGACCGCCCTGCCACCCCCAGCCCGAGACGCCCCGCCGCCCCGCTCCTGTAGCTGAGAGCCGAGCAGCTCTCAGCCCCAGTCCGTCCGCTCCGTACCTCGCCCGCGTCTCCGCCGGCGTCCAAACCACCGCTCGCCCGCTTCGCCCGGGTAGGTCTGGGCTCCGCGGCCAGCTCCCGCCTCACACCCACCCTCCTGCTCGCCCCGCCCCCGGCACCGCCAGCGAACGCACGTTACGCGCGGCGCGTAAACGTCACTTCCGGGGCCTTTGACTCTGGACGGGAGGAAGTGCGAGTGGATCCAAAGGGTCGAGCGGAGTGGGGTACCGCCCTGACGCCCAAGAGCAAATGGAAGAGGGCGGCCTCCGGGGTAAAGGTGGGGCGCTGGGGAGCCCCGGAGAAACCGGCGTTTCCTAGTCTGTCGCTCAGTCCCTGCTTCCGGCTTCCGACGCGCAACAGCTGGAGGGCGACGCTGGCTCCGCGGCGACTCCTGGGGCTGCGGCCGCGGTGGTAGCGCGAATGGGAGGTGGAGCGGAGCTACTGCGCCGAGGGACGCTTCAGAAACTCTGTTTCAGTCCTTCGCGGATCCTAGGATGTGACAGGTGTTCGAGTTAAAAGGTCTTAAGGCGATCGGTTGATCCAAAAGCAGCTGAATCTTTAGGAGGCCCAGGCAGGAGGATCGCTTGAGTCCAGGAGTTCGAGACCAGCCTGGGCCACAGAGCAAGGTCACCATCTCTACAAAAGAAATTTTACAAATCAGCCGGACATGATGGCGGGCACCTGTGGTCCCAACTACCAGGGAGGCTGAGGTGGGAGGATCGCTTGATAGCCCAGGAAGTTGACGGTGCAGAGATCCCTCCACTGAACTCCAGGCCGGGTGACAGCAGAGCGAGATCCTGTCTCAAAAAAAACATAACCGACATCCAGAAGTGAAATAAATTAGCCAGTGTCACAAAGTATTAATGGTTGAGTCACAAATTGAATCCTGTTTACCTGATTCTTTACGTGATTCCCATGTAAGGAATGTTAAAAACAGTAAATACTAATTCCTCTGCGTCCTGAATGCCATGTATGGCGTAACGTGCAGTCACAGCAAGAAAAAAAAGAAAATACTATGCTGTGGCTGTGAGATAGACCTGGGTTAAAATCCCAGCTTTGCTAATTGTCGCTGTAGTGTTCTTGGACAGGTTGCGTAATTTTTCAGTCTATTTTTTTTTTTTTTTTTTTTTTTTTTGAGACTCTCACTCTGTCGCCCACACTGGAGTTCAGTCGTGCGATCTCGGCTTACTGCAACCTCCGCCTCCTAGGTTCAAGCGATTCTCCCACCTCAGCCACCCAAGTAGCTGGAATTACAGGCACCCGCCACCACGCCCAGCTCATATTTTTTTTTTTGTATTTTTAGTCGAGACAGGGTTTCACCATGTTGGCCAGGCTGGTTTTGAATCCTGACCTCAAGTGATCCGCCCACCTTGGCTTCCCAAAGTGCTAGGATTATAGGTGTGAGCTACTGCGCCCGGCCCGAGTTTCTCAGTCTTTATTCATTATTGGTAAAGTAGGGATTAACTGATTCGTTTCTCAGATTCTTCCTAAGTGCCTAATGTGTGCTACGCTGAGGGTACAACAGAGTATAAAACAAAAGTAAGGCCAGGCGCAGTGGCTCACGCCTGTAATCCTAGCACTTTGGGAAGCCGAGGCGGGCAGATCACCTGAGGTCGGGAGTTCAAGACCAGCCTGACCAACATGGAGAAACCCTGTCTCTACTAAAAATACAAAATTAGCCAGGCATGGTGGCACATGCCTGCAATCCCAGCAACTTGGGAGGCTGAGGCAGGAGAATCACTTGAGCCCGGGAAGCGGAGGTTGCAGTGAGCTGAGATTGCGCCATTGCACTCCAGCTTGGGCAACGAGTGAAACTCCTCCTCAAAAAACAAAACAAAACAAAAAAACACAAAGTACCTGTGCTGAGGAGGTGGAGGAGGGAATAAACAATAATTATTTACAGTAGTACCTTGGATGGTGGTAATTGCTATTACCAAAAGACAGAATAACATTTACTTTAAAGCTCTTAACTGACTTTTGTGATTACAGAATCAGGCAACACACCATTCTATAAACCATTCTGTGAAACAGAATGAGTGTTTCTTTTTTTTTTTTTTTTTTGAGTTAGAGTCTCACTCTGTTGCCCAGGCTGGAGCACAGTGGTGCAATCTCGGCGCACTCCAGCCTCCAACTCCCTGGCTCAAGTGATCCTTCTGCCTCCACCTCCCTAGTAGCTGGGATGATAGGTGTGTGCCAGCACACCCAGCTAGTTTTTGGGGTTTTTTTGTAGAGACAAGGTTTTGCCATGTCGCCCTGGCTGGTCTCGAACTCCTGGACTCAAGCAATCTGCCCACCCCGGCCTCCAAAAGTGCTGGGATTACAGGCATGAGCCTAGACCCCTGGGCCCAGAATGAGTGTTCAATGGGCTGAGCAGAAGAGGTTGGTGCTAAAGACAGAAAAGGCCTGAGGAAAGCAGTAACAAAAACTGAATATCATTTCAAAGTTTCTTTGTGAAGGTTAAGCTAGAGAGGACTGGCCGGGCATGGTGGCTCACGCCTGTAATCCCAGCACTTTGGGAGGCCAAGGCAGGCTGATCACCTGAGGTCAGGAGTTTGAGACCAGCCTGGCCAACATGGTGAAACGCCACCTCTACTAAAAATACAAAAATTAGCCAGGTGGTGGCCTGTACCTGTAATCCCAGCTACTCTGGAGGCCGAGGTGATAGGATCACATGAGCCTGGCAGGTTGAGGCTGCAGTGAGCAGTGATCATGCCACTACACTCCAGCCTGGTTGACAGAGCAAGACCCTGTCTCAAAAAAAAAAAAAAACAAAAAAAACAAAAAACACAACCAAGAAGCTTGCAGCTTTAAAATAGACCGGAGCGGCCTCATGAGGTGACCTGAATAAAAGATGAGGGAGCCAGCTGTGCTGCTATGCAAATATCTGGGCAAGAATGTTCTAGGCACCGAGCAGCAAGAGGGAAGACCCTCCTGACACCGCTAACCTGTTTAGCAGTAGCAGGCTGGGGCACGGTGGTAGGATCATGGCTCACTGCAGACTCCAACTCCTAGGCTCAACCAATCCTCCCACCTCAGGCTCACAAGTAGCTGTGACTACAGGCAAGTGCCACCATGCCTGGCTGCTATTTTGCTGTTGTTGAGAATGTGTTTTTCCACGTTTTAGTGTTAAGTGACAGGAACAACAGAGGTTTTTTAAAAAAGACTTTCCTTGGCAAAATTAAAGGAGAACAGCACTATATCAGTCTTTCATCTTTTTTTTAATTGTTTTAAACTACTGAAAGAAGTCTGGTAACCACTGCTACACACCATGCCTCCTTCCCATGGCAAGGCTGAGCCCCGAAATCCGGATCTAAAGGTACTCTCCATATTGTTTTAGACTGCCCCCCCCTACCCAGTCTCGTATTGCGTAGGATAGCCAGGTGTGGTGGCACACGCCTGTAGTCCCAGCTATTCAGGAGGCTGAGGGGAGAAGACTACTTGAGCCAGGAGATTAAGGATGTAGTGAGCCATGATGGCCCTGGTGAAGAACAGCCACTGCATTCCACCCTGGGCAATAGAGCAAGACCCTATCTCCAAAAAAACAGCCCCCAAGAAACAAAAAAACACCTAAAAATTAAATAAATACTGTAATACCAGCATTTTGGGAGGTCAAGGTGGGAGGATTGCCTAAAGCCAGGAGCTTGAGACCAGTCTCGGCAACACAGCAAGATTCTCTCTCTCTCTCTCTCTCTCTCTCTCGCTCTCGCTCTCTCTCTCTCACTCTCTCTCTCTCTCTCTCTCCCCCCTCATATATATATAATGATGATAATATCACCCACATCAAGTAAGAGCAGTGGAAGCCCCAGTGCATCAGCACATATATATATTTGTGTGCGTGTGTGTGTACGTGTGTGTGTCTGTATACGTAGGTGTCTGTGCATGTGTGTATAATTAGATAAATAAAAATAAAACTTTGTTTTGTTTTGTTTTTTGAGATGGAGTCTCGCTCTGTCGCCCTGGCTGGAGTGCAGTGGCGCAAACTTGGCTCACTGCAACTTCTGCCTCCTGGGTTCAAGCTATTCTCCTACCTCAGCTTCCTGAGTAGCTGGGATTACAGGCGCAAGCCACCACACCTGGCTAATTTTTGTATTTTTAGTAGAGATGGGGTTTCACCATGTTGTAGTGAGCTGGTCTCAAACTCGTGGCCTCAAGTGATCCACCTGCCTCACCCTCATCACCTGCCAAGTCCTACCCATTCTAACCCTGATAGCTCTTAAATCAGGTCTTTCCACCTCAACCTCATTATCACTGCTCTAGAGCTCAAGCCTTCAGTGTCCTTTCACTTCCTGAATTTACTGTCTTAGTGCTCTTGCTCACATTGTATTCTTTGCCCAAAATGCTCTTACCACTCCCCTTCTTCTTCTGTCTATAGGGCAAGTTAAATGGCCCCATATAGTGGTATAGGTTGTTCACTGCACTGAGACTATCCATCACCACCTCTACCTCATATGTGAAAGGACTTTTGCTAAAGGAACATTCCTGTCCTTGCTTTCCATCCTTGTTTCTCCTCTCTCAGTATTTTCTGCTGTGCTCCATAGTAATTTTCTGGGGATAGGGTTTATCTGAGAAAGTGTGTGCATGGGTGAAGACCTAGGGGGTCTGGTATTACCTATGACTAGGGGTCTTGAGTCTATCTAAGGCAGGAGTGAATGTCAGGATGCCCACTGAGGCTTTGTTTTTTGTCTTGTTTTTTTCCATCATCATCCCTTTCATTTCCTTTTCCTGTCTTACTGCATTGGCTAGGATCTCCAGTGCAATGCTAAATACAAGTTGTGACAGTGGACAGCAACCACCTCTACTCAATAATAAGGCTGATGTTTTATCAGCCTTATTATCAGCCATCTGATGTCTATATCTAGTTCTCAATTTGTTCTGAATGTGTGAGGGAGATACTACAGGCCTCTGTATTCGTTTGTTCTTGCACTGCTATAAAGAAATGCCTGAGACTGGGTGATTTATAAAGGAAAGAGGTTTAATTGGCTCACGCTTCTGGAGGCTGTACAGGAAGCATGGCTGGAGGGGCCTCTGGAAACTTACAATCATGGCAGAAGGATGAAGGAAAAGCAGGCACGTCTTCACATGGCCATAGCAAAGGGAAGAGAGAGAGAGGGGGAGGTGCTACACATTTTAAACCACCAGATCTCACAATAACTCACTCACCATCACGAGAACAGCACCAAAGGGGAAACCCCCCCCACAATGATCCTGTCACCTCTCACCAGGCCTCACCTCCAACTTTAGGGATTACAATTTGACATGAGATTTGGGCAGGGGCACAGAACCAAACCATTTCAACCTCCCAGAAGTCCATTTTACAGATGAGGAACTGTGAGGTAACTCACCCAAGGTCACACATTTATTAAGAGGCAAAGGTCTTATGTGGATCTCTGCCAGTTTGACTTCAAAGCCCATAATCTAAACTACTATGCTATAAAGTCTTCCATAAAACATAGTCTAAGGGAACAGTCATTTAATAGCGTGATGCTGGAGTGAGATCAGGGATACACACGGTTGGAATAGGCTACAAAGGAGCGATTATGTATAAGAACCAATCCTACCTAAAAATGCAAGCCATGATAACACAAGCACTACACAACAATGGGAAATGGGGCAGGCATTTGAGGGGGGAGGAAATTAGCTAACACTTTATATCTAACACTAAAATGACCTCCAGACAGATTATAAAGTTAAAACTTACATAAATAAGTAATACAATTCTAGACTAGCTAGTAGGAAATAAATTCTTTTTAGCCTCTGGAAAAGCATTCATAAATTTTCCTTAACTTCCTTAACGTTCCTGAAACTTCCTAAGGAGTTTTATAAATGTTCTAGCAAAAGAAGAAATCACACGGAAAAAGACAAACCTGTTTGGCCATGTGGTGAGCAGTTTTGTGGGGTGGCGAGGGGGTCCCCAGGAGCACCACTACTGCAGACATGTGCAGGAGTGACCAACCGAGCAGGAGGAAGCCACAGCGACCAGCAGTGTCCGTCATTTTTGAAGACCGAGAAATGACAACAATATCATGCACCCATTGGTCTCCCACAGGAGTGCTCCTTTGGGGCCAGGCACGGTGGCTCACACCTGTAATCCCAGCAGTTTAGGAGGCCAAGGTGGATGGATCACTTGAGGTCAGGAGTTCGAGACCAGCCTGGCCAACATGGCTCATCTCTACTAAAAAAAAAAAAAAAAAAAAATTAGCCAGGCATGGTGGCTCACGCCTGTAATCTCAGCACTTTGGGAGGCCAACATGGGCGGATCACTTGAGGTCAGGCATTCAAGACCAGCCTGGCCAACATAGCAAAACCCCATCTCTACTAAAAAAAATACAAAAATACAAATCATTGCTTACACTACCCTGGCAGGGAATGATGTCCAGCTTCATAGACGAGGAAACAGAGGCTCAAAGAGGGTGAGCATCTTACCCAGAATACACAGCTAGGAGGTGGTAGAGCTTAAATTCCAGCCCACACCATCCTATGCTCTAGGCTGCCCCAGAGCAGGCTTCCCTGGGGGCAGGAGCCGGGTTGCCTCCATCAGACACCGATAACCCGTGCCTCTCCTTGCCTCCCAGGTCCCATCAGCTGCCCCCGGACTCTGTGGTTTGGGGCATGGCTGTCCTGCCTGACAATGCGTCTAATCTTCAAAAATACCTCAAAAGTATGGAGTGGAGAAATGAATGAATGTGTCCCCAGGGCCCCGTTAGACCAATGTTGGACAATGGGGCCACAGAAAAAAGGAAACCAGGCTGATGACTGCCTCTAGGAGGTTTTTTTTGTTTTTTGTTTTTGAGACGGAGTCTCGCTGTGTCGCCCAGGCTGGAGTGCAATGGCACAATCTCAGCTCACTGCAACCTCCACCTCCCAGGTTCAAGTGATTCTCCTGCCTCAGCATCCTGAGGAGCTGGGATTACAAGGGTGTGCCACCACACCTGGCTAATTTTTTTATATTTTTGGTAGAGACGGGGTTTCACTATGTTCACTGGGCTGGTCTCAAACTCCTGACCTCAAATGATCTGCCCGTCTCAGCCTCCCAAAGTGCTGGGATTATAGGCGCACCTGGCCTAGGAGGGTTTTTTTGTTTTGTTTTGTTTTGTTGAGATGGAGCCTCACTCTGTAGCCCAGTCTGGAGTGCAGTGGCACGATCTTGGCTCACTGCAACTTCCACCTCCCGGGTTCACGCAATTCTTCTGCCTCAGCCTCCCGAGTAGCTGGGATTACAGGAATGCGCTGCAATGCCCAGCTAATTTTTGTATTTTTAGTAGAGATGGGGGTTTCACCATGTTGGCCAGTCTGGTTTTGAACTCCTGATCTCCTGATCTGCCCACTTCAGCCTCTCAAAGTGCTGGGATTACAGGTGTGAACCACTGAGCCTGGCCTAGGAGGTTTTATATTGGTGGAGAAGACAGGCTAAGACCCAAATCGGTGCCCCCAGTGTAACAGTCAATGTCACACCAGTGTCACATTGGTGCACAGCAGCCTAAGTGGGGCAGCCTCGAGGGGGTGGTCAACTCCCCCAGGCTGGGAGAAAGTGGGGAGGCAGTGTGGACACTTCATGGAGATGGGGATGTTTTGGCCAAATCTTGAGAGAAGGCTATTCAGGCCTGGGCTGCAGGGGCACTGCCAAACGGCCAAGACTTTCCAGGAATCACCTCACCTGGAAGGCAGGTGAGGTGCACAGGGAGAGGGAACCAGAGAGCACCAATGCCTTAGGGGCCAGGACTCCAGGAACCTTGACTACGCGGCTAAGGAGCTGGAACTTTCTCTGCATTATATAGGGAGCTGGGGAAGGGCGTCAGGCTAAAGGGACACAGTCATACGGTTGGACTTGCCACTTTTGCAAGCTCACCCTGACTGCCGAGAAGTTTAGAGAAGCAGGGCGAGCCTGGGGTCAGGGAATTCTGGCAGAGGCTGGTGCAATAATCCCAGTAAGGGATGGAGAGGTCTGTGATTAAACACTGTCATGTGGCTACAGAGTGAGAGCGAGAGCAAAAGCGAGAGAGACAGCAAGAGAGAGCGAGTGAGAAAGAGAGACAGCAAGAGAGCGAGAGAGACAGCAAGAGAGAGAGAGCGAGAGAGAGTGAGCGAGAGAGAGAGAGCACAAGAGCGCAGCTTGTCAGGAAAATTGTGAACCAAATTTCATGATGGAGTGGAACTGAAAGTCAAGGGGGTGGTTATAGAGGGCTGCCTGGACTCTGGGGAGACTGTCGGTTTCACCTGCTGAGATGAGACACCCAGAGGATCGGGGGAGGCTTGCAGAGGGTGAGTGACTGGGGACACCCAGTGGGAGATACTTGGGTATATGGACCTCCACTTGCCTCCTCTCACCTGGAAAGTCTCCCCTAAAACACCCACTTACTGCCAGCTCCCATCTCCTACCTTAGGTCTCATCTGCTTCTCCTCACCTCTTGGTGGGTGGTGGGCAGCAGGGGAGCCAAGCCCAGATGCCAGGCCTGAGCCCAACCCTGGCCCCAGAGGCAGCCCCAGAGGCCTCGCACCCCCTGCTCAATGAGGCTCCGTGTCCAGACGCCAGCTGCCTGCTCAGCCCCATGGCTAGCTGCAGCTGGCATGGACCCAGGGCTCGCTTATGGACGGTGCTCCAGGCACCGAGGCCCACTGGTGTGGGAGTTGTGCCTGGACCATAGGAAGAGAGGGCGGTGGCCTGGTGAGCCGGGCGTTCTAGCTACCCTTGGTACAGCAGGCACCAGGCCCTGGCAGAAGCAGGCTGGGCTGGGGGTGGCTGGCAGCCCTGGCCCGCAGGCGGCTGACTGGCTGAGCAGCTGCTCATCTTGTTTTCCATCTCCTCCCCAGATCATCGTCCAGCCTTCCCCCATGGGCCCTGGGGGGAGTGGATGGAGACAGGGGGCTTCTGTGCACATCTCAGGGGCGTCGGATGAACCTTGAATCCTCCCAGCTCTGCTTTCACTGTGCACCTTGGGCAGTTGCCAAACCTGAGCCTCAGTTTCTCCACTATGACATAAAGTGTCTGGGGCAGCTCTAGATGAAGGTGAGGCAGGCATGACTGTGGCACAGGAGGGTGGCTCTCCTGGCAGACCTGATGCCAAGAATCCTGATGTTAGACAAGGTCTCGCTCTCTGTCACCCAGGCTGGAGTGCAGTGGCACAATCATAGCTCACTGCAGTCTCGAACTCCTGGGCTCAAGCCATCTTCTCACTTCAGCCTCCTGAGTAGTAGGAACTACAGGCATGTGCCACCATACCCAGCTAATTTTTTTTTTTTCTGGAGAGACAGGGTTTCACCATGTTGCCCAGGCTGGTCTCAACTCCTAGTGCTTAAGTGATCCACCTGCGGTGGCCTCCCAAACTGCTGAGATTACAGGTGTGAGCCATCATGCACAGCCTCCAAGATCCTTATTTACCAGCCAGGCGTTCATGCTCTTAGAGCCTCAACCCCACACGGTGCCTTCTCAGGTCTCCAACACTTGCCTGATCAGATACCCTCTCCTGTGACCCCCTTCTTCCTCTTCTCTGGTTTTCCAAGGCCTCCTGGTTCCCTGACACCCACCTCAGCCCAGCCCTTCCCAACATTCTTGCCCTTGAACTCCTCAAGGACATTCTGCCAAGTCCTGTTGCCAGGCCTGGAGTTACTCTCTCCCTCCCAGCCCCACTCTGCTGCCATGAGCCTAACCTTCCCCTTACCTGGCCCAGCCATGGCTCCAGGGCAGGGGCTGGGCCTCAGTGTCCCTGTGTGCCCCCTTGAAATGTGGTACACAGTCCCAAAGCAGCAGGAGGTTAAAAAAGGAACCAGGAGGCCCGCAGCCTGGCCCCGAATCCCTGCGCTGTCATTTCAGACTAGATGACCTCAGGCAATTCTCCCCGAATCCACCCCACCCCTGCCAGTTCTGTGCCTCCCTCTGAAAAGTGGGGCTATACCACCCCTGCCTACCTGCTCACAAGTGAGAATTGAAACCAAGTGCTGGGCCTGGCACGGTGGCTCACACCTGTAATCCCAGCACTTTGGGAGGCTAAGCAGGAGGATCACTTGAGGTCAGGAGTTCGAGGCCAGCCTGGCCAACATGGTGAAATCCCATCTCTACCAAAAATACAAAAATCAGCCAGGTGTGGTGGCGGATGCCTGTAATCCCAGTTACTTGGGAGGCTGAGGCAGGAGAATTGCTTGAACTGGGAGGCGGACATTGCAGTGAGCCGAGACTGTACCATGGCACTCCAGCCTGGGTGACACAGTGAGACCCTGCCACCAAAAAAAAAAAAAAAAAAGAAAAAGAAACCAAGTGCTATATGTGAATGAGCTCAGGTAATCTGCATAGACTCTACCCCTTAACTTAAGCCCAGGAGGTTGACGCTGCAGTGAGCTATGATTGCAACACTGCACTCTAGCCTGGGCAACAGAGCAAGACTCTATCTAAAAATAATAATAATAACCTACCGTTTAAGATGCCTTTATGTGGTAGATTAAGTGGTGGAGCCTATTGTTTATCCCCTGTCGATAGATGAGGAAGCTGGCGCTCAGCAGAAACAGTGAGTGACTTCCTCAGGGTCTCAGGGCTGCTGAGAGGTGGAGGCTGGAAATGCTCCCAGGTGGTCTGAGATGGAAGCCCTGCTGGGAAGTCCTCCCTCAGGGGACAGGAGCCTGTGGACATGCCTTGCACCCTGTTGCACTCTCCGTGGACGTGAGGAAGTGCTGCTCTTTTCATCTTAGAGATGAGAAAGGGAGGCCTGAAGAGGAGGCAGTGACTTTTGGAGGCCACCCTGAGTCTATGGCACAGCTGAAACACTGATTTTGCTTTCAGCTCTTCCCTCCTACTGGAATTTCCTGATTTCTTTGAGATCTGAAGTAAGGGGGACAAGGCTCCTGGGCCTCCATGAGCCAGGTGGCCCTGATGATGAGCCACCCACAGATCCGCAGGCATTGGCTGCAGGTGCCAAGCCAGTCAGCACAGACCTCTGCCATTTGCTGTCATTGCCATGCAAGGAAAGAGTCCCAGCTCACAGGCAGACGTGCTCCACAAGGCAGCCAGGACCTGCAACCTGGCCACATCCATCCATCATCTAGGGTCACCTCTCCGTCCAGACCCATGCCTGGTTATTAAGAAGTATTTAGTGATGGCAGGAGACCCACCTGGAGACTGGATGGGTGATGGTGGCAGTGATGATGGTGGAGTTAGTGAAGACAGTGGAAGTGAGAATGGAGGTAAGGACAGGTGTGAAGGTGAAGGTAAAGGTGGAAGTAAGGATGGAAGTGAAGGCAGAAGTAAGGATGAAGGTGAGGATAAAGGTGAGGTTGAAGGTGAGGATAAAGGTGAGGTTGAAGGTGAGGATGGAGGTGAGGATGGAGAGCAGGAGGAAGGGGAGGACAGAAGTGAGGTTGGAGAGGAGAATAGACGGGAGGACAGAGATGAGGATGGAGGTGAAAGAGGGACAGTGAGTGAGAAGAGAGTGAGAATGGAAGGGAAGATTGAAGTGAGGAAGGGAGAACAGAGGGGAGGATGGAGATGAGGAACGAAGAATGGAGGGGAGGATGGAGGGGAGGATGAAGGCGAGGATGGTGGTAATGGTGGAGGTCAGGGCTGGGTGCGGTGGCTCACACCTGTAATCCCAGCACTTTGGGAGGCCGAGGTGGGTGGATCCTGAGGTCAGGAGATCGAGACAATCCTGGCTAACACAGTGAAACCCCATATCTACTAAAAATACAAAAAATTAGCCAGGCATGGTCGCACGCACCTGTAGTCCCAGCTACTCGGGAGGCTGAGGCAGGAGAATCGGTTGAACCCAGGAGGCAGAGGTTGCAGTGAGTCGAGATCGCGCCACTGCACTCCAGCCTGGGTGACAGAGCAAGACTCTGCCTCAAAAAAAAAAAAAAAAAGTGGAGGTGAAGATGGAGATTTGGATGGAGGTGAAGATGCAGGTGAGCGTGGAGGTGAGTTTGGAGATGAGAGTGGAGTTGAAGGTGGAGGTGAGGATAGACGTGTAGGTGTAGGTGAAGGTGGTCTTGAGGATGGAGGTGAAGGTGGAGGTGAGGATGGAGGTGAAGGTGAGGGTGGAGGTGAGGATGGCGGTGAGGGTCGAGGTGAGGATGGAGGTGAAGGTGGAGGTGAGGACAGAGCTGAAAGTTGAGGTGAGGATGATGAGGATGGAGGTGAAGGTGGAGGTGAGGACAGAGCTGAAAGTCGAGGCGAGGATGATGAGGATGGAGGTGAAAATGAAGTTGGGGATAGAGGTGGAGGTGGAGATAAGGATGGAGGTGATGGTGGAAGAAATGGTAAAAATGGTGAAGACACTGGTGATGGCAATGGTGAAATGGGAATGCCATTGTGGGTCATGAAATCGAAGGTCATGGTTATGGTGGGAACAGGAACAAGCAGAGGCAACTTCCTGAGAATAGTTCTTGACCCAGGTCCCTCCATGAACCTCGAAGCTGACCCAGCCATAGGGGGGATACCTTCATTTCAGTCCCAGCAGCCTCCCCCAACCAGTCAGGGTCCCTGAAGAGCATCTGGCTCTCCACAAGACAATAGACAGGAAGGGGACCCAGTGGCCCCCCCAAGCTTAGCTAATGTGAGTGAAGAACCAGGCAGAACCCAGGCAGCAGATGGGATAGGAGTTTCCAAGCCAGTGCTTAGGGATAGGCCCTCCCAATTCAGAAACAAAGCAAGGCCCTGGCCACAGCCAGGAAGGATTGTAAGGGCCTTCCTGAGCAGACACAAAGGAGCCCTGAGCTGCTGGGGGTGATGAGGAGCGGAGGCAGGGCCAGGCAGAGGGTCTGCAAAGAATTACACTGGAAAGGTGGAAGGGGGACATTGGGTCTAGTGGTTTGGCCTGTGGAGAGCTGTCAGGAGAGGGGAGGATGAGGTTGGTGGAGACGCCTGAGGCAAGGGTGTTTGGGGGTCTTGTTGGCAGCATGGTGGCAAAAGGCTCCAGAGGCAGCCACGCGTGTGTTCCAAGGCAGCCGCTGGGAATCCCACCACCTCTGGCTCACAAATGCCTCTCCTATTGTTAACATGAACACAGACCTGTCAGGCCCTCCATAATCGATGCCTGGACTTTTCCATTATCCACGGGCAGCCTGCCACTCACGGTTCCCCAGGTGTGCCCACTTCTGGCCACCGCCAGGACCCCTGCGAGGGGCTGGCCTGGAGAAGCCTGGCTGGGAGCATGGGCCGGCCTTCCCGACTCACTGCACAGGCTGTGGGCCTTGCCAGGTGTCAGACTCAATTTCCTGACCCTTCCTGCTCAGAGAACCAAACATCTCATCTCTCCACCCAAGCTGGGTCCACCCAGGTCACTGGCTTGGCAGGAGGAAGATCCCTGGGGGTCCAGACCAACTGACCAGGCAGGGCAGGGTAGGAGCAGAATGCTGAAAGGTCATGAATCCAATTTGTCACCCATGGGACAAACTTTCAAAGGGAAGGCAATGCCATGGGATGGGGTGGCCAGGGAGGCCGTGGAAGGTATTGGAGGAAGCCCTAGGCCCTGAGTCCAGAGAACCCCCAATTCAATCCCCTGACTCACCCTGTCCCACGGACAAGAACCAGGGCCAGCTCCACTGGCAAATCAGGTAGTTGAGTAACTGGATTTTTGAGGTCCACCCCACCTTCCATTAGTCAGCAAAGATCCCGATTCTACAGCCAACCCCATATCCTTACACAATTTTGAATGTATTGCTTTTATTAAAAGAATAGCTTTATTGTAATAAAATTCACACACCATACAATTCACCCATTTAAAGTGTACCATTCAGTGGTTTTTAGTATATTCACAGAGTTGTGCAATCATTTCCACAGTCCATATTATATTTTATTTTATTATTTTTTGAGATGGAGTCTTGCTGCGACACCCAGGCTGGAGTGCAATGGCGCAATCTCGGCTCACTGCAATCTCCGCTTCCTGGGTTCAGGCGATTCTCCTGCCTCAGTCTCCCAAGTAGCTGGGACTACAGGCACATGCCACCACACCCAGCTAATTTTTGTATTTTTAGTAAAGACAGGGTTTCACCATATTGGCCAGGCTGGTCTTGAACTCCTGACCTTAAGTGATCAGCCCACCTCAGCCTCCCAAAGGGTTGGGATTACAGGCGTGAGCCACCGCACCTGACCTCGCAGTCCATTTTAGACCATTTCATTATCCTGAAAACAAAACCTCTGCTTTTTGGGCTGGGTGCAGTGGCTCATGCCTGTAATCCCAGCACTTTGGGAGGCTGAGGTCGGGGGATTACTTGAGCCCAACAGGAGTTTCAGACCAGCCTGGGCAACATAGCAAGACCCCATCTCTTTAATAAATTTAAAAACTAGCCAGGAGTGGTGGTGCATACCTGTAGTCTCAGCTACTTGGAGGCTGAGGTGGGAGGATCGCTTGAACCCAGGAGTTGGAAGCTGCAGTGAACTATGATGGCACCACTGCACTCCAGCCTGCACAACAGAGCAAGACCCTGTCCCTCTTAAAAAAAATGCTTAAATCCCTCCTAATCTCTGGGAGGCCTCCTGGTCTTTGAGCCTGGAGTGAAGCTGAACCCACAGGTGAGAGAACAAGAGGCCCCAGCTACAGGAAGAGAGGACTGCAGAACTGGAGGCACTACCACCCAGCAGATATGAATAAGCACCCACTGACTAGGCACTCTCATAGTCATTTGATGGCTCTGGGTCCCAGCTGTGGGCAAAGCCCAGGCTGGGTGCTTTGGGATTCTGGCTCTGTGCCTGGCATCCCTTCTGGCCCTGTCTGAGTAGCAGCTTCCTGCAGACAGATGTGGCCTTGTGCCCTGTGCTGGCAGGTCCTCCCGAGAGCTGAAGGTGCCTTAGGACCCAGGCCCATGGCTGCTGACCTCCACTGATCAAGGGAGGCCTGATGAATGGGGGTTTTCTAAGTGGGATCACATCTCTCCTCAGGTCACAGTGCCCAAGAAAGGGTCACAGCTTCCCCCTCTGATTGGGTCTTCACATGGAAGGGTCCACGTCCCCCTCAGATTAGACTTTCCAAAGCATGGGTGTAACTCCCTCATCAGACTTACTTTTCGGGGGAGCTCCTTGTGTCTTCCCTCAGACCTTTTGCAAAGCATGCCTATGTTTCTCCCCTTAGGGTAAGGCCATGTCCTCTCTGTCATACCAGCTTCCTAGGAGTTCCACCCACAGTGTGGCCTTCTATCCGAGCTGCACTTTCCTCATCCATAAAGTTGGGGGAGTCATATCTGCCTCATAAAATTGCCATGGATGGAACAAAAACAGCATAACATCACAATATTCACGAACTCATCAAAACTCACTATAGCCATACTATGTAATGTTATTGGCAATAAAAAGAAACAAGAACTGATACATGCCACAACATGGATGGACTCTGAACACATGATGCTAAGTCACAAAGAATCACAGATTGCATTATTCCAGTTATATGAATAGACAAATCTATAAAGACAAAAAGTAGATGGGTGGTGGCCTAGGGCTGAGGGTGGGGCAGAATGGAGGGACTGTGGGACAAGGGCTAAGGGGAGTGAAGCTTCTTTTAGGGATAAGGAAAATATTGTAAAATTGATTATGATGATGGATGTACAATTCTCTGAATATACTAAAGGTCATTAAAGTGTACATGTTAAATTAGTGAATTGTATGGTAAAGTAAAGTGTATCTTGATAAAGCTGTAAAAGGATGTACAGACATGTAAGGAAGTGGGAAAATATGACCTGTAATTAAAAAAATAATAATCGAAACAGACCCAGAAGTGACAAAGATGATCAAATTAGTTTCCAAGATTTTAAATCGGCTATAGAAATATGTTCAAGATTTTAAAGGGAAAACAAATATAATAAGGAGAGAAATAGAAGATTTAAAAGAGAACCAATGGAACTTCTAGAGCTGAAAACATAATGTCTAAGATAAAAAACATATGGGATGAGCTTAACAGCAGATTTGGCACTACAAAGACAAGATCAATGAACCTGAATCTATCTAAACTAAAGCACCAAGGGAAAAAAGCAAGCCAAAAAAAATTTTAACAGAGCCTTGGTGACCTATAGGACAATATTAATCCATCCAACACACATATAATTGGAGTACCAGAGGCAGAAGAAATAATTGCTGAATTTTTTTCAAACTATAAATTTGATGAAAACCATGAACCCAAAGATCCAAGAAACTCAAAGAGCTCCAAGAAGAATAAATATTGATTCAGGCCAGGTGCAGTGGCTCACGCCTATAATCCCAGCACTTTGGGAGGCCGAGGTGGGTGGATCACAAGGTCACGAGATCAAGACCAGCCTGACCAACATGGTGAAACCCTGTCTCTACTAAAAATACAAAAATTAGCTGGGCGCAGTGGCATGCGCCTGTAATCTCAGCTACTCGGGAGGCTGAGGCAGGAGAATTGCTTGAACCTGGGAAGCGGTGGGTGCAGTGAGCCGAGATCGCGCCACTGCACTCCAACCTGGTGACAGAGCGAGACTCCGTCTCAAAAAAAAAAAATAAAATAAATAAATACTGATTCAAAGAAAACCACACCAAAACATATCACAATCAAGTTGCTGAATACCAAAAATAAAGAGAAAAATCTTAAAAGCAGCCAGAGAAGGAAATAACACATTATGTAGAAGGAACAAAGATAAGAATTACTGCTGACTTATTATCAGAAACAATGAAAGCTAGAGGACAATAACATGACATCTTTAGAGTGCTGGGGGGAAAAAGCTGTTAACCTATAATTCTTTATTCAATTAAAATAGCCTCTCTCAAACGAAGACAAAAAAAAAATTTCTTAAGAAACAAATGGTGAGAAAATTTATTGCCCAACAGAAACTGCAACACAAAAATTTATAAAATTAAAATTTCAGGCTAAAGGAAAAAGATAAACATAAACATGAAATACAAGACAATGAAAAGCACTAAAAATGGCAAATATGTGGATTAATGTAACAGATATTTTCTCTTATTTTCATTTCTTTAAAAGATAATTGGCCAGGCATGGTGGCTCACACCTGTAATCCCAGCACTTTGGGAGGCTAAGGTGGGCAGATCACCTGAGGTCAGGAGTTCGAGACCAGCCTGACCAACATGGTGAAACCCCGTCACTACTAAAAATACAAAAGTGGCCAGGCGTGGTGTCACAGCCCTGTAATCCCAGCTACTCAGGAGGCTGAGGCAGGAGAATCACTTGAACCCAGGAGGCAGAGGTTGTGGTGAGCCAAGATCACACCACTACACTCAAGCCTGGGCAACAAGAGTGAGACTCCGTCTCAAAAAAAAACAAAAACAAAAACAAAAAAAACAGTAATTGTTTAAAGAAAAAATAGCAGTGTATTGTGGGGTTTATAACTTCATAGGTGTAAAATGCATGACTACAATAGCATAAAAAATGGAAGATTGAAATGAAAGTATGGTGTTGTAAAGTTCTTATATTATTCATGAAGTGTTAAACGCAACGTAAGGGTAGATTGTGAAAAGTTAAAGATTCACATTATAAACTCCAGGATAATCGCACACACAAATAGCTAATGGGTCAAAGGTGACAAAATGGCAAACAAAAACCAAAACAAACAAGAAACTTCAATCTAAAGGAAGGTAGGAGACCCAGTGTGGTGGCTCATGCCTGTAATCCCAGCACTTTGGGAGGCTGAGGCAGGCAGATAACATGAGGTCAAGAATTGGAGACCAGACTGGCCAACATGGTGAAACCCCGTCTCTACTAAAAATACAAAAACTAGCCGGGCGTGGCAGCGCTTGCCTCTAATCCCAGCTACCAGGGAGGCTGAGGTAGGAGAATCGCTTGAACTCAGGAGGTGGAGGTTGCAGTGAGCCAAGATCACGCCATTGCACGCCAGCCTGGGTGACAGAGTGAAACTCCATCTCAAAAAAAAAGAAAAAAAGAAAAGAAACAGTAATTAAAGAAGACCTAAATAAATGGAAAGACATGCTGTGTTTATGGACTGGAAGACTTAATATTGTTAAAATGCCAATAATCCCTAAAATGATGTACAGATTCAGTGTAATCCTTATCAAAATCTCAGCTGCCTGTTGTAGAAAGTGACACGCTGATTCTAAAATTCATACGGAAATGCAGAATTACAAAACAATCTTGAAAAAGAAAAAAATTGGAAGACTCACACTCCTTGACTTTAAAACTTACTACAAACCTGTAATAATGAAAACATCATAGTAGTGATGTTTTATAGACCCAAATATAAAAGCTAAGGCGACAAAACTCTTAGAAGAAAAGGTAAGCATAAATCTTTGTGACCTTGAATTAGGCAATGGTTTTCTTAGATACAACACCTAAAGCACAAGTAATAAAAGAAAAACTTCATAAATTGGAGTTCATCAAAATTTAAAACTTTGTATTTCTTTTTTCCTTTGTTCTTTCTTTGTAAGGACAGGGTTTTTTTGTCTTTTTGTTTTTGACACGGAGTTTTGCTCTGTCATCCAGGCTGGCGTGCAATGGCACAATCTCAGCTCACTGCAACCTCCGTCTACTAGGTTCAAGTGATTCTCCTGCCTCAGCCTCCTGAGTAGCTGGGATTACAGGCGCGCACCACCACGCCTGGCTAATTTTTGTATTTTTAGTAAAGGTGGGGTTTCACCATGTTGGCCAGGCTGGTCTCGAACTCTTGACCTCATGACCCACCCACCACAGCCCCCCAGAGTGCTGGGATTACAGGCGTGAGCCACCGTACCCAGCCCCTGAGACAGGGTCCTATTCTGTTGCCCAGGATGAAGTGCAGTGAAACAATCATGGCTCCCTGAAACCTTGAACTCCTGGGCTCAAGTGATCTTCCTGCCTAGCTGGGACATCATCAGGTATATTGGCATGTGCTACCATGCCCAGCTAATTTTTTTGATTTTTTGAAAAGACGGAGGGGGGGTCTCACTATATTGTCCAGGCTGGTCTTGAACTACTGACCTCAAAGTGATCCTCCCACCTCAGCCTACCAAAGCACTGGGATTACAGGCATAAGCCACCCCACTTGGCCAAAAACTTTCTGTTTCAAAGCACCAAGGAAGTAAAAAGACAAACCACCTAAATTTGTGTTTTGAGTAGAGACGGGGTTCTACCACGTTGGCCAAGCTGGTCTCAAACTGCCAAGCTCAAGAGATCTGCCCGCCTTGGCCTCCCAAAGTGCTGGGATTAGAGTCGTGAGCCACTGGACCCAGCCTAAATTAAGGATCTTGAGGTGGAGAAATTATCCTGGATTATCTGGATAGGTCCCACTGCAAAGTTTCTCATAAGGGGGGAGGCAGGAGGGTCAGAGTCAGAAAAAGAGATGTGATAATGGAAGCAGAGATAAGTGCCAGAGCAAAGGGGGTGGAATTTGATGATGCTGCACTGTTGCATTTAATGATGGAGGAAGAGGCCATGAGCCAAGGAACTCAGGCAGCACCTAGAAGTGAAAAAAGGCAAGCATCTCCCCCAAGAGCCTCCAGAAGGCGAATCTGTGACATCTTGATTTCAGACAGACTGACTTTGGACTTCTGACTTCCAGGACTGTATGGCAATAAATTTGTATTAAGTCACTATATGGCATATGTTAGAGTAGCAGTAAGACACTAATATACATGTCTCTTATTAAATTTATTCCTAGGTATTTTGATTTTTAAACACTATTATTAATGGCTTTCTTTTGGCCGGGCACAGTGGCTCATGCCTGTAATCCCAGCACTTTGGGAGGCCGAGGCCGGCAGATCACTTGAGCTCGGGAGTTCGAGAGCAGCCTGGCCAACCTGGTGAAACCCCATCCCTACTAAATATACAAAAATTAGCCGGGCGTGGTGACGTGCGCCTGTGATCCTAGCTACTCTGGAGGTTTCAGGCAGGAGAATCACTTGAACCTGGGAAGTGGAGGTTGCAGTGAGCTAAGATTGTGCCACTGCACTCAAGCTTGGGCGACAGAGTAAGACTCTGTCTCAAATAACAACAATAATAATAATAATGGCTTTGTTTTTAAAATTTCAGTTCCCATTGTTTGAGCTAGCATATGGAAATTCAATTGACACTTGGTTCTGCTAACTTATTAGTTCTAGTAGCTTATTTCATATCTCCTGGGACTTTCTATACAGATGATCATGTTGTCTGCAATAAGAACAGTGTTACTTCCTCCTTTCCAGTTGGTATGTCTTTTACTTTTTCTTCTTTTATTATTGCACAAGCTTGAACCTCTAGTACTATGCTAAATGCAAGCAGCAAGAGTGGACATGCTTGCCTTGTTTCTAATCTTAGGGAGAAACAATTCATACTTTATCCATTAAAATATTAGCTTTAAGTTTTTGTAGCTGTATTTTTTCTGGTTGAGATAGTTCCCTTTTATATTTAGTTTGCTGATTTTTTTTTTTTTTAATTATCAGTGGGGTGGGCACAGTAGCTCGTGCCTGTAATCCTAGCACTTTAGGAGGCTGAGGTGAGTGGATCGCTTGAGGCTAGGAGTTCGAGACCAGCCTGGCCAACATGGCGAAACCCCGTCTCTACTAAAAATACAAAAATTAGTTGGGCGTGGTGGTGCATGCCTGTAGTCCTAGCTACTGGGGTGGCTGAGGCACGAGAATTTCTTGAGCCTGGGAGGCAGAGGTTACAGTGAGCCGAGATCGCGCCACTGCACTCCAACCCGGGCAATGGAACAAGACTCACCCTCTCAAAGAAAAAAAAAAAAAAATAATAATAATAATAATAATAATAATGAATGGATGTTGAATGTTGTCAAATGCTTCTTTTCTGCAAGTATTGAGATGATCCTGCCATTTTAAACCTTTCTTCTGTTAATATATTGCATTACATTGACTTATTTTTGTTTTTGTTGTTAAAGCAACATTGTATTTCTGGGACGCATTTCACTTGATCTTGATATTTTATCTCTTTTATTTATTGGGTTTGATTTGCTAATCTTTCTAAAGCATTTTTGCATCTTTTTCCATGAAGACTGCTGGTCCACATCAGGGACCAGCAAACCTTGTTCTGTAAAGTCAGTAAATATGTGAGGCTTTGCAGGCCATATAACTTCTGCTATAACTACTCAACCCTACTACTGTAACAGGAAAACAGGAAAAGACAGTATGTAATTTAATAAATGTGGCTATGTTTCAATAAAACTTTATCTACAGAAACAAATCATAGTCTGGTTTGGCCCCACAAGCCATGGTTTGCTGACTCCTGGTCTATTTGTTAGGTGTTTGGTTTTGGTATCAGAGTTAACACTGGCCTCATAAAATTACTTGGGAAGTATTGTCTTCTATGTTTTCTAAAAGTTTTTGTGGGATTCATATTACTCCCTCCTTAATTATTTGAAAGGATTTACCAGTCAAGCCATCTGGATCTGAAATTTTTATCAGAAAGATTTACATAAAAAAAATTTTGGCCAGGCATGGTGGCTCATGCCTGTAATCCCAGCACACTGCGGGGGGCCGAGGTGCTTGAGGCCAGGAGTTTGAAACTAGCCTAGGCAACATAGCAAGACCCCATCTCTACAAAATATATATAAAAATTAGCTGGGCTTGGTGGCGTGCACCTATGGTTCCCAACTACTCAGGAGGCTAAGATGGTAAACCAGGTACAGACAGAAGGAGCTCTAAGAGAAGCTCTCCATTTGTGGTTCAGACTGCGAAAGGAGGCCCCTACAGGTCAGGAAGAATGGAGACAGCCCCAGTTTGTTTTTTGTGATGTTGTTTTTGTTGGTTGGTTGGTTTTTGGTGTTAATTGCCGTTCCCTACTGTCCCAGCTTCTAGGCAATCACATGACATGGTGAGACAAGCAAAAGCAGTTGGGTAACCACCAAATGCTCTGCGAGGGAACACTTCTCTCAAGAGTCTGTGGCCCCAAGAGTGCTGGAGGGATTCCTGTTGCTGTCTTTCTCTCTATGCTCTTGCCACTTGGCACTGAAGAAAGATGCAGTCGTAAGAAGTATGTGGCAGAGCAGAGAAACTGAAGCCCTGGCTTTAGAGTTAAAGGACTAGGGAGGGGCCCTTGGGAGCTGAAAAGTGTCAGTGAAATTGATGAGAAGAGGGAGCTTGAGATGACAATTTGATTAACAATTTATATAAACTCTTCAGCTCACCCCTGAGCTGCATGTGTGTGCATTTGATCCTAAACAGCACAGGCTTTGAGAAAGAAATTACAGGATGGACCACTCCCCAGGTTCCAGGCTGGCCACTGCGTGGTACATACTCAGGACATATCTGAATACTGCGAAGTATTTGGGAACTAAACTGACATTGTAACCACAGCTCACGGAGTGCAGGTAGGAAGTTGCAGCTTGAACCTAACCAAATCCATTGCCTATTTTTTTTTTATAAATTAAACTTCTCCATAGAATTTAACCACGTAACACTATGTTTGAGACATCCAAAACACAATTCAAAATTATCCAATATATAAAGAACTAGGGAAATCTAAACATCTTACATGGAAAAAGATAATTAACAGATGCCAACCCCAAGATGGCACAGATGTTGGAATTACCAAACCAGGATTTTAAAGCAGCTATTTAACTATTTTTCTTCTTCATTTTTAGACAGAGTCTTGCTCTGTCACCCAGGCTGGAGTGTGCAGTGGCATGTTCTCAGCTCACTGCAACCTCTGCCTCCCAGGTTCAAGCAATCCTCCCACCTCAGCCTCCTGAGTAGCTGGGATTACAGATGTGCACCACCACGCCTAATATTTTTTTGTATTTTTTGTAGAGAGACAGGGTTTCACCATGTTGGCCAGGCTGGTCTCGAACTCCTGGCCTCAGGTGATCTGCCCGCTTCAGCCTCCCAAAGTGCTGGGCCACCATGCCTGGCCTACCTATTTAACTAGTTTTCTAAGGGAGAATATTTTTTAAATGAATGGAATGATAGAAACCCTCAGCAGGAAAATAGAAGATACAAAAAAGAACCAAATAGATATTTTAGAACTGATAATATACAATTACTGAGTTTTAAAATTAACTCAATGAGTTCAGTAACAGAATGTGCATGACCGAAGAAAGAGCTAGTAGACTTGAAAACAGGTTTTAAAATGTTATCTGGTGGCTCAAGCCTGTAATCCCAGCACTTTGGGAGGCCAAGGCGAGTGGATCACTTAAGCCCAGGAATTTGAGACCAGCCTGGCCAACAGAGCAAAACCCTATCTCTGAAAAATACAAAAAAATTAGATGGGCATGGTGGTGTGCACCTTTAGTCTCAGCTACTTGGGAGGCTGAGATGGGAAGATCTCCTGAGCCTGGGGAGGTCAAGGCTGTAGTGAGCTGTGATTGTACTACTGCACTCCAGCCTGGGTGACACTAGAGACGGGGTTTCACCATACTGGCCAGGCTGGTCTTGAACTCCTGTCCTCAGGTGATCCACTGCCTCGGCCTCCCAAAGTGCTGGGATTACAGGTGTGAGCCACCACGCCCTGGCCTAAAATACATATGATTATTGAAAGCAAAAGATGTAATATTGTCTAATAAGTATTTTAAAAATAAGCTTTATTTTTTAGAACAGTTTCAGATTCTAATGGAATTTCAATGTTTATAGATGCAATACATATGATAACTACAACATAGTAAGGACAGGGGAAAGGAACCTACATGATAGCCAGGTTCCTACATTTTACAAGTGGTAAAATATTAATTCTAAGCAGAAAGTAAAAAGTTTGGTGTACATACTGTAATTCTTAGAGCCACCACTAAAGAACACTACACAAAGAGATATAATAAAATAATCAATTGATAAATTAAAATTGAATACTAAGCAATAGTCAAATAACCCAAAAGAAGGCAGGAAAGGAAACAGTGAGGCATAAAAAACAGAGAGCAGCCACATGCAGTGGCTCACGCCTGTAATCCCAGCACTTTGGGAGGCTGAGGCGGGCGGATCACCTGAGGCCAGGAGTTTGAGACTAGCCTGGCCAACATGGCGAAACCCCGTCTCTACTAAAAATACAAAACTTAGTGGGGTATGGCAGTGGTCGCCTGTAGTGCCAGCTACTCAGGAGGCTGAGGCACAAGGATCACTTGAGCCTGGGAGACAGAGCTTGTGGTGAACCGAGATTGCACCACTGCACTCCAGCCCGGGCAACAGAGCAAGACCTTGTCTCCTGTCTCAAACAAACAAAAGAGAGCAAACAGAAAATAACAAAATGATAGACCTAAATCCAAGTACATCAACAATAACAATGAATGTAAATGGTCTATTCACACCAACTAAAAGACAATGACAGAAGAGTTTTTTTTAAAAAAAGACATGACTATACATTTTGTTGCTGCTGTTTTATTTATTTATTTATTTATTCTGAGACAGAGTCTTGCTCTTTCACTCAGCCTGGAGTGCAGTGGTGCCATCTTGGCTCACTGCAACCTCTGCCTCCCAGGTTCAAGCGATCCTCATGCCTCAGCCTCCTGAGTAGCTAGGACTACAGGCACATGCCGCCACACCTAGCTAATTTTTTGCATTTTTGGTAGAGACAGGTTTTCGTCACGTTGCCCAGGCTGGTCTCAAACTCCTGGCCTCAAGTGATCTGCTTGCCTCGGCCTCCCAAAGTGCTGGGATTACACGCATGAGCCGCTGCACCTGGCCTGACTATATATTTTAATATAGGTAGATTATAAGTTTAAAAATGGAAAAAGATATGTTACGTAAATGCTGGTCAAAGGAAAACTGAACTGATTATATTTACATAAGACAAACTATACCTCAAAGCAAGGAAATTTACAATAGATTAAGAGGGACATTACATAATGGTAAAGACCCAACACCATTTAAAATGTGTACACATCTAAAAACAGACCTCAAATATATACAGCAAAACTGACAGAACTTGAGGAGAAATAGACAAACTCAAAATTATAGTTGGACTCTTCAAGAATGGACAGAACAGATAGAAAATCAGCTAGGATATGGAACTAAACACAATCATAAACCAACTAATATTGATAAAACACTCCATCCACAACTGTAGTCTTTTTGAAGGCACATAGCCAGGCATGATGGCACATGCCTGCAATCCCAGCTATTCAGGAGGCGGAGGCACAAGGAGCACCTGAACCCAGGAGTTGGAGACTGTAGTGCACTATGATTGTGCTGGGAATAGCCACTGCACTCCAGCTTAGGTAACACAGCCGAGACCCATCTCTAAAAAAAAAAGCATATAGAACATTCACTAAGATTATGTCCTTGGTCACAAAATAAACCCCTAACAACTGTTTGTAATTTAAAATTATATAAACGATGCTTTCTGATCATACAATTTAACTAGAAGTCAATAATAGAACACTAAAAAATATTCAAATGCCTAGAAATTAACTACATACTTCTACATAATCCTGGGTGAAACAGGAAGTCTCCAGGGAAGTAGAAAATATTTTAATTTGAATGAAAATGAAAATAGAACATGTCAAAACTTACACGATGCCGCCAAATTAAAGGGGAATTTATGTAATGAAATGATTATATTAGAAAAGAAGAGGCGGGCACAGAGGCCCACACCTATAATCCCAACATGTTGGGAGGCCAAGGTGAAAGGATTGCTTGAGGCTAGGAGTTCAAGATTAGCCTAGGTAACATAATGAGACACGGTATCTACAAAAATTTTTTTAAAAATTAGCCTGGTATGGTGGCACATACCTGTAGTCCCAGCTACTCGGGAGACTAAAGCAGGAGAATCACTTGAGCCCATGAGTTTGAGGATGCAGTGAGCTAGGATCCTGTCATGGTACTCCAGCCTAGGTGATAGAGTGAGACCCTGTCTCAGGAGAAGAAGAAAGAAGAAAGGAAGAGGAGGAGTTGGAGGAGGAGGAGAGGAGAAGGAGGAGAAAGAGAAAGAGAAGGAAAAAGAGAAAGAGAAGGAGAAGAAGTAGTGAAGAAGAAAGAGGAGGAAGAAGAAGAGGAGGAGGAGGAGGACGACGAAAGTTTTCTAATCGATAACCTAAATTTCTGTTTTTTGTTTTGTTTTGTTTTTTTGAGACGGAGTCTCGCTCTGTCGCCCAGGCTGGAGTGCAGTGGCAGGATCTTGGCTCACTACAAGCTCCGCCTCCCGGGTTCACACCATTCTCCTGCCTCAGCCTCTCGAGTAGCTGGAACTACAGGAGCCAGCCACCATGCCCGGCTAATTTTTTGTATTTTTAGTAGAGACAGGGTTTCACCATGTTAGCCAGGATGGTCATGATCTCCTGACCTCATGATCCGCCCGCCTGGGCCTCCCAAAGTGCTGGGATTACAGGCATGAGCCACTGCGCCTGGCCCTAAATTTCTGTTTTAAGAAACTATAAAAAGAGTAAAATCAACCCAAGGTAAGCACAAAGAAGGAAGTAACAAAGGTAAGAGCAGCAACCAATGAAACTGAAAACAATAGAGAAATCAATTAAATCAAAAGCTGATTCTTTGAAAAGATGTGTAAAATTCCCAAACCTCTAGCCAAATAACAAAAAAAGAGAGAAAAGAAAGGAAACGAGACATAAATTATCAATATTGGGAATGAAATACGTGATATCACTACAAATTCTACAAATGTTAGAAGGATAATAAGGGGATATTATGAACAAGTCTATATCATAAATTTAACAATGTAGATGAAATGAACCAATTTCTGAAAAACCACAAACTACCAAAACTCACACAAGGTAAAACAGAGAATGGGAATAGTCCCATACTATTAACGAAATTGAATTTGTTGTTAAAAAACCTTTCAAGAGGAAATCTCAAGGCCTAGATAATTTCTCCAGATAATTCTTACCAAAGATTTAAAACAGAAAAAACACCAATTCTACACAATTGTTTCCAGAAAATAGGGAAATGAACACTTCCAAAATTGTTGTATAAAGCCAACATTACCTTTACATCAAAACTAGACTATGGTAGTACAAAAACAGAAGTCTACACAGACCAATAGTCTCTATGAACATAGACCAAAAAAACTCAAAAAAAGTAGCAAACAGAATGCACCAATATATAAAACAGTAATAAATCACAACCAGGCAGTTTTATATCAGCAATGCAAGGCTGGTTCAATATCTGAAATCAATCAATGCAGTGTATGTTATTAACAGAAGAAAAACATACCAACACATTGATCAATGTATCCATTTCTTAAAATAATCAATATATCAATATGATCATATCAACGTATCAATGTATCATATGCAGAAAAAGCATTTGAGAAGATTCAACATCCATGCTAAATAAAAACTCTTTTCAAAATAGGAATAAAGGGGAACTTCCTCAACCTGATAAAGGACATCTCCAAAAATCCAGAGCTAAAGTCATACTTCAAGACTGAATGTGTTCACCCAAGTTAAGGTACAAGATAAGGATGTTCATTCTCATCGCTCCTGTTCAACATTGTACTGGAAGACCAAAGTAGGGCAATAAGGCAAGAAAAGAAATAAAGAGCATACAGATAGAAGAGGAAGAATCAAAATTGTCCCTACCCAAAACTCCTGATTGTCTCCATAGAAAATCCCACAGGTTGGGCTAGACGCAGTGGCTCAAGCCTGTAATCCCAGCACTTTGGAGGGCCAAGGCGGGCCGATCACGAGGTCAGGAGATTGAGACCACAGCGAAACCCATCTCTACTAAAAATACAAAAAATTAGCTGGGCATGGTGGCGGGCACCTGTAGTCCCACCTACTCGGGAGGCTGAGGCAGAAGAATGGCATGAACCCGGGAAGCAGAGCTTGCGGTGAGCTGAGATCGCACCACTGCACTCCAGCCTGGGCGACAGAGGGAGACTACGTCTCAAAAAAAAAAAAAAAGAAAAGAAAAGAAAAAAAGAAAATCCCAAGGGCTGGGTGTGGTGATTCATGCCTATAATCCCAGCACTTTGGGAAGCTGAGGCAGGAGGATCGCTTGAGCCCAGGAGTTCGAGACCAGCCCTATCAACAAAGCAAGACCCCATCTCTACAAAATATAAAATAAAATTAGCCAAGTGTAGTGGCACACCTGTAGTCCCAGCTATTTGGGAGGCTGAGGTGGGAGGATGACTTGAACCTGGGAGGTCAAGGCTGCAGTGAGCTGTGTTTGCACTATGGCACTCCAGCCTGGGTGACTAAGCAAGACCCTGTCAAAAAAAAAAAGGAAAGGAAATGAAAAAGAAAAAGAAAAATCTCAAGAAATCTTCAGAAAGAGGCTGGGTGCAGTGGCTCACGCCTATAATCCCAGCACTTTGGGAGGCCAAGGTGGGTGGATCCCTTGAGCCTGGGAATTCAAGATCCAATCTGGGTAACATGGTGAAACCCTGTCTCTACCAACGATACAAAAAATTGGCTGGGTGAGGTGGTGCACACCTATAGTCTCAGCTACTCAGGAGGCTGAGGTGCGAGGATCCCTTCAGCCCGGGAGGTCGAGGCTGCAGTGGGCTGTGATCACGACACTGCACTCCAGCCTGGGGAACAAAGTGAGAGCCAGTCTCAAGAAAAAGAAAAAAAGATATCTGCAGAAAGAAAAATATTTAAAACTATAAATAAGTTTGTAAAGGTTGCAACATAGAATTGTGTATTTATGTGCTAGCAACAAAAGATTAGAAACTGAAATTTTAAAACTGCTATTTATAAAACACCAAAACAACGAAGTACATAGGTATAAAATTAGCAAAACGTGCAAAATATTTATGCTAGAAATGTCAAAATGCTTTTAAAAGGAATCTAGAAAGACCTAAATAAATGAAGAGGCATACCATGTTCACAGATTAGAAGACTTGATACAGGTTGGATGTCACTGCTTCCCAAAGTGATCTGTAGATTTAACAAAACACAGATCAAAATCTGAGCAGGATTTTTGTAGACATATGCAAGCTGGTTGTAAAATGTATATGTAAATGCAAAGGAATTAGAATAGCCAAAGCAAATTTGAATAAGAATAAAGTTGGAGGACTCACATTACCTGAATTTAGGACTTACTATAAGTAATTAAGTAATTGCTATAGTAATTAAGACAGTGTAGTATTGGCAATGAGACACAGGTCAACACCATGGAATGAAATAGAATACATCAATGCAAAAGAATAGAGTATACAGTCCGGGTGCAGTGGCTCACACCTGTAATCCCAGCACTCTGGGAGGCCGAGGCGGGCAGATCATGAGGTCAGGAGATCAAGACCATCCTGGCTAACATGGTGAAACTCCGTCTCTACTAAAAATACAAAAAATTAGCCGGGCATGGTGTCAGGCACCTGTAGTTCCAGCTACTCGGGAGGCTGAGGCAGGACAATGGCTTGAACCCAGGAGGCGGAGCTTGCAGCGAGCCGAGATTGTGCCACTGCATCCCAGCCTGGGTGACAGAGCAAGACTCCATCTCAAAAAAAAAAAGAAAAGAATAGAGTATACAAATAGACCCACAGAAATACAGCCAACAGATTTTTGACAAAACTGCAAAGACATTTCAATGGAGTAAGGATAATCTTTATAACAAATGGTGCTGGAATATTGGATATTGTTTGGCAAAAATAAGTGAACTTCAACCTAACCTCACAGCTTATGCAAAAAAAAAAAAAAAATTAGCACAAAAAGATCTCAGATCTAAATGTAAGACTAAAACTTTAAGAAGAAAACATCGAAAAAAATATTGTGACATTAGGTTAGGCAAATAATTAGGTTAGGCAAAGAGTTCTTAGATACAACATCAAAACCACAATTTGCAAAATAAAAGATTAATTGGATTTCATTAAAATGTTAAACATCTGTTCTCTGAAAGATTACTATTAAAATGAAAAGACAAGCTACAGAAAGAAAAAAATATTTTTTTAAGATGGTCTTACTCTGTCAACCGGGCTGGAGTGCAGTGGTGCAATCACAGCTCACTGCAGCCTCAACTTCCTGGGCTCAAGTGATCCTTCCACCTCAGCCTCCTGAGTAGCTGGGACTACAGGTACACGCCATCATACCTGGCTAAGTTTTTTTATTTCCTTTATTATTTTTTTTTTGTAGTGACAGGGTCTCGCTATGTTGCCCAGGCTGGTCTCAAACTCCTGGCCTCAAGTGATCCTCCTGTCTTGGCCTCCCAAAATGGTGGGATTACAGGTGATCCTCCTGTCTTGGCCTCCCAAAATGGTGCGATTACAGGTATGAACCACTGTGCTCAGCCCCAAGAAAGAAAATCTTTAAAGAACATATACCCAACAAAAGACTTGTATCTAATATATAAAGAATTATTAAAACTCAACAGTCTATTTCCCCAACTTGCTCAGGCAAAATAGGAGGAAAATTAAACAGACATTTCTCCAAAGAAGACAAAACAGGTATGGTATATGAACAAATGCTTTATATCATTGGTCATTAGTGAATGCTACTTAAAACCATAAGAGGATACCACTAAACACCTCCTTAGAATGGCTAAAATTAAAAGGGCTGATCATATAAGTGCTGACAAAGATATAAAATGACTGGAACTCTCATACAATGCTAGAGGGAGCGCAAAATGGTACAACCACTTTGGAAAACAGTTTAGCAGTTTCTTAAAAGATTAAATATATACCTACCAGATGACAGCATTCCACTGCTGGGTTATTTACTGAAGAAAAATGAAAGCATGTGTCCATACAAACACTATTATCTGGATGCCTATAGCATCTTTACTGGTAAAAGCTAAACGCTAAAAAACAACCTAAATGTCCATCAACAAGATGAACGGATTAAAAAATTGTGGTATATCCAATCAATGGGGTAATACTTAGCAATAAAAAGGAATGAACTATTGATACACATAACATGCATGAATCTTAGAACAATTATGCTGAATGAAAGATGCCAAAAAGAGTATATAGTAAATGATTTCATTTATATGAAATTCTAGAACTGTGTGGTGCAATGTAGAAGGTACCAGTCACGTGGCTGCTGACTACTTGATAGGTGGGCTAGTGCAAAAGAACTTTCAAATTTTACTTAATTTAAAATTAAAAATGAAAGCAAAATAAAATATTTTCTCCACTAAACAACTTTATTGTTTTGGTAGAACTGCATTTCATGACTGTGTTAATTAATGTTACTTTTGCATTGTGGTGTGAGGGTTGGGTATACCCAATTGTTTCTAGTATTACCTCCTAGGTGTACATGACACTTAGACATCTAGTCAAAATCAATGACCTGATTTAACTGGAATATTTGCTTTCTTTCTTTTTTCTTTTCTTTGACATGGAGTTTTGCTCTTGTCACCCAGGCTGGAGTGCAGTGGCTTGATCTTGGTTCACTGCAACCTCCACCTCCCAGGTTCAAGCGATTCTCCTGCCTCAGGCTCCTGAGTAGGTGGGATTACAAGATGCCTGGCTAATTTCGTATTTTTAGTAGAGACAGGGTTTCACCATGTTGGTCAGGCTGGTCTCTAACTCCTGAACTCCTGATCTGCCCACCTCGGACTCACAAAGTGCTGGGATTACAGGTGTGAGCCCTGCGCCCAGCCTCAATTTGAATATTTTCTATGGTACCACTGTAATACTGTAATATGTATACTGATTTGAATATTTTATGTAGATAGCACTAGTTATAGTGATGCTTATGTACACTGTAATGGGTAGGAAAATTACAATACTCTTATTTCCATTATGATTTAATTAATTCATTTTTGCAGTTTAAAAAACAATTACAGATGCATTTTAAAATTTAAAACAGGCAGAGCACGATGGCTCACACCTATAATCCCAGCACTCTGGGAAGGCAGATCACCTGAGGTCAGGATTTCGAGACCAGCCTGAACAACATGGTGAAACTCCATTTCTACTAAAAATACAAAAATTAGCCGGGCATGGTGGTGGGTGCCTGTAATCCCAGCTACTTGGGCAGGAGAATTGCTTGAACCCAGAAGGCAGAGGTTGTAGTGAGCCGAGATTGTGCCATTGCGCTCTAGCCTGGGCGACATGAGTGAAACTCTTGTCTCACCAAAACAAAAAAAAAAAATTAAAATAAGGTCATACTACTGATGCAGAATCAAGTAGAGAGGCATAACAGGAAAGAAAAAAAAGACTGAAAGAAGGCATATTGCATATTTCTTTTTTTCCCTATCCCCCTCCCATCACAAATTTCATGATAAATAACAATTTGGCTGTATTAGAGCAAAACAAAACAAAACCTATTTTTCTGTTGTTGTAAATTTTTTTTCGAGACAGGGTCTTGCTCTGTCACCCAGGCTAGAGTACAGTGGTACAATCATACCTCACTGCAACCTCAACCTCCTGGGCCCAGGAGATCCTCCCACCTCAGCCTCCTGAGTAGCTGGGAACACAGGCGTGTGCCATCATGCCTGGATACTTTTTAAAATTATTTTATTTTTGTAGAGATGGAGTCTCCCTATGTTGCCCAAGCTGGTCTCAAACTCCTGGGCTGGCCAGGGGCGGTGGCTCACGCCTGTAATCCTAGCACTTTGGGAGGTAGAGGTGGACGGATCACTTGAGGTCAGGAGTTCGAAGCCAGCCTGACCCAACATGGTGAAACCCCGTCTCTACTAAAAATACAAAAATTAGCCAGGCATGGTGGTGCAAGCCTAGAATCCCAGCTACTTGGGAGGCTGGGGCAGGAGAATCACTTGAACCCAGGAAGCGAAGGTTGCAGTGAGCCAAGATTGCGCCACTGCACTCCAGCTTGGGCAAATTGGAGTGAGACCCTGTCTCAAAAGAAAAAATTAGGAAAAAAAAAAAACCCAAACTACATGGCTATAAACAAAGATGTTAATTGTTATCCCAGGGCAAACACAAAGAACTAAAAAATATATAGTAAAAGTAACAACAAGGAATTAAAATGGTGTACTAGAGAGTATCTACAGAACATAAAAGGAGGGCTATAATGGAAGAACCAAGGAATAAAAAGGCAAATGGCATATAGACTGGGAGAAGTAAATCCTTATGATTAATTACATTAAATTAAATGGGTTAAAGTCTCTAACTAAAAGGCACAGATTGGCAGAATGGATTAAAAAACACAAATAGGTTGAAAGTAAAAGGATGCAAAAATATTCCATGCAGAAAGTAACCAAAAGAGAGCTAGAGTGGCTATATTAATGTCAGAAAAAAATTGGCTTTAAGACAAAAAAAATGTTACTAGAGACAAAGAAGGACATTATAGAATGATAAAAGGGTCAATCCTTCAAGAAGATATAACATTTGTAAGCCTATATGCACCGAAAAACAGAGCCTCAAAGTACATGAAGTAAAAACTGCAGTAATTGGAGGGAAGATAAACAATACACCAATAATATTTAGCCACTTCAATACTCTTTTTGTTGTTGTTGAGATGGAGTCTTGCTCTTTTGCCCAGTCTGGAGTGCAGTGGTGCAGTCTCGGCTCACTGCAACTTCCACCTCCCAGGTTCAAGCAATTTTCCTGCCTCAGCCTCCCGAGTAGCTGGGATTACAGGTGTGTGCCACCACGACTGGCTGGTTTTTGCATTTTTAGTAGAGACAGGGTTTCCCCATATTGGCCAGGCTGGTCTCGAACTCCTGAGGTGATCTGCCTGCCTTGGCCTCTCAAAGTGCTGGGATTGCAGGTGTGAGCCATCATGCCTGGCCTTCATTTTTAATAATAAAGAGAACAACTAGATATCAGATCAGAAAAAAAACAGAATGTATGCCAACCAGACCTAACGAACATCTATAGAACATCCTACCCAACAACAATATGATACACATTCTTCTGAAGTACACATGAAACATTCTCCACTATAAATTATATGCTAGGCCATAAAATATGTCTTAATAAATTGTTAAAATCTGAAGTAATTCAAAATACGTTTTCTGACCACAATGGAATGAAATCAGAAATTAATAACAAAGATATTTGGAAAACTCACAAATAAGTGGAAACTAATCAACATACTTCAAAAATAACCAGTACGGGCCGGGCGCGGTGGCTCACGCCTATAATCCCAGCACTTTGGGAGGCCGAGGCGGGTGGATCACGAGGCCAGGAGATCGAGACCATCCTGGCTAACATGGTGAAACCCCGTCTCTACTAAAAATACCAAAAAAAAATTAGCCAGGCGTGGTCGTGGGCGCCTGTAGTCCCAGCTACTCGGGAGGCTGAGGCAGGAGAATGGCGTGAACCCGGGAGGCAGAGCTTGCAGTGAGCTGAGATCGCGAAACTGCAGTCCAGCCTGGGCGACAGAGCAAGACTCCCTCTCAAAAAAAAAAAAAAAAAAAAACCAGTATGTCAAAGAAGAAGGTAAATTAGAAAAATCATAAGGTAAATTAGAAAATATTTTGAGTCAGCTAGGCGCGGTGGCTCACACCTGTAATCCTAGCACTTTGGGAGGCCGAGGCGGGCGGATCATGAGGTCAGGTCAGGAGATCGAGACCATCCTGGCTAACATGGTGAAATCCCGTCTCTACTAAAAATACAAAAAATTAGCCGGGCGTGGTGGCACACACCTGTAGTCCCAGCTACTCAGAAGGCTGAGGCAGGAGAATCGCTTGAACCCGGGAGGCAAAGGGTGCAGTAAGCAGAGATCACACCACTGCACTCCAGCCTGGGGACGGAGCGAGACTCCGTCTAAAAACAAAATAGTACAGCCACTTTGGAAAACAGTTTGGCGGGTTTTTAAAAACTAAAATACATACCTATCGTACGACCTAGTCACTTCATTCCTAGGTATCGCATAAGAGAAATGAAAGTATATGTTCATACTAAGACATGTATAAAAATGTTCATATCAGTTTTATTTATAATATCCAAAGATGGAAACAACCCAAGCGTCCATCAAAAGAATGAATGAATAAACAGGCCGGGCACGGTGGCTCATGTCTATAATCCCAGGACTTTGCGAGGCCGAGGCGGGTGGATCATGAGGTCAGGAGATCGAGACCATCCTGGCTAACAAGGTGAAACCCCGTCTCTACTAAAAATACAAAAAATTAGCCGGGCGCGGTGGCGGGCGCCTGTAGTCCCAGCTACTCGGGAGGCTGAGGCAGGAGAATGGCGTGAACCCGGGAAGCGGAGCTTGCAGTGAGCCGAGATTGCGCCACTGCAGCCCGCAGTCCGGCCTGGGCGACAAAGCGAGACTCCGTCTCAAAAAAAAAAAAAAAAAAAAAAAAAAAAAAAAAAAAATTAGCTGGGTGTGGTGGTGTGTGCCCATAATCTCAGTTACTCAGGAGGCTGAGACAGGAGAATTGTTTGAACCCAGGAGGTGGAGGTTGCAGTGAGCTGAGATCACACCATTGCACTCCAGCATGGGCAACAGAGCAAGACTCCGTCTCAAAAACAAAACAAAAAAAAACAAAAAAAAAAACACTTGTATCTATCAAACTGAAAGTGCTTGAAGTAACATAAAAAAGGTAGATATAATTTTCTTTCTTAATTTTGATGGCTCTAAAAGATAATTGAAGCAATTATAGCAAGGTTGCAGGACATAAAGCTATATATAGAAGTCTACTGCTTTTCTCCATTTTTCTTCCTCCTCTTCCTCCTCCTCCTCTGCTTCCTCCCCCTCCCCCCTCCTCTCTCTCTCTCTCTCTCTCTCTCTCTCTCTCTCTCTCTCTCTTTCTTTCGAGATGGAGTTTCGCTCTGTTGCCCAGGCTGGAGTGCAGTGGTGCAATCTCAGCTCACTGCAACCTTTGCCTCCTGGGTTCAAGTGATTCTCCTGCCTCAGCCTCCCTAGTAGGTGGGATTTCATTTTTGGGAGAGCTAAAATGTTCATTTTTGGGACAGGCATGCACTGCCACACCCAGCTAATTTTTTGCATTTTTAGTACAGACGGGGTTTTACCATGTTGGCCAAGCTTGTTTCGAACTCCTGACCTCAAATGATATGCCTGCCTCGGCCTCCCAAAGTGTTGGGTTTACAGGCATGAGCCACCGCGCCCGGCCATCTATTGCTTTTCCATATATCAGCAAGGAACAAATAGAATTTGAAGTGAAAAATACATTCCCATTTACATCAGCTCTCCCAAAAATGAAATACTTAGGTATACATGTAACAAAACATGTACAAGAATCCTCATCTATTGCTGGTGGGAATGCAAATTGGTATAGCCATTTTGGAAGACAGTTTGGTGGTTTCTTAAAAAACTAAATATAGGCCAGCTGCAAGGCCTAGTGAAAAGTTTTCTCTGCACATGAAGTAGCATATTACTTGAAGATACACGTTGGTTATTTAAACTTTTTTTTTTTTTTTTGAGACGGAGTCTCACTTTGTCACCCAGGCTGGAGTGCAGTGGCACAATCTCGGCTCACTGCAAACTCCGCCTCCTGGGTTCACACCATTCTCCTGCTTCAGCCTCCTGAGTAGATGGGACTACAGGCGCCCACCACCACGCCCGGCTAATTTGTTTGTATTTTTAGTAGAGATGGGGTTTCACAGTGTTAGCCAGGATGGTCTCGATCTCCTGACCTCGTGATCCACCCGCCTCGGCCTCCCAAAGTGCTGGGATTACAGGTGTGAGCCACCGCACCTGGCCGACTATTTAAACATTTTAATTGTAACCCCTCATATGTAGCTGGTGGGAATGTAAAATGATACAACCACTTGGGAAAATAGATAGGCAGTTTTAAAATAAGGCATACAGAGTGATGTCACTGAAAATAGCAGAGTAAGGACCTCCAGAAATCCATCAGTCCATTAAAGCAATAATTAAGCTGGCAAAAAGTGTCAGATTCAAGTTTTCTGGAACTCTGAAATTTTTTTAAAAACCTGCAACAACTAAAAGAGTGGTTAATTAAGAAATAACCTGTTAAATTTTGGTTAGGAGAATGTTGCAACTTTTCACTTAGTGCCTACAGTCTCCCACTGTCAACCTTAGAGGTGGCTGTGGTGGTGACAGTTTGTGCCCCCAGTGTGGCTTGCTAGTGCCAGATGGGGATAATAAAGAACTCTGTTCTATACACTTGCAATAACAATTCAAAAATAAAATTAAGAAAGCCATTCTATGTGCAATAGCTTCAAAATCAATAAAACACTTAGGAATAAATTGAACAAAGGAGGTGCAAGACTTGTGTGCTGAAAAGTACACAACATTGTTGAAAGAGATTAAAGAAAGCCTAAATAAATGGGAAAGCGTCCCATGTTCATAGACTGGAAAACAGTATTGTTAAGATGGCAATACCCATCAAAATGATCTACAGATTCAGTGCAATCCCTATCAAAATTCCTACTGCCATTTTTCACAGAAATGGACAAGTTTATCCTAAAGTTCAAATGCAAATGCAATGAATCTCAGCCAAAAACAGTCTTGAAAAAGAACAAAGTTGGAGGACTCAAATTTCCCAATTTCAAAACTTACTTACAAAGCTACAGTAATTAAGACCTCATGATACTGCCATAAGGACAGACATATAGACCAATGAAATAGAGTTCCAGAAAAAAAAAGCCAATACATCTATTGTCAACTGATTTCCGAAAAAGGTGTCAAGATCATTCAATGGGGGAAAGAATAGTCTCTTCAACAAATGGTGCTGAGACAACTGGATGTCCACATGCCAAAAAATAAAGTTAGACCTTTACCCCACCTCATGTATCTTTACCTGACATCATAATTCAAAATGGATAAAAGACCTAACTGTGAGAGCTAAAATTGTAGAATTCTTAGAAGAAAACAGAGGTAAATCTCCAAGACCTGGGATTTGGCAATGATTTTCTAGATATGATACCAAAAGTACAAGCAACAAAAGAAAAAATAGATAGGTTGAACTTCATCCAAATAAAAAACTTACATACAGGCCAGGCACGGTGGCTCATACCTGTAATCCCAGCACTTTGGGAGGCCAAGGCGGGCGGGCACGAGGTCAGGAGATGAGACCATTCTGTAACACGGTGAAACCCCATTTCTACTAAAAACTACAAAAAAAATTAGCCAGGCATGGTAGCGGGCGCCTATAGTCCCAACTACTTGGGAGGCTGAGGCAGGAGAATGGAGTGAACCCAGGAGGCAGAGCTTGCAGTAAGTTGAGATAGCACCACTGCCCTCCAGCCTGGGCGGCGACAGAGCGAGACTCCTTCTCAAAAACAAACAAACAAAAAAACTTAGATACATTAAAAGACACTATCAAAAAAGTGAAAATAAACCCTACAGAATGACAGAAAATATTTGCAAGTCATATTGCTAATAAGGATCTAGTTTCCAGAATATATAAAAAACTCTCAAAACTGAACAACAAAAAGACAAACAACCCAATGAAAATATTGACAAAAGACTTGAATAGACATTTCTATAAGGAAAAAATACAAATTGGCAAAAAGCACATGAAAATCTGTTCAACATCATTAATCATTAGTGAAATGTAAGTGAAAACCACAATAAGACACCACTTCATACCCATGAAGATGACTATAATCAAAAAATGAAAGATAAATTTTGTTGAGGGTCTGGAGAAATCGGAGTTCTCATATGTTGCTGGTGGGAATCCAAAATGGTGCAGCCTCCGTGAAAAACAGTGTGGCAGCTCCTCAAAAAGCATAGAATTGCCCTGTGACCCAGTATTTCCACTCCTAGATATATACCCAAGAGAACTGAAAACATGAGTTCACACAAAAACTTGTAGATGAAGGTTCACAGAGGTACTATTCAAAATACCCAAAAGTCAGACCCTAAAGGAGCTGACACACACACACACACACACACACACACACACACACACACACAAACAAAACAATAGCCAGAAGGTGGAAGCCACCCAAATATCCACCAATGGATGAATGGATAAACAAATTGTGGTCTATCCATACAATGAAATATTATCCAACCCTAAAGAGGAATGAAATTTTGATACATTCTGCAAAGTGCATGAACCTTGAAAACATTATGCCAAGTGAAAAAAGCTAAACACAAAAAGTGACCTACTGTTGATTCTATTAATATGAATATCCAAATAGGCAAATCCATATAGACAGAAAGTGGATTAGTGATTGTCAGGGCTGGGAAAATGGGAGATTGGGGAGTGACAGCTTAATGGGTATTGGATGCCCTGCCCTTTTTGAGTTGATGGTAGTGATGATATTTGCACAATATTGTGGATGTACTTAATGCCACTGAATTTTACATTTGAAAATGGTTAAGATGATCCGTTTTATGTCATGTATACTTAACCACAATTTTTAAAAACAGTCATCAATAAAAAAATTAATAAACAAACCACAGACTTATAAGAAAATAGTCACAAACCATATATCTGATAAAGAACTTGTATCCAGAATCTATAAATAGCTCCTACAAATCAATATAAATGAGGCTGAGGTGGGTGGATCCCTGAGGTCGTGAGTTCAAGACCAGCCTGGCCAACATGGTGAAACCTTGTATTTACTAAAAATACAAAAATTAGCTGGGGGTGGTGGCAGGCACCTGTAATCCCAGCTACTTGGGTGGCTGAGGCAGGAGAATTGCTTGAACCCAGGAGGTGGAGGTTACAGTGAGCTGAGACTACACCATTGCACTCCAGCCTGGGCAAGAAGGGCGAAACTCTGTCTCAAAAAATTAAAAAAAAAAAAAAAAAAAGAGTCAGAGTCTCGCTCTGTCCTCCAGGCTGGAGTGTGCTGGTACAATCACAGCTCCCTGCAGCCTCAACCTCCTGGGCTCAGATCCTCCCATCTCAGCCTCCCTAGTAGCTGGGGCTACTGGTGTGCGCCACCATGCCTGGCTAATTTTTTAAATTTTTTTGCAGAGGTGGAGGTCTCGCTATGTTGCCTAGGCTAGTCTCAAGCGCCTGGGCTCAAGCCATCTTCTTGCCTCAGCCTCTGAAAGCGTGGAGATTACAGGCCTGAGCTACTGTGCCCAGCCTCCCTGTTACTTCTCGGATGAAATCCTGCCCTGTTGGTGACACTTTCCAGGCTATGGATGGCAGTGCCTGTCTACCCCTCCAGTCCTTCTTCCTATCATACCTGCCACACGGCTGCTCACAAACAGTCCCCACCCCTGCCCCACTGCCAGGCCTCTATCTAGCCTCTTCCTCATTCAAGCCCAGCTGGAGGGTCAGGCTCCCTCCTCCAGGACGGCTTCCTTGGGCTGCAAGACAGCGCTGCCCACCACACTGAACTGACTCACAATGGCTCTCTGCCACCCCAGAGCAAACCCAGGGAGGGGCCTCTGCAACCCTGCCCCACAGTATGAGAGTCTGGACAGGGCCAGCAGCCCGCATCCCACTGGCCTGGGCCGCTGGGGCCTTTGCAGAGATGTCCTCAGAGAGTGTCCAGGCCTCGGGCCATTCTGTCTTGGAGTTCCCAAGGCCCTGGATGGAAAGAGACAAGGCAGAGTGGTCAGCCCCAGGCAGGTGGGAGGTCAGAGGGCACGGCTTAGGGTGGGTGGTGTGAAGAGAGCTGAGTGGCAGAAGTGTGACCAGGGAGGGAAAGCCTGGGCCCCCTGCTACGCACGAACCCCTTTTCTCCATTGAGCTCCCTTCCACACCCCTAAGCCCCTTTACTCCTCCTCACTGTCCCAGCTAATTGAGCTGTACCCTCTTACTAAGTCCCCTCCCCCAACTCCCCTTTCCCCTCCCCTACCTCCCCCTCCGGGGCCCGCTTGGCCCTCAGTCCCTTGGCTCCAGGTCCTGGGGCTGTGGCCTTTTCCCAGGATCTGACCTGGAGTCAAACACTTTCCGGGGAGACCTCTAGTCACTCCCTCATCCATGGCATGTCAGGAACGCAACCCTACACAGGCAGGACCCCTTCAAGGCGAAAGAGGAGCTCAGGCCGATGGACTTTTAAGGACTGAGCAGAGAGCAAGCTCCGGCCCAGTAGGGCTGTCCTCTGGATCTGGCCCCATCGCAGTGGGGCTTGGCTGGGTGCCCTGGTAGGGAGAGATCTCAGTGCTTGGATCCAGAATGAACCAGGGCTGGAATGTGCAGGGTCTGGCTGGGCCTCCGTCCCTCCCTTCACCCAAGCCTCAGTGATGCTCAGGGCTGAGGACTCTTGTCCCTCTCCAGCAGGGGCTCTGGGCCAGGAACTTGGGGGTCCCTGGTTTGCACTGCCTCCCCTGAGTTGGGGTCTCTGGGTGCTCCTCAGAGGAGCCCGGAGAGGATGAAGATAACTGTGCCCACATTTGCTGTTCCCATCTGACAGGGACAGGCTCTTTCCTGCCTTAGCCCATGTCATTCTCCAATGGCCCTGGGTTTGCTATCATTCCCATTTTATTTTTATTTTATTTTTGAGACAGGGTCTCTCTCTGTCACTCAGGTTGAAGTGGAGTGGCATGACTTTGGCTCACTGCAGCCTCAACCTCCTGGGTTCAAGTGATCCTCCTGCCTCAGCCTCCCGAGTAGCTGGGACTACAAGTGCACACTACCACACCAGTTTTGTTTTTTTTTTTTGAGATGGAATTTTGCTCTGTCACCAAGGTTGGAGTGCAGTGGCACGATCCCAGCTCACCAAAACCTCCTCTTCCCAGGTTCAAGTGATTCTTCTGCCTCAGCCTCCCGAGTAGCTAAGATTACAGGTGCCTGCCACGACGCTCGGCTAATTTTTTGTATTTTTAGTAGAGACGGGGTTTCACCACGTTGGCCAGGCTGGTCTCGAACTCCCGACCTCAGGTGGTCCATCCGCCTCGACCTCCCAAAGTGCTGGGATTACAGGTGTGAGCCACTGCACCCAGCCACTCCCATTTTACAGATGAGAAAACTGAGGCTTGGAGAGATTCAATACCTTGCCCAATGCCTTATATCTGGTGAAAGGCAAAGACAGGATTCAAATCCAGTCCTTTGTCTCCCGGTCTAGGGGAACAGAGAATGAGGCAGAAAAAGAAGAATGTATGCCCCGTGCCCCCCATTCCTCCTGGGCTGGACATGGGTCCCTAGCTCTCCCTGGAGAGGGGCTCTAGCCAGGTGCTCAAGCCAGAGCTCGGGGGAGAGAATGGACCCACGAGGAAACCCAGAGGGGCCTGGAATTCGCCTCCCCACAGGTTACCAAGGCCAACCCTCCCAAGGCCAGCCAGATATCTCCCCGCTCCTCCATGCGGCTCTGTCTCAGTGACTTCCCAGAGGTCCCAGCGCTGCATGTGGGACTGAAGGACGGGCTGGACTCAGCTTTGTTGCTTCCTGCACCTTGGCCCTGCAGTCACCGGAGTTACTTGTGACCAGCCAAGGGGAAAGAGCACACCATGGAACCCCCTGCTGTAGGTGTCCCTGTCCCCATTTTCCAGATGAGGAAAACCGAGGTTAGAAAGGTGGAGGAGTACCAGGGTGGAGTCAGGAGTGAAACTCCCGTGGGTCTGACACAAAGCTGGAGCCCTGGGTGGCAGAGTCAGACCCACCCACACTGAGACTCAGAGACCCAGGTCTGGGGTGATGACTGCTTGGGGACAGCACCTTGGAGCCCTGGAGGAGGGGGACAATGCATTTTCACAGGGGATCACCGCAGCCTTGCAGGGAGTGGGGAGAGCTGCCACCAGCAGAGGCTAAACTGCTGCCTCTGCCCTGAGCAAACCTGGCCCCTCCCTGCCCAGAGACCCTGCTCCAAAATCACCTCCCCTCACCCATCGTCCAGACCCGGGCTCCTGCTCCAAACCAAGGAACTGTTTGCGCCTGACCTAGAAATAACGGATTCCTCTGGGCCCAGGTGAGCCCATGGTGGGTGGGGACCTTGCACTCTCCTCTGACTCTCTTTCGTGGGCTGCCCACTTTGATGATCCAGTCCTCTCTTGTCACCCCTGATGGGGAGACAGGCCTTGCCCTGGGGGTTCTGATCAGAGGGAGGAGGTAGAGCTCTGGCTGGGAACCATGGTCTAAGGGGCATGGCCCTAGCCTGGGACGCTGGCCTTGCTGTGCATGCACTGGTGAGGCTCAGGACACTTGGTTTTAGGGAGACATAGTCTTGCTCTGAAATGATGGTCTAATGCGGGAGGCACAGCCTTATCCTGGGAGCTCCAGGTTTATCCTGAAGTACTGGTCTGAGGGTGGGGGGGGTGCGTGGCTGTGATGGGGAATTTGGGGAGCTGGGGTGGGCAGCGGGAGGGAGTGGCTGGAGGCTGCTGACTTCTCTGTTCCTTGGCTGTTTGGGAGCTGGCTTCAAACTCCTGGCCCAGCCTAGGTAGTGGGGATGGAGAGGGCCGGGCTTCCCAATAAGGAAGAGGCTCATGGAGGGAAATAGGATCAGGGGTTTGAGGTGAGCAGCCTCACTTGCTCTCGGACTCCTGGACCTTTTTTCCCTGGACATGAAGCAGGTGGCAGCCTTCCTCCGATGGCCCCACCGCAGTTCTGCTGAGTCCCAGACGTGACCTCAGTTTATGGGGTGATGTTCCCTCCCTGGCCAGCCTAGCGGCCACTTCAAACATGAACACCCCCCACCTCGCTGAGGCCGGAGAACACAGTCTGCGCCTCCCCCAGCCCCAGCTACCCCCGCCCTGCTAATCCTCAGTGAATGGTGAGGCCAAGAATATCCTGCCTACTCTGGCAGGCAGGCAAGCCACGAAGCCTGCTGGAAGGGCATGAATCATGGTCCCCGCCTGCCAAGTGCTCACTTGGGATGTGTTCGAGGCTGGCCGTGCCCAGAGTTGACAGGGAGAAGGGAAGGGAGGGGAGCTGGCGGCTGGGATGGGCAGACAGAGCCACTGTGAAGGGAGAGACGTCGGTTTGACCCATCCCTGGTGGCAACACAGAAATTATGTTATAGAATGTCAGGATCCTGGAATCCCCAAGTATGGACTTTTCTGTGTTCTGCAGGCCTGAAATGCAAGACTTGTGAGACGCCACGCTGCAAGCCCCCTACAGCACATGGAGGCTGAGGCCCCATTCTCCAGGTGGGGAAGTAGAGGCTCTTGGGGCAGAGAGGTCGGCTCTGGGTCTCTTATTGAATCCAAGGTAGGGCTGGGCTGGAGCCCAGGCCTCCTCTTGCCTTCTGGACGGAGGTTCTTCCCAGCCCCTCTCACTCCTGCTCTGCACCCCCTCCACCCTCACCACCATGACTGTGCTTCCTGGTTGACACAGAGGGAAGATGGACCTGTGCCCAGCAGTAGGGTCCCCTGGGGCATGGGGTCAGGGGTGCCTCCTTCTGCAGTCCTCTCTCTGCTCCACGCACATTGGCTGCACCATGGAGACTCCCATGTATCTTGCTCCCCATCCCCCATGGCCAGCTGTTCTTCCCCTTCCTGCATCCACCATCACCAAGGGAACCTGCACCATGTCTGGGCCTGCTCCTGTCATCTGTGCCCAATAACTTGCTTATTCAGAAACCATCCACCAGATGGGGGGCCAGATGTGCTCTGAACACAGGGACCTCACCCAGGGACTTCCTTTTGCTCTCCCATGCCTGCCAGTGTTTCCCAGCCCTCAGCACATGACCACGCTCCATTTTTCTTTTTTTTTTTTTTTTTTTTTTTGAGACGGAGTCTCGCCCTGTCACCCAGGCTGGAGTGCAATGGCATGACCTGGACTCACCGCAACCTCCACCTCCTGGGTTCAAGTGATCCTCCTGCCTCAGCCTCCCAAATAGCTGGGAATTCAGGTACCCGCCATCATGCCTGGCTAATTTTTGTATTTTTAGTAGAGACAGGGTTTGACCATGTTGGCCAGGCTGGTCTCAAACTCCTGACCTCGAGTGATCCACCTCCCTTGGCCTCTCAAAGTGCTAGGATTACAGGCGTGAGCCACCACGCCCAGCCCCACGGTCCACTTTCTCTCATTTAAAAAGTTTTAAAAGTCCCTTGGCCACACTGGATGACTCACACCTGTAATCCCAGCACTTTGGGAGGCTGAAGCAGGCAGATTGCTTGAGATTAGAGTTTGAGACTAGCCTGGGCAACATGGTAAAACCCAGTCTCTACAAAAATATAAAAATTAGCCAGGCATGGTGTTAGGCACTTGTAATCCCAGCTACTTGGGGGCCAGAAGCGAGAGGATAGCTTGAGCCCAGGAGTTTGAGGCTGCAATGAGCTATGATTGTGCCACTGCACTCCAACCTGGGCAACAGTGAGACCCTGACTCAAGAAAAAAATATATATATATTTTAAAGTCCCTTGTAAGGCCCACGTCCAGCCCCACCCAGCTCTGTCTCTCCCCAGCCAAGGTGCTTCAAAGAGTCATCTACACTTTATTTTTTTTTTTTTGAGACAGTCTCGCTTTGTTACCCACGCTGAAGTACGGTGGTGCGATCTCAGCTCACTGCAACCTCCGACTCCCAGATGTAAGTGATACTCCTGCGTCAGCCTCCTGAGTAGCTGAAATTACAGGCGTTCGCTACCACACCCCTGTAATTTTTGTATTTTTAGTAAAGACAGGGTTTCACCATGTTGCCCAGGCTGGTCTCAAACTCCTGACCTCAGGTGATCCTCCTGCCTCAGCCTCCCAAAGTGCTAGGATTACAGATGTGAGCCACTGCGCCTGGCCAGTTGTCTACAAAGTGCTGGGATTATAGGCGTGAGCCACCGTGCCCAGCCAGTCATCTACACTTCTAATCCCTCACTTTCTCACGACCCACTCTCTCCAAAACTCTCTCCAGCCTGGCTTTTGTCCCCAGTCCTCCCCAGATGGATGGACAGACAGGGGCTGCAGCAACTCTTGTCACTGAATGGTCGCTCCTCCTCCCTGACATGTGGGCCAAGCCACTGTGGAACCTCTTGCGTCAAAGCCCCTGCCCATGACGGTCTCTCTTCCTGCCTCTCTTCCAGAGCCTTCCTCTGAGCTCCTCTTGCCCATCCCTTTCATGTGAGTGGCCCTCAGATCTCATCTCAGACCCTTTCTCGAGGTCCTTTTTTTTTTGAGACAGGGTCTCGCTCTGCTGCTCAGGCTGGAGTGCTGTGGCACAATTTCAGCTCACTGTAACCTCCGCCTCCCAGGTTCAAGTGATTGACCTACCTCAGCCTCCTGGGTAGCTGGGATTACTGGTGCACGCCACCGTGCCCGGCTTATCTTTGTCTTTTTAGTAGAGACAAGGTTTCACCATGTTGGCCAGGCTGGTCTTGACCTTCTGATCTCAAGTGATCCGCCCGCCTCGGCCTCCCAAAGTGCTGGGATTACAGGCATGAGCTGCCGCACCCAGGGCCTCAAGGTCCTCTTTCTGAGCCATTCCTCCACCCTGTGGCTTGACACCATACTCTCCCTGGGTCACCAGCCTCGTCCTCAACAGGGCTCCAGGCCAGCATGTCCGGAACCAGGCTGATACCTCCACCTGGGGACCCACAGGCCCACACACCCCTAAGTCCAGGGCTAACTGATCCCCCAGCCCCGTTGTTCCCCTCATTGAGAGAAGGGCCCTGACGCCTACCAAAGCACCCAGAGAGTGATGCTGGCATCATCGGAGGCTCCGCCCTCCCCCTCCCCTCCACCCTCTGTCCCATTGGTAGACCAAGGCCAATCCACGAGATTCCGACTTCATTCTCTCCCTACTGCCACTGGCTTCACCCTAAACTCACACTATTTGGCCGGGGTATCGTGACATCCACGTCACTAGCTCCTGGGCCCTGCCCCTCCAGCTGGTTCTCCATAGGGAGCCAAAGGCTTGCATGAACTCCTTCTCATGCAAACCTGACCGTGCCCCTCTTTAGCTCAATGCCCTTTGCTGGCTTCCCACTGCCCTCCAGGCCCCGCCGGGCCCTCTGTGGCCTGGTCCTTTCCCACCTTTCCAGCCAGACCTTATGTTCCGTCCAACTCCCCGGGTTCATCACTCCTAACGGTGCCTCACTGATCCTCGCTCCATCTTCTCCCGACCATCACTGCTGCCTGTAATGAACCTTCCTTCACTATTCCACAAACCACCTTGCCAAGTCAAAAGACTCCTCCTTGGTGAAGCTCCCCAGGATCTTTCCCATTCCCGTGGCACCCTTTACTTACCATGCCAGATGCCACCGCTGCCCCACGGTGTCCCCCGCTGCATTGGGACCTCTTTGAGAGCAAGGATGTGCCTGATCCTTCTGCTCTCTCTGCAGGCTTGGAGCAGAGGGAGAGCAAGAATTTACCGAACAAGGCTGGGTGCAGTGGCTCACGCCTGTAATCCCAGCACTGTGGGAGGCCCAGATGGGTGGATCACTTGAGGCCAGGAGTTCGAGACCAGCCTGGCCAACATGGTGAAACCCCGTCTCTACTAAAAATACAAAAAATTAACCAAACGTAGTGGAACGTTCTTGTAATCCCAACTACTCTGGTGGATGAGGCAGGAGAATCGCTTGAGCCCCAGAGGCGGAGGTTACGGTGAGCCGAGATCTCGCCACTGCACTCCAGCCTGGGTGACAGAGTGAGACCCTGTCTCAAAAAAAAAAAAAAGAAAAAAAAGGAAAGAGTTTACTGAACAAATGAAAGAATGCATGAATAATGAATGAATGATTCCCTGAGGGTCGTAGTCCTCTCTCTCGGGACCCTCCTGAAATGGTGCCATCTGAGTCCAGGCTGCACTCCCAGCCCTGGGCCCTAGCAGGTCCAAGTTCTCAATGTTTCTGAGCACTGGTAAGTGTGGAAAACTTTTGCTCCTCCAGGATTCTTAACTCCATGGGAGAGGGCAGGGTGGGTGAGGGCCTGGGAGCCAGGAGGGCTGGCAGCCGAGGGAGGGGAGGAGGAGTAGTCAGGGGACCAGACACTTGGCTGTGTCTCTGGGGGCAGCAGGGTCTTGGAGCCCAGGGAGGGGCATGAGACCTACCTTCTCACCCTGAGCCAGGCCTGCCCTGGAAGCCCAGGCCAGGAAACCAGGGAGTAAGGAAGCCAGGGGAGAGACGGAGTTTGTGCAACAGTATTCAACGTGTTTGCAATAAAGGGGAAATGGAAAAAATGTTAATTTACTTTTGATGGTGCCCTGGGGGGTGGAAACATACATGACTGTGAAGTCTCCAATTGCCACCCATTCAGCCCGGCTCTGGACACTCAAGGGAGGGAGGGAATGTGAGGGTGAAGGGTGAGATGTTCCAAATACCCTGTCCCCGAATCTCCCCCTTACACCCTGTCACTGTGCCAAATGCTCTGTCCATGAAGAAGCCCGCTCAGGGCTTCTAGAACGACGTGCCTTTCAGCTGAGTGAAGGCCACGGGACCAGCCGGCTCACTGCTTTTTTCCCCCGCTAGGAGGGCCTGGGCCTCTAGAAAAGATCCCCAGCAGGGAGGTGCCAGCCCCTTCCGGCATGGGGGGCCTTGAGCCTGGTATTACCTGAAACTCCCATGATCCTTGCCTCAGCCCTCAAGCCTGGGGGGTAGGGTCCAGCCAGGATGTAGGTGCCAGGAGCCAGCTGACTTCTCAGCAGCTGTGTGGACTCTGTGGAATCACTTCCTTTTTTGGAGTCTCCATGTCCTCCTTGGGAATGTGGAGGTTCCTTAGGAGGGAGTTCCCATCCTAGGCTCAGGGGGATGTAGGACATCAGTGCTTGGCTGCAGAGAGGGGTGGGTGGGAGCTTTAGGTGGGAGGCGGGTGGGGAAGGGATGACCAGGGCCTCTGACTCCCCAGTCCCACCACTTAGAACTGGAGGGGCTGGACTGCTCGGCCCCAGATCTCAGGATTGTTGACCTTCCTGTGCAATCTCTGCCCATCCCTTTACCTGTCACTTTTGGAGAGGTGACGGCAGGAACACAGTCCCTCAGCTCCTTCATGGTGATGGTTTTGGGTGGGAACAGCTGGCAGGGCCACTGTGCCTTGGAGCCACCCCAGCTGCCCCCACCTCACACCAATATCACTCAATGCACTCGCTGAGGTTCTTCTTACCTTAAGACAATGCTGTAGGTGCAGAACTTTTACATGGGAGGAGATGCCAGGAAGCATGGGTAAGAGAGGGAGGCAGGGAAAGGAAAAAAAGCCAACAAAGAAAGGGTCCGCTAATGAGCAGCAGAGGCCCAGTGCCCAAGGGACCTTCCGAAACAGCACTGCCCAGTTGAACTTTCTGTGATGATGAAACTTCTTAATCTGCCAATGCAGATTGTTCAGTATGGCAGCCGGTAGAGCTACCGAGTGCTAGAAATGTAACTAGTGCAACTGCAGAAATGAAACAAATTTATACACTTTTATTTATTTATTTATTTGTTTGTTTGTTTGTTTTTTAAGAAAACAGGGTCTTGCTTTGTCGCTCAAGCTGGAGTGCAGTGGCACCATCATGGCTCACTGCAGTCTCAACCTCCTGGCCTCAAGTGATCCTCTCACCTCAGCCTCCACAGTAGCTGGGACTACAGATGCGTGCCAGCACACTTTACTAATTTTTTTTTTTAATTTTGTAGAAATGGGATCTTGCTACATTGCTCAGGCTGGTCTTGATCTCCTGGGCTCAAGTGATCCTCCCGCCTCAGTCTCCCAAAGTGTTGGGATTACAGGTGTGAGCCACGGTGCCAAGCCTTAGCTTAGCCTGTCTTAAACATGCTCAGAACACTTACATTAGCCTTCAGTTTGGCAAAATTATTGAACACAAACCCTATTTTGTAATAAAATGTTGAATTTCTCATGTAATTTATTGGATACGCTACTGAAATTGAAAAACAGGAGGGTTTTATGGGTACTTGAAGTACAGTTTCTACTGAATGCATATTGCTTTTGTTCTATCATAAAGTTGAAAAAATCCCAAGTCAAACCATTGTAAGTCACAGACCATGTGTATATGTTTTTTGGGTCCAATTTTTTTCACTCAGCATATTTTTTGACACTCATTCATGATTCTACATATATTTTGTTCTGAGTACTATCCCACTATATGGATATACCATCATTTATTTTCCACTCTTCTGGGTACAGACATCTGGGCTGTGTACAGTTTTGTACTTTTAGGAATAAAGCTGCTTTGAATACTTGTGTTCAAGTCTTTGTGTAGATGTATATTTTTAATTTCTCTTGAGTAAATGCCTAGGAATATATAGAATTATGTACGGTATGGGAGGTGTACAACTAACTCTTTAAGAAACTGTCAAACTGTCTGTCAGTGTGGTTGCTACTAGTTTACAGTTCCACCAACAATATATGAGACTTTTCACTAATCCATATCCTCTGCAACATTTGGTGTTGTCATTTTCTTTTTGTTTTTTTGAGATGGAGGCTCGCTTTGTCGTCCAGGCTGGAGTGCAGTGGCACGATCACGGCTCACTGCAACCCCTGCCTCCCCGGTTCCGGCGATTCTCATGCCCCAGCCTCCGAAGCAGCTGGGATTATAGGCGCTCCCCACCACACTCGGCTAATTTTTTTTTTTTGTATTTTTAGTAGAGACAGAGTTTCACCATGTTGGCCAGGCTGGTCTCCAACCCCTGATCTCAAGTGACCCACCTTCCTCAGCCTCCCAAAGTGCTGGAATTTTAGGGGTGAGGCACCGCACCTGGCCTTATACAATCCTTTTAATAACATTCTAAGTTCAATTTGGCAGTGTTTTCTCTTTTTGTAAATTTAATTTTTTAAAATATTTATTTATTTATTTTATAAGATGATGTCTTGCTCTGTCACCCAGGCTGCAGTGCAGAGATGCAATCATGGCCCACTGCAGCCTCAACTTCCCAGATCCTTTCACCTCAGCCTCCCAAGTAGCTGGAACCACAGGCATGTAACACCACACCCAGCTAATTTTTGTATTTTAGGTAGAGATGGGGTTTCACTATGTTGCCCAGGCTGGTCTTGAACTCTTGAGCTCAAGTGATCCACCTGCCTTGGCCTCCCAAAGTGCTGGGATTACCAGCATGAGCCACTGTGACCAGCCAGTTTGGCAGTGTTTACTTAAGAATTTTTTATCAGGCCGGGCGCGATGGCTCACGCCTGTAATCCCAGCACTTTGGGAGGCCAAGGCAGGTGGATCACGAGGTCAGGAGTTCAAGACCAGCCTGGCCAAGACGGTGAAACCCCATCTCTACTAAAAATACAAAAATTAGCCGGGTGTGGTGGCACTTGCCTATAATCCCAGCTACTTGGGAGGCTGAGGCAGAGAACTGGTTGAACCTGGGAGGCAGAGGTTGCAGTGAGCCAAGATCGCACCACTGCACTCCAGCCTGGGCGACACAGCGAGACTCCGTCTCAAAAAAAAAAAAAAAAAAAGAATTTTTTATCAATGTTTATAAACAATATTGATCAGTTGTTTTCTTGTAGTGCCTTTGTCTGGCTCTAGTTATCAATGCAATGCTGGCCTCATAGAATGAGTTAGAAAGTATTTCCTCCTCTTCAAGTTTTTGAAAGAGTTTGCAAAAAACTGGCATTAATTTTCCTTTAAATGTCTGGTAGAAGTCACTGGTAAAGCCACCCAGTGAGGGGTATTTCTTTGTTGGGAGGATTTTAATTAGCAATTTAATCTTCTTACTAGTTATAGGTTTACCCCTATTTTCTTTTTTTTTTTTTTGAGACGAAGTCTTGCTCTCATCCCCCAGGCTGGAGTGCAATGGTGCAATCTCGGTTCACTGCAACCTCCGCCTCCCGGGTTCAAGTGATTCTCCTGCCTCAGCCTCCGAGTTGCTGGGATTGCAGGTGCCTACCACCATGCCCAACTATTTTTTACATTTTTAGTAGAGACAGGATTTCACCATGTTGGCCAGGCTGGTCTCTAACTCCTGACCTCAGGTGATCTGCCCACCTCGGCCTCCCAAAGTGCTGGGATTATAGGCGTGAGCCACCTTGCCCGGCCAGTTTACCCATATTTTTTATTTATTTGTGATTTAGTCTTGGTAGGTTTTGTGTTTCTAGAGATTTGCCATTTCATTTGGTTATTCAATTTGCTGCTGTACCTATGTTTATAGTATTCTCTTATAATCACTTTAATTACTGTAAAGTTACAGTAATGTCCTCATTTTCATTCTGATTTTGGCTATTTGAGTTTTCTTTTTTTTTTCTTAGTAAATCTAGCTAAAAACTTGTCGATTTTGCTGACCTGTAAAAAAGTTTTAATTCTACCTATTCTCTTCTTTTCCTATTCTTTATTTATTTTCACTGTAATCTTTGTTTCCCGTATTCTGCTAGCTTGGGTTTAGCTCTTCTTTTCTAGATCCTTTAAAGTGTATAGTTAGGTGACTGATTTGAGAGCTTTCTTTTAATTTTTATTTTTATTTATTTTTTGAGATGGAGTCTCACTCTGTCACCCAGGCTGGAATGCAGTGGTGCAATCTCGGCTCACTGCAACCTCCCTCTCCCAGGTTCAAGGAATTCTCCTGCCCCAGCCTCCCAAGTAGCTGGGATTACAGGCCTGCACCACCATGCCTGGCTAATTTTTGTATTTTTAGTAGCAATGGGCTTTTGCCATGTTGGTTAGACTGGTCTTGAACTCCTGACCTCAGGTGATCCTCCCGCTTCGGCCTCCCAAAATGCTGGGATGTTGACATGAGCCACCACTCCTGGCTTTCTTATTTTTAAAGGTAGATGCTTACAGCTATACATTTCCCTCTGAGCACTGCTTTAACTGCATCCCATAAATTCTGGTATGTTGTGTTTTCATTTTTATTCATCTCAAAGTGTTTTCTAATTTCCTGTATGATTTCATCTTCAACCAGTGATTGTTTAAGAGTGTGTTTACTTTCCATATATTTGTGAGTTTTCGAGTTTTGCTGGTTACTGATGTCTAGTTTCATTCCATGACGATTATAAAATACTTAGCACTTTGGATACTTTCAATCTTTTAAAACATTAATACTTGTTTTGCAGCCTAATACACTATATACTCTGGACAATGTCCCACATGCTCTTGAAAAGAATGTGTATTTTGCTGTTGTTGGGTGGGTATCTGTAAATGTCCATTAGATCTAGTTGGATTATCATGTTGTTCAAGTGCTCTCTTTCCTATTGATCTGGTCTCTGATTGTTATAAAGTTGAGGTAGTGAGGTCACCAATGATCACTGTGAAACTCTTCTTTTCCCTTCAATTCTACCCTTTCTTGCTTCATATGTTTTGGTGCTCTGTTGTTAGGTGCATATATGTTTAAATTGTTATATCTTCTTGTTGGATTAAACTTTTCATCAGTATAGAATTCCCTTGTCTCTCATAACCATTGTTGGCTTAAAACCTATTTTGCCTAACATATGGCCACTCCTGATGTCATTTGGTTACTTTTTTTTTTTTTTTTTTTTTTGACACAGAGTTTCACTCTTGTTGCCCAGGCTGGAGTGCAATAACACGATCTCAGCTCACTGCAACCTCTGCCTCCTGGGTTCAAGCGATTCTCCTGCCTCAGCCTACCGTGTAGCTGGGATTACAGGCATGCACCACCACGCCTGGCTAATTTTGTATTTTTAGTACAGACAGGGTTTCTCCATGTTGGTCAGGCTGGTCTTGAACTCCCGACCTCAAGGGATCTGCCCGCCTCAGCCTCCCAGAGTGCTGGGATTACAGGCATGAGTCACTAAGCCTGGCCTCATTTGGTTACTTTTTGCATGGAATTCATTTCTTCATTCTTTTGTTTTCAATCTCATTGTGTCTTTGTATCTAAAGTAAGTCTGTATTTATAGACAGTATATAGATGGATCATGTTTTATTTTATTTAACTAATTTTTTTACATTTCCCAAGGCTCTGTCATCCACCTATTCATTTAATACATTCTACCAATCTCTCCTGGGCTCAAGAGATCCTCCCACCTCAACTGCCTGAGTAGCTTGGACTGCAGGAACATGCCACCACTCATAGCCTATATTCTTCTTCTTCTTTTCTTTTTTCTTTCTTTTTTTTTTTTTTTTGGCTTAAACAACAGAAATTTACTTCTCTTGGTTATGGAGTCTGGAAATCCAAGATAAGGGCTGGGCGCGGTGGCTCATGCCTGCAATCTCAGCACTCTGGGAGGCCGAGGAGGATGGATCACCTCAGTTCAGGAGTTTGAGACTGACCTGGCCAACAAGGCAAAACCCCATCTCTACTAAAAATACAAAAACTTAGCAAGGCATGGTGGTGCATGCCTGTAATCCCACCTACTGGGGGGCCGAGGCAGGAGGACTGCTTGAACTTGGGAGGCAGAGGTTGCAGTGAGCCAAGATCGAGCAACTGCACTCCAGCCTGAGCAACAGAGCAAGACTCCGTCTCAAAAAAAGAAAAAAAAAAAAAAAAAAAAAAGCCGGGCGTGGTGGCTCGTAATCTCAGCACTTTGGGAGGCTGAGGCTGGCAGATCACGAGGTCAGGAGATCGAGACCATCCTGGCTAACACAGTGAAACCCCGTCTCTACTAAAAATATAAAAAATTTGCCAGGCGTGGTGGTGGGTGCCTGTACTCCCAGCTACTCGGGAGGCTGAGGCAGGAGAATGGCTTGAACCCGGGAGGCGGAGCTTGCAGTGAGCCGAGATCGCGCCACTGCACTATAGCCTGGGCAACAGGGGAAGACTCCATCTCAAAAAAAAAAAGAAAAAGAAAAAAAAGTTCTACTATAAATAAAAATTAGACTTCCTATCCCACTGACAGTCACTTCATTGAAAACAGGAATTTCACAGGAAACTTGAAAACAGCACCAAAAACTATAATGTTTTCCTACAGCATTTTAGGAGCTTTATCCAACATCAAACAAATAAACATAAGTTAAATAGTATTAAATAGGATAGCTGTTGTTTCACATGTTTACGTATTATAACAACAGTCTAGATTATTTAAACTCACTTCAGCCATGTGAAATAACACACGTTTCTACAGTGCTCTATGATAAAAGTGTATATTTAATAAGATTTTCAAAATGTTCGGCCTGTACTATGAAACTTCTTTTTATGGAGACAGGGTATCACTCTGTCACGCAGGCTGTAGTGCAGTGGCTTGATCACAGCTCACTGCAGCCTGGAACTTCCGGACTCAAGCGATCCTCCCACTTTGGCCTCCGAAAGCACTGGTATTATAGGCATAAGCCACTGCACCAGCCTGAAACTTTTGGTTTTAGTGTGATCACTTTTTTTTTTTTTTTTTTGAGACAGAGTCTCACTTTGTTGCCCAGGATGGAGTGCAGTGGCACAATCTCGGCTCATTGCAACCTCCACCTACTGGGTTCAAGAGATTCTTGTGCCTCAGACTCCCGAGTAGCTGAGATCACAGGCACACACCACCATGCCTGGCTAAGTTTTCTGTATTTTAGTAGAGACGGGGTTTCGCAGTCTTGATCCAGGCTGGTCTCTAACTCCTGGCCTTAAGTGATCTGCCCACCTCAGCTTCCCAAAGTGTTGGGATTACAGGCGTGAGCCACCGCACCTGGCCTATAATGCGGTAACTTCACTGATGGGCTAAGAAGCCACTTGGTACCATTTCTATTCTGAGTCACAGGTGTTAGGTTTACACAGGTATTTCCTACATTTGAGGGATAGGTCATCTCTGCTAGAGATGTTTGCTCTGCAGCCAATAAAACCCCACGTGCCAGAAATTAAACTCACACAGTCAAGACTGAAATTCTATGTCTCTAGCCAGAGACTGACATAGGTAAACAGAATCTTAGTTGTATATGTAGACATCACAATGAGTAAGTACTGGTAACATTTTGTTCACTGAAAACCAGCAACAAAAATCAAAGAAATCAATGAATTTATTCTTATCAAATCAGTTAAATACTCATTAAACACTTGTGTGCCCAACTGGGGTTGAGAATGCAAAAACAGAAATGAGTGCAGAATTCCTGTTTACAAATTAGCTGGGTCAGACATCCTTACAGAAAGAAACAACCAGGAAATGAGTATACATTCACTTCAAGAATCTTTTCTTTTTTTTTGTAGAGATGCAGTCTTGCTATGTTGCCCAGGCTGGTCTCCAACTCCTAGCCTCAAGTGATTCTCCCACCTTGGCCTCCGAAAGTGCTGGGATTACAGGCGTGAGCCAACATGCCTGGCCTCACTTCAAACATCTAAAGAGCAGAGAAGATTAAAATACAAGACAGAAGTAATTAGCTGGGCATGGTGGCGAGTGCCTATATTCCCAGGTACTCAGAAGGCTGAGGCAGGCGAATCACTTGAACCCAGGAGGTGGAGGTTGTAGTGGCCAAGATCAAACCACTGCACTCTAGCCCAGCGACAGAGCAAGACTCCATCTCAAAAAAAAAAAAAAAAAAAAGCAAATAATCCAGCACTATACTGAAAACATTTGTCCTTATCAGCTATATAGCAGCCTGTACGTAAGAGCTACATAAAATTCCATTTTAAGGCCGGGTGCAGTGGCTCATGTTTGTAATCCCAACACTTTGGGAGTCCAAGGCTAGAGAATCACTTGAGGCCAGGGGTTGGAGACCACCCTGGGAAACATATAGGGATTCCATCTCTACAAAAAAATTTAGGCCAGATACAGTGGCTCACGCCTGTAATCCCAACACTTTGGAAGGCCGAAGCGGGCAGACCACGAGGTCAGGAGATCGAGACCATCCTGGCTAACATGGTGAAACCCCCGTCCCTACTAAAAATACAAAAAATTAGCCAGGCATGGTGGCGGGTGCCTGCAGTCCCAGCTACTCGGGAGACTGAAGCAGGAGAATGGCATGAACCCTGGAGGCGGAGCTTGCAGTGAGCCAAGATCAGGCCACTGCACTCCAGCCTGGCTGACAGAGTGAGACTCAGTATCAAAAACAAACAAACAAAAAATTTAGCCAATCAGGCTAAATTACTAGGTGGGAAGCCTGTGTTCCCAGCTACTTGGGAGGCTGAGACAAGAGAATCACTTAAGCCTGGGTGGTAGAGGTTGCAGTTAGCTGTGTTCCTGCCATTGCATTCCAACCTGGACGACAGATAGAGACCTTTTCTTGTTTTTGTTTTGTTTTGTTTTGTTTTGTTTGAGACGAAGTCTTGCACTGTTGCCCAGGCTGGAGTGCACTGGTGCAACCTCGGTTCAGACAACCTCCGCCTCCTGGGTTCAAGTAATTCTCCTGCCTCAGCCTCCTGAGTAGCTAGGATTACAGGTAGGCGCCATCATGCCCATCTAATTTTTGTGTTTTTAGTAGAGACGGGGTTTCACCATGTTGGTCAGGCTGGTCTTGAACTCCTGACCTCGTGATCCAACCGCCTCGGCCTCCCAAAGTGCTGGGATTACAGGCATAAGCCACCGCAGCTAGCCAGGGAGACCCATTTTAACCACATAAGGACCCAGCTAAAAACCCTTCCCTGGTTCTGTCACCATCAGATTAAAGCCTAAGCTCCTGTATCTCTGTCCTGTACTTTTTCTCTTTAATAACCACCCTCCAGGCTCGGGAGCCGATGCCTGTAATTTCAGCACATTGGGACACTTGAGGCGGGAGAATGGCTTGAGTCCAGGAATTCAAGACCAGCGTGGGCAACGCAGCAAGACAACATCTTTACAAAATCTTTAAAAATCAGCTGGGTGTGGCGGCACCCATTTGCAGTCTCAGCTACTCGGGAGGTTGAGGTGGGAGGTTCACTTGAGCCCAGGCAGTTGAGACTTCAGTGACTCGTGATCGTGTCACTGTACTCCAGCCTGGGTGACAAAGTGAGACCCTCTCTCTCAATAAATAAATAAATAAATAAATAAATAAGCACCTCCTTGTAGTTACTGGCCTCCCCTCCTTTGGTTCCCCCCTCTCCCTCACTCCACCCTGTTAGTCTGAATGTTACTCATTCTTCAAGACACATGCAGAAAGTATTCCCCGATCCCTTCCAGGCTCCACACCCAACAGCATGGCCTAAATGCCCGGCTCCTTCCTCGGTGCTCCATCTTAGCTCACACTCCTTACCACACTGTTCTGAAAGTATCTTGACTGTCCCTTCTCCTCAACTGGCTAACTTCTAGAGAGCAGAAACTGACTGATTGGAAAGGTCATTAAATATTCATATCCTGAACATTTCTTAATCTTGAGGATATGAATCAGTAACTCTTAAAAGCAAAATGTTATTTATCATTAAATGTTAACAATATAATCACATCTTCTTGCATCTCTGGCAAGTTTCCTGGTACAACAATTTTAAGGAACAGACTAACAGCAGTTAAAGCCGCGCAATGGCTCACGTCTCTAATCCCAGCACTCTGGGAGGCCGAGGCGGGAGGATCGCTTAAGGCCAGGAGTTTGACACCTGCCTGGGTAACATTGTGAGATCCCATCTCGAAAAAAATAATAAGGAAAAACAAAGCAGTTTTAGATTTAGAGAGGGGAAAGTAGCTCTCCAAGCCAAAAACCAACTCCCAAGGTGCTCCGGTAAACTCGTCCTGGGAAAATTTCCTATTTAATCTCAAAGGCAAAACGAGCCCACGGACGCCCACGACACATTTCCCAACCACAAGGATTGGTCACTCGCGCTGAGACACCGCCAGCTGCCTATGACCTAGCCTCCAAAGCGGCAGAGTCCTTCCCTCTCTCTCCCTAAACTGCCGTGATGGGCATCCCCCGGCTCTCCTCCCAGACGGTTCGGAAATAGGGACTTCTGCTCCTAACCCCGGCCCCGCAGCCTCGCCCTCAGCCACGGGGTGGAAGTCAGGACCATAGGCTTCAAATCCCCTCCCAACTCCGGGACGCTTCTGTCCCCCCAGGGCGACGCGGGATCAAATCCCGGCGCCCTGCCGCGGCCGGGGGCTGTGGTCTGGGTCCGAGCGTCCCATCCCGGCGCGTTCCGGGGAGGTCCTGGGATGGGTCCCGCGCGACCACAGATGTTGCTTCGGAGCCAGCATCCTGGACGGGGAAGTGGGAGCCGGACCGAGGGGAGCCGCCGGACAGGGAGGCGGCCAGGAAGTGATCCAGGTCAGGCCGTCGGGGCACGGCCGGGCGCTGGAGATGCCGGCAACGAGCACGTTGGACGGAGAGGCCGCGCACTGTGAGGATTAAGGGAACCGAGGGCGGCCTGAAACGGGGCAGGCGGCGCTGACGGGGCCAGAATATGGGAAGAAGGACAGCGGGAGGCACCGACGCGCAACTGTCCCGGCCGCGCGGACGTCACGGACCAACAGCCCCGCCACCCCCGGCCCAAGATGCCCCGCCGCGCAGCTCTTAGCCCCAGTCCGTCCACTCCGTACCTCGCCCGCGTGTCCGCTGGCGTCCGAGCCGCAGCTCGCCCGCGTCTGCGCCGTGGTCCAGGTCACCGCTCGCCCACGTCGCTCGGCAGGTCTGGGTTCCCCAGTCCGCTCCAGCCTCACACACACCCCCTGCTTGCCCCGCCCCCCCGGCACCGCCAGCGCACGCCCGTAACGCACGGCGCGCAAACATCACTTCCGGGGCCTTTGGCTGATGACGGGAGGAAGTGCGAGCGGGATCCAAAGGCTTACACAGAGTAGGGTGCCGCTCTGACGCCCAAGAGCAAATAGAAGAGGGTAGCCTCCGCGCTAAAGCTGGGGCGCTGGGGAGCCCCGGAGAAACCAACGTTTCCTAGTCTGTGGCTCAGTCCCTACTTCCGGCTCCCGATGCGCAGCAGCGGGAGGGCGACGCCGGCACCGCGGCGACTCCTGGAGCCGAGGCCACGGTGGAAGCGCGAATGGGAGGTGGAGCGGAGCCACTGCGCCGAGGGACGCTTCAGAAACTCTGTTTCAGTCCTTCGCGGATCCTAGGATGTGACAGGTGTTCGAGTTAAAGGGTCTTAAGCCAATCGTTTGATCCAAAAGCAGCTGAATCTTTAGGAGGCCCAGGCAGGAGGATCGCTTGAGGCCAGGAGTTCGAGACCACCCTGGGCCACAGAGGGAGAGCCCCCATCTCTACAAAAGAAATTTTACAAATCAGCCGGGCATGATGGCGGGCACCTGTGGTCCCAACTACTGGGGAGGCTGAGGTGGGAGGATCGCTTGATAGCCCAGGAAGTTGAGGGTGCAGAGATCCCTCCACTGAACTCCAGCCCGGGTGACAGAGCAGAGCGAGACCCTGTCTCAAAAAGAAAAAAAAAAAAAAAAAGCGTAACTGAGACCCAGAAGTGAAATAATTAACCAGTGTCACAAAGTATGAATGGTTGAGTCACAAATTGGATACTGTTTACTTTCTTTATGTGATTCCCATGTAAGGAATATTAAAAACAGTAGCTACATGCTGATTGCTCTGAGTCCTGGATGCCATCTATGGTGAAAGGTGCAGTCACAGAAAGAAAGAAAAGAAAATACAATGCTGTGGCTCTTAGATAGACCTGGGTTGGAATCCCAGCTTTGCTAATTGTCGCTGTGGTGTTCTTGGACAGGTTGCCCAATTTTTCAGTCTTCTTTTTTTCTTTTTTGAGACAGTCGCGCTCTGTCACCCAGAGTGGAGTGCAGTGGTGTGATCTCGGCTCACTGCAAACTCCGCCTCCTAGGTTCAAGCGATTCTCCCACCTCAGCCTCTCGAGTAGCCGGAATTATAGGCGCCCGCCACCATGCCCAGCTAATTTTTTCGTATTTTTAGTCGAGACGGGGTTTCACCATGTTGGCCAGGCTGGTTTGGAATCGTGACCTCAAGTGATCCGCCCGCCTTGGCCTTCCAAAGTGCTAGGATTACAGGTGTGAGCCTCCGCACCCGGCTAATTTTTGTATTTTTACTAGAGACAGGGTTTCATCATATTGGCCAGTCTAGTCTAGTACTCCTGACCTCAAATCATCCACCTGCCTTGGTCTCCCAAAATGCTGGGATTACAGGCGTGAGCCACCGCGCCCGGCCCTAATTTCTGTTCTTGCTCATTATTGGTAAAGTGGAGATTAATTGATTCGTTTCTCAAATTCTTCCTAGGTGCCTAATGTGTGCTAGGCTGAGGGTACAACAGAGTATAAAACAAAAGTATGGCTGGGTGCGGTGGCTCACGCCTGTAATCCCAGCACTTTGGGAGGCAGAGGCGGGCGGATCACCTGAGGTCAGTAGTTAGAGACCAGCAGAACCAACAGAGAGAAACCCTGTCTCTACTAAAAATACAAAATTAGCTGGGCGTGGTGGCACATGCCTGTAATCCCAGCTACTTGGGAGGTTGAGGCAGGAGAATCACTTGAACCCAGGAAACAGGTTGCAGTGAGCCGAGATCACGACATTGCACTCCAGCTTGGGCAACAAGAGCGAAACTCTGTCTCAAAAAAAAAAAATGAGAAAACAAACACAAAGTACCTGTGCTGAGGAGGTGGAGGAGCCAATAAACAATAAATTTAAAGTAGTACATTACATGGTGATAATTGCTATTACCAAAAGACAATAATATTTACTTTAAAGATCTTAACTGACTTGTGATCATAGAATCAGGCAACACACCATTCTCTAAACCATTCTGTGAAACAGAATGAGTGTTTCCTCTTTTTTTGAGATATGGTCTCACTGTTGCCCAGGCTGGAGCACAGTATTGCAATCTCAGCACACTCCTGCCTCCAACTCCCTGGCTAAAGTGATCCTTTTGCCTCAGCCTCCCCAGTAGCTGGGATGGTAGGTGTGTGCCACCACACTCAGCTAGTTTTTGGGGTAGAGCTAGTTTTTTTTGTAGAGACAAGGTTTTGCCATGTCGCCCTGGCTGGTCTCGAAGTCCTGGACTCAAGCAATCTGCCAACCCTGGCCTCCCAAAGTGCTGGGATTACAGGCATGAGTTTAGGCCCCTGGCCCCACAATGAGCGTTCAATAAGCTGAGCAGAAGAGGTTGGTTTTAAAGACAGAAAAGGCCTGAGGAAAGCAGTAACAAAAAGTGGGTATCATTTCAAAGTTTCCTTGTGAAGGTTAAGACAAAGAGGACTGGCTGGGTGTGGTGGCTCACACCTGTAATCCCAGCACTTTGGGAGGCCGAGGCGGGCTGATCACCTGAGGTCAGGAGTTTGAGACCAGCCTGGGCAACCCCACCTCTGGTGGTGAAACCCCACCTCTACTAAAAATACAAACATTAGCCAGGCGTGGTGGCCTATACCTGTAGTCCCAGCTACTCTGGAGGCCAAAGTGGTAGGATCACATGAGCCTGGGGGGTTGAGGCTGCAGTGAGCCGTGATCATGCCACTGCACTCCAGCCTGGGTGACAGAGCAAGACCCTGTCTCAAAAAGAAAAAAAAACTGCAACCAAGAAGCTTGCAGCTTTAAAATAGACAGGAGTGGCCTCGTGAGGTGACCTGAATAAAAGATGAGGGAGCCAGCTGTGCTCCTATGCAAATATCTGGGCAAGAATGTTCCAGGCACCGAACAGATAGAGGGAAGACCCTTCTGACACCGCTAACCTGTTTAGCAGTAGCAGAGTGAATGAGGGGATGTAGAAGAGGTCAAAAGGCAAAGCAAAAGCCAAACCAACGTCAATATGGGAGGGAACTAGCAAGAGCACGGATGCTGGAAAGTCTGACTTACTGGGACATTAATGGAAACATCTATCACACATGACTTTATGATTCCACTGCTAATTTTGATGTTGGTTATTGGTTTAGAGGAGGGATTCTTTATCATGCCACGTGAGTACTTTCTTGTTTAACTCAGGAATGAAAACGTGGTTACCATCTTTACCTGTAATTCTGTGAAAACACTGACTACCTCAGTATTAAAATGACTGTTAATCTAGGTGTGTTTATGAATTTCCTTTGTCCATGCTTGCCAGCAGTTATTACAATGTCTGAGTTTCCCTGTGGGAGGACTGCCTGGGGCCAGGAGTTTGAAACCAGCCCGGGCAACATGGTGAGACCTCATCTCTACAGCAAATAAAAATAAAATAAATAAAATGTCTGAGTTTCCACATTGCCACATTGTCTTGTCTCTTCATCCCTCTCCCTCCCTGGGTCCACTGGATTACCTTTTCTTTTTTTTTTTTTTTTTTTTGAGACGGACTCTCACTCTGTCACCCAGGCTAGAGTGCAGTGGCGCCATCTCGGCTCACTGCAAGCTCCGCTTCCTGGGTTCTCGCCATTCTCCTGCCTCAGCCTCCAGAGTAGCTGGGACTACAGGCGCCTGCCACCACGCCCGGCTAATTTTTTGTATTTTTAGTAGAAACAGGGTTTCACCGTGTTAGCCAGGATGGTCTCAATCTCCTGACCTCGTGATCCGCCCACCTCGGCCTCCCAAAGTGCTGGAATTACAGGCGTGAGCCACCGCGCCCGGCCTACTGGATTACCTTTTCTCTTCTCCCCAAATATTTTGGTCTAAAAATACCAGCAGGATGGGAGGGGCAGGGGAAAGAGAATTGCCTTGAGGAAGAAGGCATCTCATGGGTAGATGGAGAATGCAAGGGCCATACCTTTTTCTGTGGGCTATTAGATGTTGAGACTAAATTTTATGAACTTGCTTAGTAGCATGGATTTTCCTTTGTAGGTTTCTTTTTTTTTTCGAGACAGGGTCTTTGTCACCCAGACTGGAGTGCAGTGTCACAATCTTGGCTCACTACAGCTTCAACCTCCCAGGTTCAAGAGATGTCTTGCCTCAGCCCCCCAAGTAGCTGGGACTACAGGTGCACGCCACCACGCCTGGCTAATTTTTGTATTTTTCATAGAGACAAGGTTTTGCCATGTTGCCAGGCTGGTCTCAAACTCCTGGACTCAAACAATCCACCAGCTTCAGCCTCCCAAAGTGCTTGAGCCACCAAACCCGGCATTCCTTTGTAGATTTCTTTTTTTTTTTTTTTTTTTGAGACGGAGTCTTGCTTTGTCACCCAGGCTGGAGTGCAGTGGCGTGATCTCAGCTCACTGCATTCTCCCCCTCCCGGGTTCACGCCATTCTCCTGCCTCAGCCTCCCGAGTAGCTGGGACTACAGGCACCCGCCACCAAGCCCAGCTAATTTTTTGTATTTTTAGTAGAGACAGGGTTTCACCATGTTAGCCAGGATGGTCTCGATCTCCTGACCTTGTGATCCGCCCGCCTCGGCCTCCCAAAGTGCTGGGATTACAGGCTTGAGCCACCATGCCCAGCCTGTAGATTTCTATAAACAGAGAAAAGTACCATCAGGTTGGTACTTGTCTTGTTTCTGATTTCTTATTTTTTATAGAGATAGGGGTCTCACTTTGTTGTCTAAGCTGGTCTCAAACTTATGGCCTCAAGTTATCCTCCTACCTTTGTTTCCGGCCTTAGTGGAAAAGCTTCTAGTTTTTCACCATTGAGTATGATGTTAACTGTAGATTTTTCAGGCGTGGCCTTTATCATGTTGAGGAAGTTACATGCTATTCCTAGTTTGTTAGATTTCTTTTTATCACAAGAGTATTAAATTTTTAAATTAGATTTGTATTGTGGTAAAATGTACATGACATAAAATTTAATGTAAAAGAATGAAGTTAGATCCTTACCTATCACCATCTACAAAACTTAATTCAAAAATAAATCAAAAACCTAAATGTAAGCATGAAAAATACAAAACTCTTAGAAGAAAACCTGGAGGTAAAGCTTCATGACTTTGGATTTGGCAATGATTTCTTGGCTATGAAACCAAACGGACAGGCAATAAAAGAAAATAGACAAGTTGGACTTCATCAGTAGTTTTTTAACTTTTGTGCATCAAGGGACACTATTCACGGACCAGGTGTGATGGCTTATGCCGCTAATCCCAGCACTTTGACAGGCGGAGGTGGGAGCTAGGCTTGAAGCCAGGAGTTTGAAACCAGCCTGGGCAACATAGTGAGAACCCCCTCCATGCAAACAATTTTTTAAAAACTTAGCTGGGCATGGTGGAGCTTGCCAGCTACTTGGGAGGCTGAGGTGGCAGAATCGCTTGAGCCCAGCAGTTCCAGGTTGCAGTGAGCTAGGATTACACCACTGCACTCCAGCCTGGGCGACAGAATGAGACCCTGTCTCAGAATAAAAAGGCAATCCCCAGAATGGGGGAGAGAGAATACAGTTCACCCTTGAACAACACAGGTCCGAACTGCGTAGGTCCACTCATACATGGATTTATTTAACCAAATACGGATTGAAAATACATTATTTGCCCAATGTGAAACCCACATATGTGGAGGGCTAACTTTTTATAAGCAGGGGTTCTGCAGGGCTGACTGCAGGACTTGAATATGCTTGAGTATGTGAGGATTTTGGTATATGTGGGCATCCTGGAACAAATCCTCTGTGTATACCGACAGATGATTCTATTTGCAAATCAAGTATATATATATATATTTTTTGAAACGAAGTCTCGCTCTGTCACCCAGGCTGGAGTGATGTGGCACAATCTTGGCTCACTGCAACCTCTGCCTCCTGGGTTCAAGCAATTCACGGGCCACCACTCCTGGCTAATTTTTGTATTTTTAGTGGAGATGAGGTTTTGCCATGTTGGCCAGGCTGGTCTCAAACTCGTGACCTCAATGATCTGTCTGCCACGGCCTCCCAAAGTGCTGGGATTAGAGGCTTGAGCCACCATGCCTGGCCTGAAAATCACATATTTGATAAGGGATTGTTATCCAGGATATATCGAGAGCTCTTAAAACTTAACTAATTAACAACCCAAGTTACATGACATGTCTTTCCATTTATTTGTCTTCTTTGATTACTTTCAGCAATGGTTTGCAGTTTTCAGTGTAGAAGTCTTTGACCTCCTTGGTTAAATTTACCCTAAAGTATTTTATACTTTTTCATGCTGTCATACATGAAATGTTCTTAATTTCCCTTTTGGGATGTTCACTGTTTGTGTGCAAAAATGCAACTAATTTTTGTGTGTGTTGATTTTGCATCCTATTACATTGCTGAATTTATTAGTTCTAACAGTTTTCGTCTATGCTGGATCCTTACGGTTTTCTACACATAAGACCACATCGTTCATGAAAAATTTTATTTCTTCCTTTCCGATCTGAATCTTTTAAATTTGTCTTGCTGAATTGTCCTGACTAGAACTTCCAATGCTATGTTGAATAAAATTGGCACAAATTGGTATCCTTGTCTTGTTCATGATTTTAATGGAAAAGCTTCCAGTCTTTCACCACTGAGTATATTAGCTGTGGGGAGTTTTTTGGGGTTTTTTTTGTTTGTTTCTTTTTTTTGAGACAAAGTCTCACTCCTGTCCCCCAGGCTGGAGTGCGATGGTGTGATCTTGGCTCACTGCAACCTCCGCCTCCCAGGTTCAAGCGATTCTCCTGCCTCGGCCCCCCGAATAGCTGGGATGACAGGCTCCTGCCACCACGCCTGGCTAATTTTTGTATTTTTAGCAGAGACAGAGTTTCACCATCTTGGCCAGGCTGGTCTCGAAACCAGACTGCCAGCTGTGTTACACTGGGTAAATAAACTTAACCTCTCCATGCCTCAATTTCCCTGTCTGTAAAATTGGAGAAAATAATAAAACCTCATAATGTATTAGGGAATTAAGTGATTAGAAAATCGCTGGCACAGAGTAGGGCTTCAATAAGTGTTATTAGTTGTTATCAGTAGGCAACTATAATTACTATTATTAGGTATAATATTAGGTATATGTAAGTGTAATGGAAAAATATGACATCTAGCCCTTTATATATATATATATATAGTTTTATAATTGAGGTGAAATAGTCAACAAATATACACATATTAACTGTACAGTTCAATTTTTATAAGTATGAATATTCCCGTCCAACCACCACCTAGATCAAGATGAAACTTTTCCATTCCTTAAGGTTCCTCATGTCACTTCCCAGTTAATCCCTACGGAAGCAACCACTCTAACTTCTCCTAGATCAGTAAAGATGAGTTTTGCCTTTTCTTGAAATTTATATAAATAGAATTATATAGTATGTTCTCTTTTGTACTTGGCTTCTTTCCTTCAACATGTTTTTGAAATTTATCCACCATATTGTGTGTACCAGTAGTTTGTTTTTATTATTTATTATTATTTATTATGTAAGTATACCCTTGCATGAATACCTGTTGTCTTGTTGATGGACATTCGGGTTGTTTCCAGTTTTGGGCTATTATGAGTAAAGCTGGGATGAACATTCCTATGTAAGACCTTTAGGACGGGCGCAGTGGCTCACACCTGTGATCCCAGCTCTTTCGGAGGCCGAAGTGGGTGGATCACCTGAGCTCAGGAGTTCAAGACCAGCCTAGCCAAAACGGTGAAACTCCATCTCTACTTAAAAAAAAAATCAGCCAGGTGTGGTGGTGGGTGCCTGTAATCCCATCTACTCAGGAGGCTGAGGCAGGGGAACTGCTTCAACCTGGGAAGTGGAAGTTGCAGTGAGCTGAGATCATACCACTACACTCCAGTCTGGGTGACAGTGTGAGACTCCATCACAAAAAAAAAAAAAAAGCCTTTAGTGGACACAAGCACAAATTTCTTCCGAGTAAGTACTAGGCGTAGAATAGTTCAGTCATAGGGTAAGCGCGTGGTTAACAAAGTGGTTGCAGCATTTTACATTCCCAACAGCAATGCAGAAGAGTTCTAGGTGTTCCCCATCCTTGCCACTAGTATTATTCTGTAGCTATGCAGAGCAGGTAAAATGCCTAACCATAATATCTGAACGAACTCGTTCCAGGGCTGAATAAAATCACATATTGCATTTTCTTAAAATAAAAATTCAGTCCTTCTAATTCACTTTTCAGATTTTTTTTCTTCTTTTTTAAGAGATAGGATCTCGTTCTGTCACCCAGGCTGGAGGGCAGTGGTGCAATCATAGCTCACTGCAGCCTCTAACTCCTGGGCTCAAGTGTCCTCTTGCCTCAGCCTCCCGAATAACTGGGACCATAGGTGCAAGCCACCAGCTTTTTAGATTATTTAGTGCTCAGAGTAATCAGATACATCACCCGTACGTGCGGAAGACAGTGAGTAAACCCCAAGATAATGCTGCTACCTCAATAACAGCTTAGTCTATGACCTAATACAACACCAGCTAACACTCGCTAAGTATTACTCCATGCCAGCCACTATTCATGGGTTATCCCATGTAATCCTCTCAATGACATTGGGGGTGTGTGCTATCTTATCTCTATGTCATAAATGAGGCTCAAGTGGGGCCCAGACAGGTTCAGGAACATGCTTGCTCAAGTAGCCACCGCTGCCAGAGGCTCAGATCCAGCCATGACTGACTCTACACCCACATCCACGATGGTCCAGCTTCAGCAGAAGCATTTAGACCAGAGTGCAGCAAGCTAATGACAATGGGGAACGACCCCAGATTGAGGCCCAAGCAGCCTTCACGGTGGATGCTAGGGATACATAAGCTGTATAGTAAGAAATGCACCCTACGAAATGCCCTGAACCACCTATTTTATCTGAGTCATTCAACAACTTCATCTGCTGCTGATGAATCATAGGTCACAGGAGCTCATCAGCCAAAGTAAGAATGTCGCCATCTCCTGCTTTCTGCCATGCCCTTGCCTGGCGCTGTCACTCTCTAGCTGTGGCCACCTGAGCATGGGCACATCCACCTCAAGTCAAACCCAGAGCCCCTCCCCAAAATCCCTTCTAGATCTTCAGCACACCTTGGTGAGCTCTGAAAAACAAAACCCTGGGGCAAGGCCCAGCTAAGGGTGCTGTGGGAGCTGCTAGCTGGGGCCGGCACTTTCCTTCCCCAAACAGCCCGCAAACAAACATCTTTTTATAGTTCTGCAGAGCGATGTGACACTTTGTTTTCTCAGCATTGGAGGCAGCTGATAGCCCACTGGGGAAACCCAGATGCTTCCAAGCAAGTTATCTGACCAGGGGCTCCTTTCTGAGAATAAAAATGATCTTTCCCACAATGTGGGCAATCCTTCTTGGAGGCCAGCACAGAGATGTAGTGGTTGGAGAGTTTCTGCCTCCTGGGCACTTGGTTCAAGGTCTCTAGTCATCTCCAATGTCAGACTGAAGGAGCTAAGAGTTCCAGCCACGTACTCTGAAAAGGACATGGCTAGGGGTCACACCAAGGCTCTTTATATAATCCTCTTTGACAAGCCTGTGCAGCAGCTATAATTATTTCTCATTTCACAAACATGGAACCTGAGACATAAAGTCTTTAAATTGTTTACATGTAAGACTGTCAGAAGTCCTTTCTTGGGAAAGGTTTTGTTTTGTTTTTTTGTTTGTTTGTTTGAGATGGAGTCTCGCTCTGTCTCCCAGGCTGGAGTGCAGTGGCACGATCTCGGCTCACTGCAAGCTCCGCCTCCCAGGTTCACACCATTCTCCTGCCTCAGCCTCCTGAGTAGCTGGGACTACAGGTGCCCGCCACCGCGCCCGGCTAATTTTTTTTTTTTTTTTGTATTTTTAGTAGAGATGGGGTTTCACCACGTTAGCCAGGATGGTCTCAATCTCTTGACCTTGTGATCCGCCTGCCTCGGCCTCCCAAAGTGCTGGGATTACAGGCGTGAGCCACCGTGCCCGGCCAGGTTTTTTTTTATTTTTTAACAGACAGAGTCTCAGCCGGACACAGCCTATAATCCCAGCACTTTGGGAGTCTGAGGCAGGAGGATCACTTGAGTCCAGGAGTTCAAGAACATCCTGGCCAACATACTGAAACCTCATTCCTACAAAAAATCAAAAATTAGCCAGGCGTGGTGGTGTGCACCTCTATTCCCAGCTACTTGGGAAGCTGAGGCAGGAGGATTGCTTGCACCTCGGAGGTCAAGGCTGTAGTGAGTTGTGCTCATGCCACTGCACTCAGCTTGGGCAGTGCAGCAAGATGCTGACTCAAAAAAAAAAAAAAAAAAGACAGTCTCACTCTGTTGCCCTGGCTGGAGCACAGTGGTAGGATCATGGCTCACTGCAGACTCCAACTCCTGGGCTCAACCAATCCTCCCACCTCAGCCTCACAAGTAGCTGTGACTATAGATAAGTGCCACCACGCCTGGCTGCTATTTTCCTGTTGTTGACATTGTGTTTTTCCACGTTTTAGTGTTAAGTGACAGGAACAACAGAGGTTTTTTAAAAAAGACTTTCCTTGGCAAAATTAAAGGAGAACAACACTATATCAGTCTTTCATCTTTTTTTTATTGCTTTAAACTACTGAAAGAAGTCTGGTAACCACTGCTACACACCATGCCTCCTTCCCATGGCAAGGCTGAGCCCCGAAATCCAGGTCTAAAGGTACTCTCCATGTTGTTTTAGACTACCCCCCTATGTGGGATTACACTTATTCCTCTCCACACAGATGACAACTTCCTGGTCTCATATTGCGTAGGATAGCCAGGTGTGGTGGCACATGCCTGTAGTCCCAGCTATTCAGGAGGCTGAGGGGAGAAGACTGCTTGAGCCAGGAGTTTAAGGATGCAGTGAGCTATGATGGCACTGGTGAACAGCCACTACATTCCACCCGGGGCAACATAGCAAGACCCTATCTCCAAAAATGCAGCCCCCGAAAAAACAAAAAACACCTAAAAATTAAATACTGTAATACCAGCATTTTGGGAGGCCAAGGTGGGAAGATTGCCCAAGGCCAGGAGCTTGAGACAGTCTGGGCAACACAGCAAGATCCCATCTCTCTATCTCTCTCTCTATATATATATATAAATATAGATATAGATATATATAGATACATAAATAATGAGAGTATCACACACATTAAGTAAGACCAGTGGAAGCTCCAGTGCATCAGAGCACATATGTGTGTGTGTGTGTGTGTGTGTGTGTGTGTATACGTATGTGTATTAAATAAATAAAAATAAAATTTTGTTTTGTTTTTTGAGACGGAATCTTGCTCTATCACCCAGGCTGGAGTGTAGTGGCGCCATCTCGGCTCACTGCAACCTCTGCTTCCCGGGTTCAAGCGATTCTCCTATCTCAGCTTCCTGAGTAGCTGGGATTACAGGCGCGAGCCACCACACCCAGCTAACTTTTGTATTTTTAGTAGAGATGGGGTTTCATCATGCTGTAGTGAGCTGGTCTTGAACCCCTGGCCTCAAGAGATCCACCCGCCTTGGCCTCCCAAAGTGCTTGGATTACAGGTGTGAGCCACCGCGCCCAGCTAAAAATAAAAATTGTTTAAATATCTATCACTGAAGCAATTTCATCCAGCCAGTGTGTGTTATTTGGAATTTCTCTGGCTGTCTTTGTGTCCTCTAGCCAAAAAAAAAAAAAAAAAAAAAAAAAAAAAAATCATCTCATTCAATAAGCCCATTTATTAAATTCCATCAATATGTCATCTCCTCTTCTAGGTACTATGTCACCCAGCCTGGGTGACAGCATGAGACTCCATCTCAAACAAAAAAGTTTAAGTAAGCTCCCAGCTGAGACCTAAAGTATGAGAAGGGACCAGTGGGGAAAGAATTGCAGGGAAGAGCATCCAGGCAAAGGGAACAGCTTATGCAAACACACAGATTCCAGGGGAAAAGAACTAGGGGACAGTGAAATTGGAGGAGGTGAGGCAGCACCAGGTCATGGTGAACCTCAGAGCTATTTGGGGGGTGTCGATTTTGGTGCAAATGCAATAGGAAGCCCTTGGGGAAAGGGGCGGTTTAAGAAGGAGAATGAGATGGGGCCTGATTTACATTTTCTGCAAGTTATTCTGGCTGTTGGGGGTAGAGAGGAGGCAGGGAGGCGGGAAGGAGGCTGTGCTGGCCTCCAGGGCCAAGCTGGTGATGGCTTGACACAGGGGTGGCAACGAGAACAGAGGGAAGTGGGGTAGGGATTTATTTTGGAGGTAGAATTGAAGAGTCTTGGTGGTGGCCCGGGTGTGGGTGGTGAGGGTGAGATGATCCAAAGATGCCTCCCTGTTTTCTGGCCGGAGCCACCAGGTAGATGATGATGGTGCCATTTCCCGAGACGGGGAAGTCACAGGAGGGGCAGGCTGGGGAAGGAACCAAGAGTTGACTTTTGGACGCATTATGTTCAAGCTGTTATTTGTCCTGCCTGGCTAATGACTGACAGAGCTCTGTGGGCCTCATTGAGATAATGCTTATAAAGGTTTCATGCCAAAGCTACTGAAAAGCAAGTGTGAAATTTGTTTTTATTATTATTTAGTATTGCCTGATCTCCTACCCAAGCCCACCATAAAGGTCTGATTATGAAATCCACAAGCCAGAGGTCCCCACCACCTTCTTGTCTTTTGCTGCCTCCCTGCCACCCATCCCACAGCAACCTTAACAAAGCTCTGATGGTGGGATTCCAGGCATCGTCAACCAATGGCAAGGGAGGGGGCGCTGAGTTACCCCATATTGGCGCCTGGCAGCCTCTGGGGGCTGTGGGGTGGGCAGGGCTGGCCTCCTCTGGTGACTGGGGAGGGAGCTGGCAGAAGGCCGGGGAAGGGGGACAATGGGCCTTTGTCTTTGCCGAGGTTTCTCCATCCAAGATGCTCTAGCTCCTAGAAAAACATGACCTCATTCGTCCTCCAGGCTCCAGGACCCAGGGCAGAGACAGGCTTGGAGTTGGATGCACCCACCGCATTTCACAGACTGGAAAACCAAGTCACACAAGGAAAGAAGACAAGAGGACACCAAGGCTCCAGCCCTAAGACCCAGCCAGAAGTCATGCCCTCCCGGGTTGCTGAGCCCAGGGAGGGGACTCACAAGAGGGTCTTCTAGGCAGCAAAGGTCTAGCTAGCCCGCAAGCTCCTGGGACAGGCAGGTTGCACTTGGATCTGCTACTCACAGCTGTGTGGCTCTAAGCAGATTACTCACCTACTCTGCGCCCTGGTTTCTGCATCTGATGCAAGACTGGCAGCCTCTTTCTTGCAAGGTTAGAGTGCCCCTGGAGATCGCTGCTAAGAATTCAGAAAGGCCTGCTTCCCGCCATGGCATCTGCGCCCACTGCTCTGCCTAAGAGGTGATCTTCCAGGGAAGAAAGTGGGGATTAAGGCCCATCCCACGCAAGCCTCCAGGGTCCACAAATGTCCCTCTCTTGCCAGGGGCTCTGCAGTGACAAGGCCTGGCAGGAGTCTGGCATATCTTTCTGGTAGCTTCCTAAGTGACGTTCTCCCACACTGGCCCTGCTGGGCTTTCACCCCCGGCCCACAATAGCCCTCACTTCCTATGCCAATCCCCCCCTCTCCAGAGGGTCTTCTCCAACCTGGTCTCCATCTCCACAACCATCTGGGGACACCCCTGCACCTGAAACCTCAGCAATTCAAGTTGCAAGATGCCAGCTGGAGGGACTCCCGGCCATTCTCTCAGTCTCATGTCTAAAATAGGATAGTGGGGCTGGGCATGGTGGCTCACGGCTGTAATCCCAACGCTTTCGGAGGCTGAGGTAGAAGGATGGCTAGAGGCCAGGAGTTCGAGATCAGCCTGGGCAACATAGCCAGACCCCATTTCTAAAAACAAAAAAATTAAACAATTAGCCGGGCATGGTGGTGTATGGTCCCAGCTACTCGGTAGGCTGAGGCAGGAGGATTACTTGAGTCCAGGAGTTCAAGGTTGCAGTGAGCTATATTTGCACCACTGTACTCCAGCTTGGGTGACAGAGCAAAACCCTGTCTCTAAAAATAAGTAAAATGGGGCCAGGCGCGGTGGCTGACACCTGTAATCCTAGCAATTTGGGAGGCCAAGGCCGGTAGATCACCTGAGGTCAGAAGTTCGAGACCAGCCTTCCCAACATGGTGAAACCCTGTCTCTACTAAAAATACAAAAATCAGCCAGGCGTGGTGGCATGTGCCTATAATTCCAGCTACTAGGGAGGCTGATGCAGGAGAATCACTTGAACCCGGGAGGTAGAGGTTGCAGTGAGCCGAGATTGCACCATTGCACTCCAGCCTGGGCGACAGAGCAAGACTCCATCTCAAACATAAATAAATAAACAAATAAATAAATAAGTAAAATGGGATAATGGAACTTCTTGGGGACGTGGGAGCATTCGGTGAGAGGAGACTCCAGGGACCTGCACAGGGCTGGACACAGAGTAGATGCTTATGAAATGACAGGCTTATTAATACCAATTTTTCATCCCTTTCAAAGGTCATTCAGAACAACCTCCCAAGTCACTTACAGAAAGTAAAACCAGAGAGGGTTAGTTGTCAGTCGTCGTCACACAGCCTGTCAGTGTCAGGGCTCGGTGCAGACCCGGCCTCTGCATGCTGCCTTGGGGGTTCTCAGGCCGGGCCATGATCCTCAGCCCAGGGACCAGGTGAGGGAGGAGGGTGAGTGAGGCTGGAGATGGCCCAGGCTCTGGACTTTCCCTTGGCCCCATCTTCCACCGAGGCTGCATTCCCAGTGAGATAAACAAGGGATCAGCGGGAACAAAATGGATGAAGTAACGGGGAAGATATGAGTGGCTGTGCACAGCCCCCAGCCCACCCCACCTGCCTGCCCACCAACAGGGACTGCTTCAGGAGAGGCATGGCCGGCCCCTGAGTCTCAGCCCGTGCCAGGCACTAAGGGTGCTCAGCACTGGCCAAGCCCTTCCTGATCCCCGGGCTCAGGTGGCAAACCTCCTGTGGTGCCCTTGGACCCTCTCTGGGCCCTGTCCCTATGCTCCACCCTCCCTGGGCTGGGATTATTTCAAATCCCCTCCACCAGAGCCTTGGAGGAGACAATTGCATGCTCCCAAATGCAAATTCAGAGCCCCAGGGCTGTCTGGAGTGGACATATGATTTCCCACCCTGGCTCAACTGGTCTGGGGTTCAGCCTGTGTCTCTGGGGCACCTGCAGTGCCTTGCTGCCTGAGGCCAGCTCCCTACTGTGGTGGAGAGGCTGTGTCTGCCCAAGGCTTCCCCAACCCCAGTGCCAGCTCCCTGCCCCTGCAAATTTCTGCCCATCCTGACCTCTCCAAGGAGCCCTGGAACTCAGGGGACCATCTCCAGGGCCGGATGGGAGGCTGGCACTGCTGCCAAAGCCTGGACGCCCACCCAGCTGGACACTAACCTGGGTACCTTCCCTTGCTGAGACATAGATAAAGAGCAAGGGTGTTGGCCAGACAGGGCTCCACCCGCCGGCTGTGAGCAGCCAGGACCTGCAGCCTTGGGCCAGGGACCCCAGAGGCTCAACATCTGCCCCTACTTGCCTCAGAAGGAGGCAAGAAACGAGCCCTCTCCCTGCCAGGAAACATCACTGGAGTGCCCACCAATACCCTGAGCTGGGAGCCTGGCACAGAGGGGGTGTGCGGTGGGCACCCTAGGGCCCGCCTGGCTCACTTCGGCCTCAGTTGCCCTCAGCAAACAGTCCCCAAACTGCACCAGGCCCTGACTAGGCTAAGAGGGGGCTGTCTCTCTTCCCTCCCAGGTTTTTTGCAACCAACAGAGCTGGGATGGTGGAGCCCCAGGCCCTGGAATCTGCATTTTGGGACTCCTCGGGTGATATGAAGGCAGGTGGTCTCTAAGCACAACTGGAGAGACTCCACTGTGGTCCCTTCCCCATTTCCCCGTCCCCTCCCCGGCTTCAGAGGGCCCTGTCCCTACCTGCAGAGGAGGCTCCTTCATCCCAGCTTCCCGGGTACTCCGGTCCCCACTTTGCCGGCTGACATTCTGCCCCCCACGCCCCAGGCATCCTGTTATGACCATGGAGAACCACATAGGTTTCCCCAGCACACAACCACCTTCCCTCTTCAATAGCTGCTTCCTCTGTCGGAAATGCTTGTTCCGTGGTCTTTCCACCCAAAATATTCCCACTCAGCCTCGCAGGCCAGCTCCTATGTCACCTCCAAGAAGCCTTCCTTGACCTCCACCTGGTCCGTGCAGTCCCTCCGTTCTAACATCTCTTCTACTAGTGCTCATCACACCGGAATGAAATCGCCTTTCCTCTGGCTAGGAGCTTGTCAAGAACTGAGACCGTGTCTGAACCTCCCATACTGAGCCAGCCAAGGGCTGCTGGCTGAGCAGGACAGGCCAAGGGACCAGGCCACCCCCCAAGCTACAACAACACACTTGCCCAGACTAAGATGTCTCAGGGAACGTCACCTTTGGAGTGTGGGGGAAAGGGACCGACATTTGCCGAAGTCCTACGATGTTCTAGATTCTCTTGTACCCTTTCTTCAAAGGAGAAGACTGAGTCCCAGGGAAGGGAACTGACTCGCCCAGGGTCACTCAGCTCAGAGGTGGTGAGGTTGGCCTGGGAACCCCTGTGATCATTTCCAAACCTTGCTGACCCCATGGGACCACAGTTTCTAGCTCATCCCATCCCCCAGCAGGACACACTGCTTGAAGTTAAGAAAAATTCTAGGCCAGGTGCAGTGGCTCACGTCTGTCATCCCAGTACTTTGGGAAGCCAAGGTGAGAAGATCGCTTGAGTACAGGAGTTTGAAATCAGCTTGGGCAACATAGGGAGACCCCACCTCTACAAAAAAAAAAAAATTAGCACGGCATAGTGGTGTGCACCTGTAGTCCCAGCTACTAGGGAGGCTGAGGTGAGAGGATTGCTTGAGCCTGGGAGGTTGAGGTTGCAGTTAGCCGAGATTGCACCACTACACTCCAGTCTGGGTGACACAGTGAGATTCTAGTTAAAAAAAAAAACAAGAATTCTGAGAACAAGGACTTGCCCAGAGCCGAGGCCCAGAGCCAGGGGCCTGACTCTAGACAGTGGAACCAAGAAGCCGGCACTCGGGACATACATGGTCCCTGTCTGTGTGGCATACAGTGGATGCACATGGCGAGACTCGCCAGCTCATGAGCGCAGGAACCCTGCCCCTCTGGCCTAGAAGCCACCTGCCGTGGGGGCCACGGGCTCCTGAAGCTGCTCCCCCAAGAGTCACCAGGCAGGGTCTGGATCGCAGAGTTGACACTAAACACATGCTCGTGCAGTAGACAGGCGTGGGAGGCACCCCGAAGAGGTCAGTACTGTTTTGAACAGAGCGGGGATGAGGTGACCCCTGACTCCCTGACAGGAAGCTACTTAAGCGGCAGCCGCCGGCGCACCGGAGACACCCAATCTGTCAGCACTGGCTGCGTGATGGGCCGGCCTCCAGAGGGGAGCCAGATGGGCCCAAAGCCCTGGCTCAGGGGGAGGCGGGGGCTGCAGTTGCCATCTGTAGGGAGCCACTCTCTATTTTAATTTAAATTTAAGAGACACGGTCTCGTTCTGTTGCCCGGGCTGCAGTGTAGTGGCACAATCATGGCTCACTGCAGCCTCAACCTCCTGGGCTCAAGGAGTTTGAGGCTAATCCTCCCACCTCAGCCTCCTGAGTAGCTGGGACTACAGGGGCACTCCACTACCCTTGACTAATTAAAAAAAAAAAAACAAAAAACTTCTGTAGAGATGAGGTCTTGCTATATTGTCCAGGCTGGTCTTGAACTCCTGACCTCAAGTAATCTGCCCGCCTCGGCCTCCCAAAGTGCTGGGATTACAGGTGTCAGTCACTGCGCCTGGCCCAAAGTAATTTTAAGAGTTGCCTGTGTTCACTGTTTACACATTTCACTTACTACTTTCCTCCTTCATGTCCTCCAACCTGGTTTCTGTCACCCCATTCCACCAAAACTCTTCAGGTTCACCGATGACCTTTCTGTGGATCAATCTTGTGAACTCTTTTCACTCCTTATTTTACTCAAAACTGCTGCAGCATTTCATGTTAGCTTTTTTTTTTTTTTTTTTCTTTTTGAGACGAAGTCTCACTGTCACCCAGGCTCGAGTGCAGTAGCACAATCTTGGCTCACTGCAACCTCCACCTCCCGGGTTCAAGCAATTCTCCCACCTCAGCTTCCCAAGTAGCTGGGACTACAGGTGCACACCACCATGCCTGGCTAATTTTTGTAGTTTTAGTAGAGATGAGGTTTCACATTGTTGCCCAGGCTGGTTTTGAAGTCCTGCCCTTAGGTGATCCACTCACCTTGGCCTCCCAAAGTGCTGGGATTACAGGCGTGAGCCACCATGCCCAGCGATTCACACTAGTTTTATTTATTTTTATTTTTTTATTTTTATTTATTTATTATTATACTTTAAGTTTTAGGGTATATGTGCACAATGTGCAGGTTAGTTACATATGTATACATGTGCCATGCTGGTGCGCTGCACCCACTAACTTGTCATCTAGCATTAGGTATATCTCCCAATGCTATCCCTCCCCCCTCCCCCACACTAGTTTTATTTTTTTGTGAGAAGGAGTTTTGCTCTGTCGCCAGGCTGGAGTGCAGTGGCGTGATCTCAGCTCACTTCAACCTCCACCTCCCAGGTTCAAGTGATTCTCCTGCCTCAGCCTCCCAAGTGGCTGGGATTACAGGCGCCCACCACCACGCCCAGCCAATTATGGTATTTTCAGTAGAGACCAGTGCTGAGACCAGCATGGTTGGGGAGACCCTAACCCAGCGGCACTATAGGAATTAAAGACACACACACAAAAATATAGAGGCGTGAAGTGGGAAATCAGGGATCTCACAGCCTTCAGAGCTGAGAGCCCCAAACAGAGATTTACCCACATATTTATTAACAGCAAACCAGTCATTAGCATTGTTTCTAGAGATATTCAACTAACTAAAAGTATCCCTTATGGGAAACGAAGGGATGGGCTGAATTAAAGGAATAGGTTGGGTTAGTTAACTGCAGCAGGAACACGCCCTTAAGACACAGAGCGCTCATGTTATTATTTGTGGCTTAAGAATGCCTTTAAGCGGTTTTCCGCCCTGGGCGGGCCAGGTGTTTCTTGCCCTCATTCCCGTAAATCCACAACTTTCCAGCTTGGGCGTTAGGGCCATTATGAACATACACACCTGCACACACATGCCTGCACACGCACACCTGCACATGCATGCCTGCAAACACACACCTTGCACATGCACACCTGCACACACATGCCTGTACACACGTCTGTACATACACACCTGCAGATGCACACCTACACACACATGCCTGCACACGCACACCTACACACATACACCTGCACACACATGCGTGCACACACGGCTGTACATACACACCTGCACACACGTGCCTGCACACTTACACCTGCACACACACGCCTACACACTCAAACTCTTCCTGGCGCCAGATTTTGCCACAGGGAGGAACAAGGAGCAGGGTTCTCTAGAATGATCCCTCCCTCCATCCTGTCTCTTGAAGATCAGTTGATTTGTGGGGTCAGGTTCTCCTGACCCATTGGGAAGCCTCCCTGCCTGTCTCTACCTTCCAGCACAGTTCAGGAGATCCATGGGGTTGATGTCAGCTCCTCAGACACCCTCAGCTGGCATGGGACAGGTAGAAGTTTCTCAGGGTCTGGAGCAGCCAAATGAGGGGAACAGGGAGAGAGGATTATCCAGCCTGATCACCCCAGTCTCACTGCAGCCTCAACTTCCCAGATCCTTTCACCTCAGCCTCCCAAGTAGCTGGAACCACAGGTGTGTAACACCACACCCAGCTAATTTTTGTATTTTAGGTAGAGATGGGGTTTCGCTATGTTGCACAGGCTGGTCTTGAACTCAATTTTTTTTTTTTTTTTTTGAGACGGAGTCTCGCTCTGTCACCCAGGCAGGAGTGCAGTGGTACGATCTTGGCTCACTGCAAACTGCCCCTCCCGGGTTCATGCCATTCTCCTGCCTCAGCCTCCTGAGTAGCTGGGACTACAGGTGTCTGCCACCGTGCCCGGCTAATTTTTTTATACTTTTTAGTAGAGACGGGGTTTCACCGTGGTCTCAATCTCCTGACCTCGTGATCCACCCGCCTCGGCCTCCCAAAGTGCTGAGATTACAGGCGTGGGCCACCACGCCCAGCTGGTCTTGAACTTGAGCTCAAGTGATCCACCTGCCTTAACCTCCCAAAGTGCTGGGATTACCAGCATGAGCCACTGTGCCCAGTCAGTTTGGCAGTGTTTTCTTAAGAATTTTTTAACCAATGTTCATAAGTAATATTGGTCAGTTGTTTTCATGTAGTGCCTTTGTCTGGCCCTAGCATCAAGGCAATGCTGGCCTCATAGAATGAGTTAGAAAGTATTTCCTCCTCTTCAAGTTTTTGAAAGAGTTTGCAAAGGACTGGCATTAATTTTCGTTAAATGTCTGGTAGAATTGACTGGTAAAACCATCCAGTCAGGGGTATTTCTTTGTTGAAAGGATTTTAATTAGTAATTTAATGTTCTTACTAGTTATAGGTTTACCCCTACTTTCTTTTTTTTTGAGAAGACTCGCTCTTGGCCCCCAGGCTGGAGTGCAATGCAGTGCACTCCAAAAGTGCTGGGATTACAGCTGGGAGCCACCATGCCCAGCTGGTTTGCCGATATTTTTTCTTTATTTGTGATTCAGTCTTGGTAGGCTTTGTGTTTCTAGAGATTTGCCATTTCATTTGGTTATTCAATTTGCTAGTGTACCTATGTTTATAGTATTATCTTATAATCACTTTAATTGCTGTAAAGTCACAGTAACGCCCTCATTTTTTTTTTTTTTTTTTTGAGATGGAGTCTCACTTTGTCACCCAGGCTGGAGTGCAGTGGCACGATCTCGGCTGACTGCAAGCTCAGCCTCCTGGGTTTACGCCATTCTCCTGCCTCAGCCTCCTGAGTAGCTGGGACTACAGGTGCCCGCCACTGCGCCTGGCTAATTTTTTTGTATTTTTTAGTAGAGACGGGGTTTCACTGTGGTCTCGATCTCCTGACCTCATGATCCACCCGCCTTGGCCTCCCAAAGTGCTGGGGTTACAGGCATGGGCCACCACGCCCAGCTGGTCTTGAACTTGAGCTCAAGTGATCCACCTGCCTTAATCTCCCAAAGTGCTGGGATTACCAGCATGAGCCACTGTGCCCAACCAGTTTGGCACTGTTTTCCTAAGAATTTTTTAACCAATGTTCATAAGCAATATTGGTCAGTTGTTTTCTTGTAGTGTCTTTGTCTGACCCTAGCATCAAGGCAATGCTGGCCTCATAGAATGAGTTAGAAAGTATTTCCTCCTCTTCAAGTTTTTGAAAGAGTTTGCAAAGGATTGGCATTAATTTTCGTTAAATGTCTGGTAGAACTGACTGGTAAAACCATCCAGTCAGGGGTATTTCTTTGTTGAAAGGATTTTAATTAGTAATTTAATGTTCTTACTAGTTATAGGTTTACCCCTACTTTCTATTTTTTTGAGAAGTCTCGCTCTTGTCCCCCAGGCTGGAGTGCAATGGAGTGCACTCCGAAAGTGCTGGGATTACAGGCGGGAGCCACCATGCCCAGCTGGTTTACCCATATTTTTTCTTTGTTTGTGATTCAGTCTTGGTAGGCTTTGTGTTTCTAGAGATTTGCCATTTCATTTGGTTATTCAATTTGCTGGTGTACCTATGTTTGTGGTATTATCTTATAATCACTTTAATTGCTGTAAAATCACAGTAATGTGCTCATTTTCTTTTTTCTTTCTTTTTTTTTTTTTTGAGATGGAGTCTCGCTTTGTCACCCAGGCTGGAGTGTAGTGGCACAATCTTGGCTGACTGCAAGCTCAGCCTCACGGGTTTACACCATTCTCCTGCCTCAGCCTCCTGAGTAGCTAGGACTACAGGCGCCCGCCACCACACCCGGCTGATTTTTTTCTATTTTTAGTAGAGATGGGGTTTCACCGTGTTAGCCAGGATGGTCTCGATCTCCTGACCTCGTGATCCGCCGGCCTTGGCCTCCCAAAGTGCTGGGATTACAGGCGTGAGCCACTGTGCCCAGCTTAATGCCCTCATTTTCATTTCTGATTTTGGATATTTGAGTCTTCTTTTTTTTTTTCTTAGTCAATCTAGCTAAAAATTTGTCAATTTTGCTGACCTGTAAAAAAACTTTTAATTTTATCTATTCTCTTCTTTTCCTTTTCTTTATTTATTTCCACTCTAATCTTTGTTTCCCCTATTCTGCTAGCTTGGGTTTAGTTCTTCTTTTTGTAGGTCCTTTAAAGTGTATAGTTAGGTGACTGATTTGAGATCTTTCTTTTATTTTTTATTTTTATTTATTTATTTTTTTTGAGATGGAGTCTCACTCTGTCGTGCAGGCTGGTATGCAGTGGTGCAATCTCGGCTCACTGCAGCCTCAACTTCCTGGTTCCAGTGATCCTCCCACCTCAGCCTCCCAAGTAGCTGGAACCACAGGAGGGTAACACCACAACCAGCTGATTTTTGTATTTTAGGTAGAGGTGGGGTTTCACTACGTTCCCCAGGCTGGTCTTGAACTCTTGAACTCAAGTGATCCACCTGCCTTGGCCTCCCAAAGTGCTGGGATTACCCGCCTGAGCCACTGCGGCCAGCCAGTTGGGCAGTGTTTTCTTTTTTTTCTTTTTTCTTTTTTTTTTTTTGAGATGGAGTCTCACTCTGTTGCCCAGGCTGGAGCGCAGTGGCGCAATGTCGGCTCACAGCCACCTCCGCCTCCCGTGTTCAAGCGATTCCCCTGCCACAGCCTCCCAAGCAGCTGGGGTTACAGGCACCCACCACCATGCCTAGCTAATTTTCTTTATTTTTAGTAGAGACAGAGTTTCACCATCTTGACCAGGCTGGTCTCAAACTCCTGACCTTGTGATCCACCCACCTTGGCCTCCCAAAGTGCTGGGATTACAGGCGTGAGCCACCACACCCAGCAGGCAGTGTCTTCTTGAGAATTTTTTAATCAATGTTCATAAGCAATATTGGTCAGTTGTTTTCTTGTACTGTCTTTGTCTGGCCCTAGTAACAAGGCAATGCTGTCCTCATAGAATGAGTTAGTGTTTCCTTCTCGGCCGGGCACCGGGTGGCTCATGCCTGTAATCCCAGCATTTTGGAAGGCCAAGGCAGGCGGATCATGAGGTCAGGAGATAGAGATCATCCTGGCTAACACAGTGAAACCCCGTCTCCGCTAAAAATACAAAAAATTAGCCGGGCGTTGTGGTGGGCGCCTGTAGTCCCAGCTACTCGGGAGGCTGAGGCAGGAGAATGGCGTGAACCCGGGAGCCAGAGCTTGCAGTGAGCCAAGATCGCGCCACTGCACTCTAGCGTGGGCGACAGAGCGAGACTCTGTCTCAAAACAAACAAAAAAAAGAAAGTATTTCCTCCTCTTCAAGTTTTTGAAAGAGTTTGCAAAGGATTGGCACTAATTTTTCCTTTAAATGTCTGGTAGAATTCACTGGTGGAGCCATCCAGTCAAGGGTATTTCTGTGTTGGGAAGATTTTATTGGTAATTTAATCTTCTTACTAGTTATACGTTTACCCATATTTTCTTTTTCTTTTTTTTTTTTTTTTTTGGAGACGAAGTCTCACTCTTGTCCCCCAGGCTGGAGCACAATGGTGCGATCTCAGCTCACTGCAACTTCCGCCTCCCAGTTCAAGTGATTCTCCTGCCTCAGCCTCCTGAGTTGCTGTGATTACAGGCGCCTGCCACCACACCCAGCTCATTTTTGTATTTTTAGTAGAGAAGGGGTTTCACCATGTTGGCCAGGCTGGTCTTGAACTCCTGATCTCAGGTGATCCGCCTACCTTGGCCTCCCAAAGTGCTGGGATTACAGGCACGAGCCACTGCACCTGGTTGGTTTACCCATATTTTTTATTTCTTTGTGATTCAGTCTTGGTAGGTTTGTGTTTCTAGAGATTTGCCATTTCATTTGGTTATTCAATTTGCTGGTGTACATATGTTTATAGTATTCTCTTACGATAACCTTAATTGTTGTAAAGTCACAGTAACGGCCTCATTTTCATTTCTGATTTTGGATATTTGAGTCTTCTTGTGTTTCTTAGTCAATCTAGCTAAAAATTTGTCAATTTTGCTGAACTGTAAAAAAAACTTTTAATTTTATCTATTCTCTTAATTTCCTTTATTTATTTCCACTCTAATCTTTGTTTCTGGTATTCTGCTAGGTTGGGGTTAGCTCTTCTTTTTCTAGATCCTTTAGAGGGTATAGTGAGGTGACTAATTTGAGATCTTTCTTACTTTTATTTTTTATTTTTATTGATTTTTTTTGAGATAGAGTCTCACTCTGTCACCCAGGCTGGAATGCAGTGGTGCTATCTCGGCTCACTGCAACCTCCCTCTCCCAGGTTCAAGCGATTCTCCTGCCCCAGCCTCCCAAGTAGCTGGGATTACAGGCCTGCATCACCATGCCTGGCTAATTTTTGTATTTTTAGTAGCGATGGGCTTTTGCCATGTTGGTTAGACTGGTCTTGAACTCCTGACCTCAGGGGATCCTCCCGCTTCAGCCTCCCAAAATACTGGGATGTTGGCATGAGCCACCACTGCTGGCTTTCTTATTTTTAAAGGTAGATGCTTACAGCTAAACATTTCCCTCTGAACGCTGCTTTAACTTCATCCCATAAGTTCTGGTATGTTGTGTTTTCATTTTCATTCATCTCAAAGTGTTTTCTAATTTCCTGTATGATTTCATCTCCAACCAGTGATCAAGAGTGTGTTTATTTTCCATATATTTGTGAGTTTTCAAGTTTTCCTTGTTACTGATTTCTAGTTTCATTCCATCGTGATTAGAAAATACTTAGTATTTTGCATACTTTCAAACTTTTAAAACATTAATATTTGTTTTGCAGCCTAATACACTGTATACTCTGGACAATATCCCACACGCTCTTGAAAAGAATGTGTATTTTGCTGTTGTTGGGTTGGTGTCTGCATATGACCATTAGATCTAATTGGATTATCATGTTGTTCAAGTGCTCTCTTTCCTATTGATCTGGTCTCTGTATTATTAACATTGAGGTAGTGAGGTCTCCAATGATCATCCTGAAACTCTATTTCTCCCTTTAATTCTATCCTTTTTTACTTCATATGTTTTGATGCTCTGTTGTTAGGCACATATGTTTTAAATTATTATATTTTCTTGTTGGATTAAACTTTTTATCAGTATAGAATTCCCTTGTCTCTCATAACCATTCTTGGCTTAAAACCTATTGTGCCTAACATGTGGCCACTCCTGGTCTCATTTGGTTACTTTTTTTTTTTTTTTTTTTTTGAGATGCAGTTTCACTCTTGTTGCCCAGGCTGGAGTGCAATGGCGTGATCTTGACTCCCCACAACCTCTGTCTCTCGGGTTCAAGCAATTCTCCTGCCTCAGCCTCCTGAGTAACTGGGATTACAAGCAGGTGCCATCACAGCCGGCTAATTTTTCTGTTTTTAGTAGAGACACGGTTTCACCATGTTGCTCAGGCTGGTCTCAAACTCCTGACCACATGATCCGACCGCCTCGGCCTCCCAAAGTGCTGGGATTACAGGCATGAGCCACCACGCCCAGCCAGAGAGACCCATTTTAACCACACAGGGACCCAGCTAAAAACCCTTCCCTGGTTCTGTCACCATCAGATTAAAGCCTAAGCTTCTAGATCTCTGTCCTGCACTTTTTCACTTTAATAACGACCCTCCAGGCTCAGTAGCTGATGCCTGTAATTTCAGCACATTGGGAGACTTGAGGCGGGAGGATTGCTTGAGTCCAGGAGTTTGAGACCAGCCTGGGCAACACACCAAGACTCCATCTTTACAAAATATTTAAAAATCAGCTGGGTGTGGTGGCACGCATCTGCAGTCTCAGCAACTTGGGAGGCTGAGGTGGGAGGATCCCTTGAGCACAGGCAGTTGAGACTTCAGTGACTCGTGATCGTGTCACTGTACTCCAGCCTGGGTGACAAAGTGAGACCCTCTCTCTCAATAAATAAATAAATAAGCACCTCCTTGTAGTTACTGGCCTCCTCTCCTTTGATTCCCCTCATTCCACCCTGTTAGTCTGAATGTTACTCATTCTTCAAGACACATGCAGAAAGTATTCCCCGATCCCTTCCAGGCTCCACGCCCGACAGCACGGCCTAAATGCCCGACTCCCTCCTCGGTGCTCCATCTTAGCTCACACTCCTTACCACACTGTTTTGAAAGTATCTTGACTGTCCCTTCTCCTCAACTGGCTAACTTCTAGAGAGTAGAAACATGACTGCTTGGAAGGTCATTAAAAATTCAAATCCTGAACATTTCTTAATCCTGCAGATATGAATCAGTAACTCTTAAAAGCAAAATGTTATTTATCATTAAATATTAACAATATAATCACATTTTCTTGCATCTCTGGCAAGTTTCTTGGTACAACAATTTTAAGGAACGGACTCTTTAACAGCAGTTAAAGCTGCGCGATAGCTGACGCCTATAATCCCAGCACTCTGGGAGGCCGAGGCGGGAGGATCGCTTAAGGCCAGGAGTTTGACACCTGCATGGGTAACATTGTGAGATCCCATCTCAAAAAATATAATAAAGAAAAACAAAGCAGTTCTAGGTTTAGGGGGGGAAAGTAGCTCTCCAAGCCAAAAACCAACTCCCAAGGTGCTCCGGTAAACTCGTCCTGGGAAAATTTCCTATTTAATCTCAAAGGCAAAACGAGTCCACGGGCGCCCACGACACATTTCCCAACCGCAAGGACTGGTCACCCGCGCTGAGACACCGCCAGCTGCCTATGACCTAGCCTCCAAAGCGGCAGAGTCCCTCCCTCTCTCTCCCTAAACTGCCGTGATGGACATCTCTCGGCTCTCCTCCCAGACGGTTCGGAAGTAGGGACTTCTGCTCCTAACCCCAGCCCTGCAGCCTCGCCCTCAGCCACGGGGTGGAAGTCAGGACCACAGGCTTCAAATCCCCTCCCAACTCCGGGACGCTTCTGTCCCCCCAGGGCGACGGGGGATCAAGTCCCGGCGCCCCTGTCGCGGCCAAGAGCTGTGGTCTGGGTCCGAGCGTCCCAGCTAGGCGCGTTCCAGAGAGGTCATGGGAGGGGCCCCGCGCGACCACAAATGTTGCTTCGGAGCCAGCGTCCTGGACGGGGAAGTGAGAGCCGGGACGAGGGGAGCCGCCGAAGAGGGAGGCGGCCGGGAAATGCTCCGCGTCAGGCCTTCAAGGGCTTGTCCGGGCGCTGGAGATGCCGGCAACGAGCACGTTAGACGGAGAAGCCGCGCACTGTGAGGATTAAGGGAGCCGAGGGCGGCCTGGAACTGGGAAGGCGGAGCTGACGGGGCTGGAATGTGGGACGAAGGACAGCGGGAGGCACCGACGCGCAACTGCCCCAGCCGCGCGGAGGGCACGGACCGACCGCCCCGCCGCCCACGGCCCGAGACGCCCGGCCGCCCCGCTCCCGTAGCTGAGAGCCGCGACGCTCTTACACCAGTCCGTCCGTTCCGTACCTCGCCCGCGGCTTCGCCGACATCCACACAGCCGCTCGCCCGCGTGGCTGCAGTAGGTCTGGTCTCCGTTGTCCGCTCCCGCCCCACACACACCCTCCTGCTAGCCCCGCCCCCGGCGCGGCCTGCGCACGCACGATACGCAAGCCGTGCAAACGTCACTTCCGGGGCCTTTGGCTCTTCACCGGAGGAAATGTGAGCCGGATCCAAAGGGTCGAGGGGACTGGGGTGCCCCCGTGACGTCTAAGAGCAAATAGAAGAGGGCGGCCTCCAGGCTAAAGCTAGGGCACTGGGGAGCCCCGGAGAAGCCTGCCTTTCCTAGTCTGTGGCTCAGTCCCTGCTTCCGGCTTCCGGCGCGCAGCAGCGGGAGAGCGACGCTGGCCCCCTGGCGATCCTGGCGCTGCGACCGCGGTGGTAGCGCGAATGGGAGGTGGAGCGGAGCCACTGCGCCGAGGGACGCTTCAAAAACTCTTTGAGTTTCAGCCCTTCGCGGATCCGAGGATGTGACAGTTGTTCGAGTTAAAGGGTCTTAAGGCGATCGGTTGATCCAAAAGCAGCTGAATCTTTAGAAGACCCACGCAGGAGGATTCCTTGAGGCCAGGAGTTCGAGACCAGCCTGGGCCACAAAGCAAGATCACTGTCTCTACAAAAGAAATTTTACTTGCTGGGCGCGGTGGCTCACGCCTGTAATCTCAGCACTCTGGAAGGCCGAGGCGGGCGGATCACGAGGTCAGGAAATCGAGACCATCCTGGCTAACACAGGGACCCCGTCTTTTCTAAAAAATACAAAAAATTAGCTGGGCGTGGTGGCGGGCGCCGGTAGTCCCAGCTACTCGGGAGGCTGAAGCAGGAGAATGGCGTGAACCTGGGACGCGGAGCTTGCAGTGAGCCCAGATCGCACCACTGCACTCCAGCCTGGGCGACAGAGCGAGACTCTGTTTAAAATAAACAAACAAATTTTACAAATCACCCAGGCATGATGGCGCGCACCTGTGGTCCCAGCTACTGGGGAGGCTGCGGTGGAAGGATCGCTTGATAGCCCAGGAAGTTGAGGCTGCAGAGATCCCTCCACTAAACTCCAGCTCCGGTGACAGAGCAGAGCGAGACCCTGCCCTCCCCTCCCCCCACAAAAAGCATAACCGAGACCCAGAAGTGCAATAAATTAGCCAGTGTCACAAAGTATTAATGGTTGAGTCACAAATTGAATCCTGTTGACGTGATTCCCATGTAAGGAATGTGAAAAACAGTACCTAAATACTGACTGCTCTGCGTCCTGGATGCCATCTATGGCGTAAGGTGCAGTCACAGCAAGAAAAAAAAGAAAATACTATGCTGTGGCTGTGAGATAGGCCTGGGTTGGAATCCCAGCTTTGCTAATTATCGCTGCTGTGTTTTTGGACAGGTTGCCTAATTTTTGTCTTTTTTTGGTGGGGGAGTCTCGCTTTGTGGCCCATACTAGAGTGCAGTGGTGCGATCTCGGATCATTGCCTCCTAGGTTGAAGGGATTCTCCCACCTCAGCCTCCCAAGTAGCTGGAATTGCAGGCGCCCACCACCACGCCCAGCTAATTTTCTTGTATTTTTAATCGAGACAGGGTTTCACCGTGATGGCCAGGCTGGTTTCGAATTCTGACCTCAACTGATCCGCCCCCCTTGGCGTCCCAAAGTGTTAGGATTACAGGTGCCCGCCACCACGCCTGGCTAATTTTTGTATTTTTAGTAGAGACGGGGTTTCACCGTGTTAGCCAGGATGGTCTCGATCTCCTGACCTTGTGATCCGCCCGCCTCGGCCTCCCAAAGTGGTGGGATTACAGGCGTGAGCCACTGCGCCCCGCCAATTTTGTATTTTTAGTACAGACGGGGTTCCTCCATGTTGTCAGGCTGGTCTCAAACTCCTGACCTCAGGTGATCCACCTGTCTCAGCATCCCAGGCATGAGCCACCAAGCCCAGCCTCATTTGGTTACTTTTTGCATGGAATTTATTTTTTCATTCTTTTGTTTTCAATCTCTTTGTTTCTTTGTATCTAAAGTGAGTCTCTTATAGACAGTATATGGATGGATCATGTTGTATTTTATTTTACTTATTTTTTTTACATTTCCCAAGGCTCTGTCATCCACCTTTTCATTAAATCATTCTACCAATCTCTCCTGGGCTCAGGTGATCCTACCACCTCAACTGCCTGAGTAGCTTGGACTGCAGGCACATGCCACCGCTCATGGCCTATATTCTTCTTCTCTTTTTTTTTGGGTGGGGGGGTGGTGCTTAAACAACAGAAATTTATTTCTCTTGGTTATGGAGTCTAGAAATCCAAGTTAAGGGCTGGGCGCAGTGGCTCACACCCGTAATCTCAGCACCTTGGAAGGCCAAGGCAGATGGATCACCTGAGGTCAGGAGTTCCAGACTGGCCTGGCCAACATGGCAAAACCCCGTCTCTACAAAAAATACAAAACTCAGGCATGAAAAACCAAAAGAAATCCAAAATCAGATCACAGAATTGGCAGGTTTGGTTTCTCCTGAGGCCTCTCTCCTTGGCTTATAAATGGTCACCTTTTCACTGTGTCCTCACATGGCCTTTTCTCTGTGAACATGCATTCTTGGTGTCTGTGTGTGTGTCCAAATTTCCTCTTTTTATAAAGTCACCAGTCGAATTGGACTAGGGCCCACCCTAATGGCATCATCTTAACTCACCTCTTTAGAGACCCTATTCCTAAATACAGTCACATTCTGAGGTATTGGAGTTAGGACTTCAACATATAAATTTGGTGGGGATCACAATTAAGCCTATAACATAATCATAGTTACTTAAAAAATAAATAACATGGTGATATAGAATAAGCAGGCAGGAGCGAGGGTTTGGGAGCCTAGGGAGAACCTGGTAAGATGGCACCAAGTTGACACCATAAGGGACTGTGAGGGTGAAGCCACCTGGGAAGGAAGAAGAGAAGGAAGATGCCAGACAGTCCTGGAGGTTAGGCAGGACTTAAATGACTTTGAGACTGGTCACTCATCCAAATATGAAAACTCTCGGGACTCAGAAAATGATAGGACTAAGCAAAAATCCAGCACCAGGGCGGGTGGCTCATGCCTGTAATCCCAGCACTTTGGGAGGCCGAGGTGGATGGATCACCTGAGGTCAGGAGTTCGAGACCAGCTCTGGCCAAATGGTGAAACCCCATCTCTACTAAAAATACAAAAATTAGCTGGGCATGGTAGTGCACACCTGTAATCCCAGCTATTCAGGAGGCTGAGAGAGGAGAATCGCTTGAACACGGGAGGCAGAGGTTGCGGTGAGCTGAGATTGCGCCATTGCACTCCAGCCTGGGTGACAAGAGTGAAACTCCCATCTCAAAAAAATAAAAAGGCAGCACGAGTGCAAATGTTTTGGCTTCTTCTTGTGTAGCTCATCTCATATCTCCCAGTTAGAAACTTTCCTTGTAATGTAGAATCCCTATTGCTGGGATATAAACCTGTATCCTCCTGTTCTGTCCCCAGGGAAGAGATGTCACAAGTCTGTTCATTCATTAGAGTACTATTATTTATCTTTTCTGTAGACTTATTTTCCGCAAGTTGTTTTGGCTTCTTTTCTGTAACTGGATCTGGGTAACCTGACAGTGCAGAACCAGGCCCTGGGCTTCAGCACAGGGACATGCCGAGGCTCGGGACACAGACACGTCCCCACTCTGCTACCCACTAGCCTAGGGACTCAACTGGGCTAGTTAGTCGGCTTTCTCAAACTCTTCATCTGGAAAACAATGTTAGATTCTGGTTAAATTTAGCTCTGAATATGATCATATCTATTTAAGCATTATTATTATTATTATTATTTTTTTTTTTTGGAGATGGAGTCTTGCTGTATCACCAGGCTGGAATGCAGTTGTGCAGGCTCTGCCTCCTGGGTTCAAGCGATTCTCCTGCGTCAGCCTCCCGAGTAGCTGGGATTACAGGCATGTGCCACCATGCCCGGCTAATTTTTGTATTTTTAGTAAAGATGGAGTTTCACCATGTTGGCCAGGCTGCTCTTGAACTCCTGACCTCTTGATCCGCCCACCTCAGCCTCCCAAAGTGCTGGGATTACAGGCCGGAGCCACCGCGCCTGACCTATTTAATCATTTCTAAGGTTTTCTAAAAATCAAGCCCTCTGTATTACTTCTCTCAAGCTTTGGAGCCTAAACTAGAAGAAATAAAAGTCTGATTTCTGCCTCTTATTTTTCTTTACATTCTATTTCAGCTCATGATGCTTGTTCATTTTTTGGACAGTTAAATAGCAGCTTGGACTCAAGTTCACTATAAAGTTCACAATTACTCCTCGGCCATTTCTAGCCAACAGTGGTGTGGTCCAGCCATTCCCTTCCTCATTTTGGTCACCCACTGACCTCCAGGTTGCTCCTCAAATCCAATAGTTTGTGGGCACTTGGCACATAGTGGGTCTCCATGCTGGACATCCATGACAATGGCCCATTTGATTTTGTTTTGTTTTGTTTTGTTTGTTTTTTGAGACAAAGTCTAGCTCTGTTGCCCAGGTTAGAGTGCAGTGGCGTGATCTCGGCTCACTGCAACCTCCACCCCCTGGGTTCAAGCAATTCTCCTGCCTCAGTCTCCTAAGTAGCTGGGATTACAGGTACACACCATCACGCCCAGCTAACAATGGCCCATTTGATATTCTCACCTTCTGGGTTCTAACTGCCACCTCCCCTCATAGAGTTAGATAGAGTTGATCCCATCCAAAATCCAGTCTTGTAGAATCCGCATCTGATGACCATCATCTCACTCCCTCAACACCCTTGTGTCATAAGCTTGCTTTCAGACCCTATCAGGCTTTGGACCTGTACACCTTTCCCAGTTGCTGAGTCCAGAAACTGGCCCGTCTTATTTCTTCTTTACTTCATCCAGGTCCCATCATTCCAACCACACTCCTGCAGGTTAGCCCCATCCTTTGATGCTCACTGCTTGAGCACTGCCTCTACTCGTCATCTTGCCAGGACCCCCCAGCTATCTGGCTTTCTCGCTCTCTCATGCTGATCGCTGAGCCTTGTGAGACAAATGAAAAGCTGATCTGATCTGAGTTACTACAACTCATCAGAGCTGGTTTTCTCACTTCATCCAGGTCCTCAGTGCTGCTTGGCAGTTACTCTGTTTGTCCTCATGCAGTTTCCTCTCTCTCACTCCCACAATGGCTAGCCCAAAATGTCACCAGTTTACTCCAGCCCCTTTCTTGACCTGCCTATTTCTTTATAGTTATCTTTATTTGCTGATCCCTCACTTCTCTAATTAAAGGTATAAGTTATTCAAATTACTCTGTGATTTCTATCTCCTAATACAAATGATCCTAAATACAATACAGGCCAGATGACCCAAGGAGACAATGACCAATGACGGTGTAGACTTTTTTTTTTTTGAGACTGGGTCTCACTCTGTTGCCCAGGCTGGAGTGCAGTGGCCTTATTACAACTCACTGCAGCCTCGACCTCCTGGGCACAGGCAATCCTCCCACCTCAGCCTCCTGAGTAGCTGGGACTACAGGCATGTACCACCACACCCAGCCAATTATTATTATTATTATTATTTCTTGAAGAGACAGGATTTCGCCATGTTGCTCAGGCTGGTCTGGAACTCCTGTGCTCAAGCAATCTGCCCACCTCAGCCTTCCAAAGTGCTAGGATTACAAGTGTGAGCCCCTGCACCCACCCCAATGTGTAGGCTGGTCTTACATGTCAGATACAAGGTTCCAAGAATGCCATGTTATTTTGAATGGGTGACACGTGAATGCACATGGGATGCATTTGGGCAGAGCAACAGCGCCTCAGCTCATCTTCCTCTCTTGGGTGGGACATCAGGAATAGTCCCCGCTGGTGTCCACTTTGGGAAGCTCTGGGATTCAGCTGGCCTCTGCTGCACATGGGTACCTAACTGCAACTTGCAGTGGCTCTTCTCAGTTAGGCATAAGAGCTGGAATTTCTGTTAATCTCTCAATATTTGCATGTGTAATGAAGTGTATTCTGAAGCCAAAATATTTGAAAAAGAATGGCCCCCCCTTATTGTGTGGGTCAAAATCTCAGGTTCACCTTGGCTGCTCCAGGCTACTGTGGATAGATATCCCTGAAGGGGTTCTTTCAAAAGGTACCTCTAGATCTTGAAACTGTTAATTATATTGCAACTGTCACACCTACAAGGATTGCTGGCCTCAGTCAACCCCTCATCATGGAGCTGTAGAAACAAGGGAGAGGCTGCCCCTGCTCATGGCCCTCTCTATAGCCTTACTGAGGGGTTCAAGTGTGTCTTGGGTAAGGCAGAATAGGAGAAAAGCTATAACAGGGTTTTCAGCTATTGGAATTCTGGATCCTTTGCCAGGGATCGGGTAAAACCATGTCCTAAAAAGACAGAATGATTAGGTAAAAAACAGGGTCACAAATGGCCAGTACTGCTTACAAACCCCAGAAATCCTGGGACACGGTGAGAGCCTTCCACTCTGGAAACATCACTTGATACCTTGGTTGGACTGTCTGGAAATTCTACCTTTGGATCTCAATCTACAAATCTGGGTTGTCCCAGGGGTGTTGTTGCCATAAAAGGGTCAGAATTGCCATGCAAACAGAGAACAGTGCTGACAGGTGTTCAAAATCAAGACGTAAACCCCATCTCAATGGAATCCTCTAGCCCATGAAGTGTTGGAATACTCCTGCAGGCAACTGGACAGGGGATTTCTTCTCATTGTTCTGTCTCTCTGGACCAATGGGAGTTTCCAAATACAGCCGCCTTTGAAGAATAAAATTAGATAATTGGGTGGAATATCCCCTGAATATGTCTGGAAGCAATTACATTCTGCCTTGACTCCTGGGAGTGCTGAGTAAATAATGCCACCCTCATTTCATCTAATAGCGATGTGGTCAGCTCATTAGTTAAGTTCATATTTTTGTTAAGAAACTCATGGTGAACTCGGTTTCCAAGCAAAATATTTATTTATTTTACTTTTTATTTTAGAGACAGGGTCTTGTTCTGTCACTGAGGCTGGACTGCAGTAGTGCAATCACGGCTCATTGCAACCTCAACCTCATGGGCTCAAGTGAACCTCCCACCTCAGGCTCCCAAGTATCTGGGACTGCAGGTGCACACCACCCTGCCTGGCTTATGTTTTTGAATTTTGTTTTTTTGGACATAGGATCTTGCTATGTCACCCAGGCTGGTCCTGGACTCCTGGCCTCAGGCAATCCTCTTGCCTCTGCCTCTCAAAGTGCTATAGGATTACAGGTGTGAACCACCATGCCTGGCCAGGCAAAATAGATTCTTCCTTTCTGGTGCAGAAGATGAAACTAGTGTGATGAAACTAGTGTGTCTGCTCAGTGTGATCCTGCAGGCATCCTCTGCAGCTGTTGTGGAGGTAGATACAGAGTTTCCAGGATGTGTATCCACCTTACCTTAACTTAGGTGGATACAGAGCCTGCAGGATCCTATGCTGCTGCTATGAAGACTGAAAATGCTCTCCAGTTCCTAGCAGGCCAGATGTAAAAGCTGACTTGGAAAGCAAGAGACATCAGTGCTGAGAGCACCTACCTGCCTGAGAACAAGAAGCAGACAGTCCTGGGTATGGCATCACTGTCATGGTTGGCTAACAGGTACCAGATAAGGCATGGCCAGAAGTGGCCAACTAGCTTTTAAATATCAAAGACAGGACAGTTACAAACAGAGGGGAGAGGTGGAGGAGGACATGGTGAGAGGGACAGTAAACACCTGCAACGTGTGCACACACGGGTGGGCCCTTGGGGCAGTCAGCTGAGGTACAGTTGGTGATGAAGATGCTATGTTGAGAAACTGGATACCCAAGGCATTTATAAAAGTTCACAAAGACTGTAGGGACTTAAGCCTACTCATGATACCACCCTGACCTCTTTACAAAAATACTGGAGATACAAAGATTTCTTCAACTGGACTCTGAACCTGTAAGTTTCTTTTAATGAGGGTCAAGCTCCAAGTTTTGTGTTGCTATGTGATTCTATTTCTTGATTTTAATAATGACTGAGAAAAGTATGGATACCTCCATTCCAAAAATCTACTGGGGCTGGGCCATCTGCCAGGATCATATGATACGGGGAAGAAATGAGGGTCTGTATTACATTAAGAGAATCCTGGCCAAGTGCGATGGGTCACGCCTGTAATCCCAGCACTTTGGGAGGCTGAGGTGGGTGGATCACAAGGTCAGGAGTTCAAGACTAGCCTGGCCAAGATGGTGAAACTCCATCTCTACTAAAAATACAAAAATTATCCGGGTGTGGTAGCGAGCACCTGTAATCCCAGCTACTTGGGAGGCTGAGGCAGGGAATTGCTTGAACCCGGGATGCGGGGGTTGCAGTCAGCTGAGACTGCACCACTGCATTCTAGCCTGGGCAGCAGAATGAGACTCCGTCTCAAAAAAAAAAAAAAAAAAAAAAAAAGAGAATCCTCAGAAGTCATGGTTTGTTGAGGTGTGAATAAGGTTGACATAGAGGCCAGAGGTGGCTAGAAAAGGTACATCATAATCTGATGACAGGCCCCTGTTACGGAGTATTTCTGGATGGTTCATGGTTCAGTCTTTCCCACAGTTGACTGGATCTTCTCCTGGTGTACAACAGCTCTGTGTCCACCTGGTGTCAAGTGGTTGGAGAAGGGGGATACCTAGGATTTCCAGATCATGTCATTCCTCAGGAAAAACAAGTGTGTGAGAGAAGAAGTCCTTTGCAGTCCAGGAATTGAACTGCCCTCTTCCTAAGGCTGCTCTGTTTATTATTTCATGTGTGTGTGTGTGTGTGGTGTGGTGGAGGGTCAGGGGTACACTTTGGAAGAAGACATAAAATTCTGTCCTTTGAATATACCTAGATAATGAACATCTATGAATTTTATAGTAATACTGTCACTCTTACTTTGCATTTAGATTTTAGAAGCAGGTATTCATCTGAGAAAAAATGAGGTACCTAAGTTCACAGCTAATAAGATCACTGTAGACATGACTGGGGAAGGGAAAAGAAAAGCACCTAACTATTCTTTCTCAAAACAAAAACTACTAGGCTCGGTGTGGTGGTGGCTCATGCCTGTACTCCCAGCACTTTGGGAGGCCAAGGCGGGTACATCACCTGAGGTCAGGAGTTTGAGACCAGTCTGGCCAATATGGTGAAACCCCATCTCTACTAAAAATACAAAAATTAGCCAGGCTTGGTGGCGCGTCTGTAATCCCAGCTACTTGGGAGGCTGACGAAGGAGGATTGCTTGAACCCAGCTGGTGGAGGATGTAGTGAGCTGAGATTGCACCACTACACTGCAGCCTGGGCAACAGAGCAAGACTGTCTCAAAAAAAAAAAAAAGAAAGAAAGAAAGAAAGTTTAAAATTATGTTTAAAAAACAGAGAAATTAAGCTAAAGTACATGATAGGAAAAACAATGTGGTAAGGAATTAAAAGAAAGCTAAAGGTAAGTAAATAAAAGCTAAGGGAACAGGCTATAAGTTCAACAAACCAAAATTAAGTAGTGAAGAGGTCATCTACACAAGAATGAAGACGGGACACTTGGCAGTATAGAGATCTAAGTCCAAGGGCCATGAGTCCCAAGCCAGGCACATGGCATCCCCTGAACTACACTAAGGAGTCTCCCATTCTGTTATGCTTTTGATGTTGGAAGTAGGCTATCCAGCTTGTCTATGCAGGGATACCTGCAAGGCTTCAGGAGTGTCATTAACTCAGGTGGTTCCAGATCATCCCACCCTTGGGGTCTAGCCAAGGAGCCATGACTCACCTACTCTGTCATACTCCATACATCATCCTGTGAACAGGGCCTCCTTCACCTAGCGGATATGTGTCCCTCACTAAGAAGGTCAGTAAATCGGGAGCCCCATCTACCCCCTTAACACAGGGGCTACATAAGGACTACACATTTGATATGGTTTGGCTCTGTGTCCCCACCCAAATCTCATGTTGAACTGTAATCCCCACTTGTCAGGGGAGGGACCTGGAGGGAGGTGATTGGATCATGGAGGTAGATTTCCCCTATGCTGTTCTTGTGATAGTGAGTTTTCACGAGCTCTGATGGTTTAAAAGTGTAGCATTTCCCCACTCTTTTTTTATTTTTGTGGGATGGAGTCTCACTCTGTTTCCAGGCTGGAGTGCAGTGGCATGATCTCGGCTTATTGCAACCTCTGCCTCCTGAGTTCAAGTGATTCTCCTGCCTCAGCCTCCCGAGTAGCTGGGACTACAGGTGCACGCCACCATGCCCAGCTAATTTTTTTGTATTTTGTTTTTTAATAGAGATGGGGTTTCACCATGTTGGCCAGGATGGTCTCAATCTCTTGACCTCGTGATCTGCCTGCCTCGGCCTCCCAAAGTGCTGGGATTATACAGGCATGAGCCACCATGCCTGGCCTCCCCATTCTCTCTCTCTCCTGCCTCCATATAAGATGTGCCTTGCTTCTGAACTTCGCCTTCTGCCATGATTATAAGTTTCCTGAGGCCTCCCAGGGATGTGAACTGTGGGTCAATTAAACCTCTTTTCTTTATAAATTAACCGGTCTCAGGTAGTTCTTTACAGCAGTGTGAAAATGGACTAATACAACATCTATGGGAGATTTTTTTTTTCCTTTTTTCCTAAAATCCTTTCCTGAAGTATGAAGACTTTCTAATACTTGTCCTAGATATGTGCTTTCAAATCTTCACAGGTCAGGTAGAGTGAAGCCCTAAACCTCAGGAGGAGGATACGAGCTGTCAAGAGGAAGGGAGGATCATGCTGTTGAACACCTCTGAGGATTTCAGAAAGGGGCTCTGGGTTTGAATCCTGACTCTTCCACTTACTAGCTCTGCACTCTTGGGGAAACTACATACTTCTATGAGCTTCAGTTTCCAGCCTGTATTATTAGTGTACTATAACTATGTGACTGTACTCAGTAATTAGTCAGGGAATACATTTGGCACAGATGATACAGTGCTTTTGTTTAAAAGCCAGAATAATCAGAGGTTTAAGGGAAGCAGTTGGAGGGTATGAAGCTACTCAGAGCCTCAGAACTCACCTTTCTGCGTTAATCCATGATGTGACTCCAGGGGGCATCTTGATGAGGACACTCATTAGCCAGGAAGGTGTCAAGCTCTGCTTTCAAAGGAAGGGCAACTTACGTCCATTTTTCTTAAGGAAGGGTCTTAACCACTGAGGCTTACATAAATTTAGAGCTACTTATTTCCCCCATTGAAAAGGAAGTGGTAATATGACAGGAGGAATTTATTTTAGAACTACCTGACATGGTTGTGAGCCACACACGTGACTGCACCTGCAGTCTCTTCTTTCCTTGGAGAACTCCCAAAAGAAGAGGACAGAGATTTTGCCTAGGCTGGGGTGGGCACATGCCTACATGAAACAGGGACAAGTCTAGAGTAACTCTAGAAGGGTCCTCAAGAGGCCCACCTCCCTTTCAGGGCAGAAATTCAGCTGCTGGTCTCAGGGAAAAGCCTGTCTTGTTGTGTGGGGCATCCCCAAACACACCACATTTTAAGCAGAAATAAAAAATATTTGCTGGCAAAGTGGGGGTCAGAGAAGAGATGAGAGCACATCTCTAAAAAAGAAAGGCACAGCACCCAGGTTCTAGTTCTTGACTTTAATGCCCTTGGAGTGTACTGAGGCTCAATACACCAAAGCACTCACAGACAGGTACATGAACTCACACAGGAAGTGTTATAGTGTGTACATAAACCCAACACCATACAGAAGGAAGACGACGGACCCAGGTGACCTCCCACACTCGAGGTGACTGCCTGTTCCCATACTCACTGTTTGTTCCCACCTCCCTCAACCCCTGCCAACCCCCATCCTTCCCCACTCAGTATGTATATACACAGATATGATTCTTTCAGAATTCCAAAAAGTGCCTCTCCCACCCCAGTTCCCAACACTACAGCTTTGGATGAAAAAAGCCTCTCTCTTTTAAGGATCATGAGACAGGTACCACCTTCACGCAAGAGCCCCAGCAAAATAGTACCCAAGAAAGCTTAATAATGTATATTGGAATCAAATATGGATAGAACATATGCAGAAGGACAATATTTGAAATATTACTAGGATCAAAACGCTCAGCATCAGTAGTTTTTGTTTTGTTATTGCTGTTTGCTTTAACCTGTTCAAGAGCTGGTTTAGACCAAGACCACACATGGATGCTCACACCGCCTGTGTCTTATAAATGTCACTTCCTATTCCTCCAGCAAGCAGCCCAGAACAGGAAGATTATATCACCTGATAAGCCTTAGGCACAAGGCTCAGACAGCTCCCAGAATATCCTAAGCCCCAGGAAAGAAGAACAGAAACTTCCAGAGTACAGCTGACTGCTTTCTGCATGGTAAGCACTGGGCAGCCTGGTGAACAAGGCAGAGGTAAAATAAGGAAGGTGATGATTCCTTCCATTTATTTAGAGTGTTACGCTAAGAATTCCTCTCCTGGAGTGGGATGCATTTCAGTGTGGTTTTGCTTCAGTCTTTTTTTGTTGCTATAACATTAGCTTTTTTATTTTTAAGGAATTTTGTTATGGCGAGCATTGCACCATTGGTCCCATCTCCTGAAACTTTCACTTTGCTTTGACTCACTGATAACTACTGGCCCGTCTCAAGGCAAGATGAATCCAGTCCCTTGTCAAGTGAGAGGGATTTACTGACATTATGCACAACAATTCTATAAAGATGCACTTCCTTATGATCAGGGAGAAGCTTTCATCCTTTGGAGCCTTCCTTCCAGACCCAACCCTTCTTCTGTTCTGGGCCTGGCCATTTAGAGTTGAAAAGGGATCAAATGGGGAAAAGTCACTTCCACAGGGATAACCCCTTTATCTGGAGGCCGTTACCACAATCCACCACATCTAATTGCACTTTTCAGCCTGGCCTTGGTTTCTCATTAGAGAATGGCGAAACTAGGCCACTGAATTCCTTCACTCCATTTAGAAAGAGCTCTCAGCTTGCTGCCCAGTGTCACCTCTCTGCCTGTTCTACTGGCCCAGAGCCTTGTGTCCTACAGTGGCACAGAATACATTACTGTGAGGATCACAAAGGGAGTCAGAGAAACAGGGATTTCTCCAGCGAGAGAGAGGAACGGTGTTCTTACCCAGCATCCCTGTAATCCTAAGCAAGCCTTCAGGACCTGTTTTTGAGCAAACTTGCATTTGAGCAAACAAGTCTCTCAATGGCTTGCATGTATGGACTCTAAATAACCAAGCCCTGCCATGCTCCATGGGAGAAGGGGGAAGCAGAAGGGGTCAAGGCCACATTACTGAAAGCAATGGGCTTAATGAACTGCTCTCTGTTCACACAGACTTTTTCAATAGTCTGCCTCTCTGTCAAAAAATGAACACATATTAGGCAGTAGGTAACACCAATCAGAAGAACCAAAATGAAAGCCTTTTCTCTTAGAACAATACAAGAGCCATGTTTTGGGGCTAACCTCCAAGCAGGGACATCAGCTCCAGAAAAGAGACTATCCCTTTGTGTACGAGAACAATAGAGAGAGCGCATATCTCAGAACGTGAATGACTATCCTTTCCTCTTAGATCTCAGTATCCACCTCTTTTCCACCTCTAAAAGAGTACAACAGGAGTGCAAAACCACGCCCTGGAATCTTTGTTTACACATAGGGAACAGGAGATCACTGCCGTCCAGCCCCACGGAGGAATTCAGCCAAAGTCCCAGGGCTTGGTCTTCTCTTCCTCATATGAACACAGACTTCAGCTCCCCTTATACCCATCTTGTCTATCTGGTCCTGTAAGTCTGATACCAGTGAGGCTGTCCTCCCCAATTTATTTATTTATTTATTTATTTTTACGATGGTGTTGCCCAGGCTGGAGCACAGTGGCTAGCCACAGGCACGATCATAGTATACTACAGTCTTAATCTCCTGGGCTCAAGTGATCCTCCTGCCTCAGCCTCCAGAGTAGCTGGTACTACAGGTGTGTGCTCGAGTGGCCTGGACTACAGGCGTGTGCCCAAGTAGCTGGGACTACAGACATGTTCCTGGCTCGCATCAATTCTTTACACATTAAAAAAAAAAATCTCCCTTTACCCAGGAAGAGACAGGTACAATCATGATTAGAGAGAGACACCCTTAATGCAGCATGGAAATGTTACATTGTGATCAATGGTGCTACACAGTTCTTCCTTTAGGAGATGCATGTCCAGACCCTGACTAGTTGGCCTAGGCTGTAGACAGAGCAAGAAGGAAATGCAGTAGTAACAGATCCTTGGGGATCTTTTTCAATTTCTGAAATAGAGGAGTAAGTAAACCAAAATATACAGGAGTGAGGAGTAAAACAAAATATAAAGAAGTGAGTAAAACAAAAATAGAGGAGTGAGGAGTAAAACAAAAGGGAAGTTTTGTCTTCCTACGGCTCCTAGGATAGCTGTGTGTCTCACCCAGCCCTTCCTTTACCTTCTCAGAAGAGAGGCTCTCCTAGAAGGAGAATGTTACCAGGACAGAGGAACAGGGTTTAAAGAGAGGGGGTCCCCTTCCAAAGAGGTTCACCACAAACTGGATTCTAACACATGAGATAGCAGCCAAGGAGGTGTTCTGAGCCTCTAAAAAGGATGTTACATGTCAAAGATAACAGAAGATCTAGGCATCTTGCCTGCTTGACTTGGGGAATCTTCAAAAGAAGCCTCTGAAATTTGCATTCCAGCCCTGTGAGAAGATAACCCTGCAAGCAAGGAAGGTGGTGGAAGATAAGAGAAGCCGCGGCCCTAAGACAGGGCTGTAAACATTGTGGTTTTCTAAGGCCAACTGGGTGCATAGCTTTGGCAGCTATGGTTAAATCTCCAAAAGGTGGTGAAGAACATGTTCCGGAAGGAAAAGAAAAGTCTTTCCACATTTTGGGAATGTGGGCAACTATTCTTGGAGGAGAAGGGGTGCAGTGGGAGAGAAGATGCTCTTTCTTCTTCAGCCAGGGGCTATGGGGTGGCTGGTCAGGTAAATCCCCCATCATGTTCCGTGTTCACACCAATATACTGAGCACAAGGGAGGGACGCTTGAACAGGGTTGAGGAAGTGATTAGGCCTACATCGATTTGGTAACGTGGCTCTAAAATGGGCAGAAACTCTCTTGCAAGGTCAAGAAGGTGACAAAACTTCTCGGGACTTCCTGGTCAAGCCCTAGCTATCAGCCTCAAGGAAAGACTACCATGCCTTGAGGAAAGGCCAGGTGAGCGCTGGCTGGAGTGCCTGCAGGCCGCAAGCCCTGAGCCCAACCCTGAGGTGCAGTCAGGGAGATTGGAGCTACACCTCTGTCCCCTGGGAGCTGTGCCTCAGGATGCTGTTCTCACCTCGGCAGATTCTGGGGCAGTCAGCAGCCCCTTCAGGGATCTTACTCCCAGAGCCACCAAGCAAGGTGGACATCCTCCCTGATGGGACTCTCGCCTACCGGGGCTACTCACCACCATGTGATCTTGAACTCATAGATGGGGCGCTTGCAGTAGTAGTGGTTCACGAGGTGCTTGTCACACACCCCGATGCACTGGTGGTCCACGGTGAGACCCTGGGCCGAGAGGTCCGTGACCAGGCAGTGCAGCAGGTCATAAACATCAGCCACAGCCTCCCAGGGCCCAAAAGACACATCCACTTCACAGTGGTGCTCAAAAAGCTGCCCGTCACTCTCACTCCGCTCAAATCGCAGGGAGTTGAGGAGCGGACACTCATAGGGGGTGATGGGCATCTCCTCCTTGAAGACACAGACCTTGAGCTTGGCAAAGCGGGCCTTCCGCTGGACCGCACGCAGCCGGGCGATCTCCACAATCCGCTCCAAGTGGTCTATAAGGATGAACACAACACCTATCACTAGGGTGAAGAGGCAGGACAGGGCAGCAGAGATGCACAGAGAAACAGTCCTGAAGATGGCAGGATGCAGGAGGGGAAAGACAGATTTCCCGGGGAAGGGACTCAGGGGGCCAATGAAGGGCACAAACTTAAACAAGGGTCACGGTTCTCCACAGCAAAGGGAAGCCAATGGGACGAGGGCTGTCCTTCTGAAATACAATTTGCTAACTGTCATAGGCCAGGTAGGCCCACCTTAACCTGAATCTCCCCAGCGTGACTGGGAAGGGATGACACTCCATCGCATCTTGAGTAATCTGGATGAATGCTGCCCCCGGTGTTCTGATGGAGACCTAAACACTCACAGATGCCTTGCAGACCTCCTCCCACATACCCACCATCCTGGGCAGCTGACCCTCACCTTTGTAATAGGGCATGAGTCCCAGAAACGCTTGGCGCACCTTCTCGCCCTTCAGTGGCTGCATGTTCTCCAGCTGCTCCAGGAGGGGCCCGATGGCATAGTACTGGGCCTCTTTGTACACAGCTCGAACACGCTCCCTGGGTGGGAGGTCCCCTGAGCGCAGGAAATTCAGCACATCTCTAAGCAGGAAGGAAAGAGGGTCGGTGACAAGGAGCTTATGCTCCTGGGCAGTGCCACACAGTGTGCATTGGACAAAATCTAAAACCAGACTGCCAGCTGTGTTACACTGGGTAAATGAACTTAACTACTCCATGTCTCAGTTTCCCTGTCTGTAAAATTGGAGAAAACAATAAAACCTCATAATGTGTTAGGGAATTAAGTGATTAGAAAATCCCTGGCACAGAGTAGGGCCTCAATAAGTGTTATTAGTTGTTGTTATCAGTAAGCAACTATAATTACTATTATTAGGTATAATATTAGGTATTATTAGGTATATGTAAGTATAATGGAAAGATATGACACCTAGCCCTTTATATATATATAGTTTTAGAATTGAGGTGAAATATTCAATAAATGTACAAATATTAACTGTACAGTTCAGTTGTTTTTTTAAGTATGAATATACCCATCCAACCATCACCTAGATCAAGATGAAACATTTCCATTCCTTAAGGTTCCTCATGCCACTTCCCAGTTAATCCCTACGGAAGCAACCACTCTAACTTCTCCTTCCATCAGTAAAGATGAGTTTTGCCTTTTCTTGAAATATATATATAAACAGAATTATATAGTATGTTCTCTTTCATACCTGGCTTCTTTCCTTTAACATAATGTTTTTGAAATGTATCCACCAAATAAATAATAAAAACAAACCAGTAGTTTGTTTTTTTGTTTTTATTAGTTATTATTCATTATGTAAGTATACCCTTGCATGAATATGGTGTAATTTATTTACCCTGTTGTCTTGTTGATGGACATTTGGGTTGTTTCCAGTTTTTGGCTATTATGAGTAAAGCTGGGATGAACATTCCTATATAAGACCTTTAGGCCAGGCACGGTGGCTCACACGTGTGATCCCAGCACTTTGGGAGGCCGAGGTGGGTGGATCATCTGAGCTCAGGAGTTTAAGACCAGCCTGGCCAAAACGGTGAAACTCCATCTCTACTAAAAATACAAAAATTAGCCAGGTATGGTGGTGGGTGTCTGTAATCCCAGCTACTCTGGAGGCTGAGGCAGGGGAACTGCTTCAACCTGGGAAGTGGAGGTTGCAGTGAGCTAAGATCACGCCACTGCACTCCAGTCTGGGTGACAGTGTGAGACTCCATCACAAAAACAAACAAACAAAAGAAACCTTTAGTGGACACAAGCACAAATTTCTTTTAAGTATTAGCAGTAGAGTCATTCAGTCATAGGGTAAGCACGTGGTTAACAAAGTGGTTGCAGCATTTTACATTCCCAACAGCAATGCAGAAGAGTTCTAGGTGTTCCCCATCCTTGCCACTAGTATTATTCTGTAGCTATGCAGAGCAGGTAAAATGCCTAACTCTAATGTCTGAACAAACTGGTTTCAGGGCTGAATAAAATCACATATTGCATTTTCTTAAAATAAAAATTCAGTCCTTCTAATTCACTTTTCAGATTTTTTTTCTTCTTTTTTAAGAGATAGGATCTTGTTCTGTCACCCAGGCTGGAGGGCAGTGGTGCAATCATAGCTCACTGCAGCCTCTAACTCCTGGGCTCAAGCAGTCCTCTTGCCTCAGCCTCCCGAATAACTGGGACCATAGGTGCAAGCCACCAGCTTTTTAGATTATTTAGTGCTCAGAGTAATCAGATACATCACCCGTACGTGCGGAAGACAGTGAGTAAACCCCAAGATAATGCTGCTACCTCAATAACAGCTTAGTCTATGACCTAATACAACACCAGCTAACACTCGCTAAGTATTACTCCATGCCAGCCACTATTCATGGGTTATCCCATGTAATCCTCTCAATGACATTGGGGGTGTGTGCTATCTTATCTCTATGTCATAAATGAGGCTCAAGTGGGGCCCAGACAGGTTCAGGAACATGCTTGCTCAAGTAGCCACCGCTGCCAGAGGCTCAGATCCAGCCATGGCTGATTCTACACCCACATCTACCATGGTCCAGCTTCAGCAGAAACATTTAGACCAGAGTGCAGCAAGCTGATGACAATGGGGAACGACCCCAGACTGAGGCCCAAGCAGCCTTCACGGTGGACGCTAGGGATACATAAGCTGTATAGTAAGAAATGCACCCTACGAAATGCCCTGAACCGCCTATTTTATCTGAGTCATTCAACAACTTCATCTGCTGCTGATGAATCATAGGTCACAGGAGCTCATCAGCCAAAGTAAGAATGTCGCCATCTCCTGCTTTCTGCCATGCCCTTGCCTGGCGCTGTCACTCTCTAGCTGTGGCCACCTGAGCATGGGCACATCCACCTCAAGTCAAACCCAGAACCCCTCCCCAAAATCCCTTCTAGATCTTCAGCAAACCTTGGTGAGCTCTGAAAAACAAAACCCTGGGGCAAGGCCCAGCTAAGGGTGCTGTGGGAGCTGCTAGCTGGGGCCGGCACTTTCCTTCCCCAAACAGCCCGCAAACAAACATCTTTTTATAGTTCTGCAGAGCGATGTGACACTTTGTTTTCTCAGCATTGGAGGCAGCTGATAGCCCACTGGGGAAACCCAGATGCTTCCAAGCAAGTTATTTGACCAGGGGCTCCTTTCTGAGAATAAAAATGATCTTTCCCACAATGTGGGCAATCCTTCTTGGAGGCCAGCACAGAGATGTAGTGGTTGGAGAGTTTCTGCCTCCTGGGCACTTGGTTCAAGGTCTCTAGTCATCTCCAATGTCAGACTGAAGGAGCTAAGAGTTCCAGCCACGTACTCTGAAAAGGACATGGCTAGGGGTCACACCAAGGCTCTTTATATAATCCTCTTTGACAAGCCTGTGCAGCAGCTATAATTATTTCTCATTTCACAAACATGGAACCCCTGAGACATAAAGTCTTTAAATTGTTTACATGTAAGACTGTCAGAAGTCCTTTCTTGGGAAAGGTTTTGTTTTCTTTTTTAAGACACAGAGTCTCGGCCGGGCCGGACACAAACTACAGGCTGGGCCTGTAATCCCAGCACTTTGGCAGTCTGAGGCAGGAGGATCACTTGAGTCCAGGTGTTCGAGAACATCCTGGCCAACATAGTGAAACCTCATCTCTAAAAAACATCAAAAATTAGCCAGGCGTGGTGGTGTGCACCTCTAGTCCCAGCTACTTGGGAAACTGAGGCAGCAAAATTGCTTGCACCTGGGAGGTCAAGGCTGTAGTGAGCTGTGCTTGCATCACTGCACTCAGCTTGGGCAACAGAGCAAGACGCTGACTCAAAAAAAAAAAAAAAAAAAAGACAGTCTCACTCTGTTGCCCTGGCTGGAGCACAGTGGTAGGATCATGGCTCACTGCAGACTCCAACTCCTGAGCTCAACCAATCCTCCCACCTCGGCCTCACAAGTAGCTGTGACTACAGGCAAGTACCACCACGCCTGGCTGCTATTTTGCTGTTGTTGACATTGTGTTTTTCCACATTTTAGTGTTAAGTGACAAGAACAACAGAGGGTTTTTTTTTTTTTAAAGACTTTCCTTGGCAAAATTAAAGAACAACACTGTATCAGTCTTCCATCTCTTTTTATTCCTTTAAACTACTGAAAGAAGTCTGGTAACCACTGCTACACACCATGCCTCCTTCCCATGGCAACGCTGAGCCCCAAAATCCAGGTCTAAAGGTACTCTCCATGTTGTTTTAGACTATCCCCCTATGTGGGATTACACTTATTCCTCTCCACACAGATGACAACTTCCTGGTCTCATATTGCATAGGACAGCCAGGTGCAGTGGCGCACACCTGTAGTCTCAGCTATTCAGGAGGCTGAAGGGAGAAGACTGCTTGAGCCAGGAGTTTAAGGATGCAGTGAGCTATGATGGCACTGGTGAACAACCACTACATTCCACCCTGGGCAACATAGCAAGACCCTATCTCCAAAAAAACAGCCCCCGAAAAAAAAACAACACCTAAAACTTAAATAAATACTGTAATACCAGCATTTTAGGAGGCCAAGGTGGGAGGACTGCCTAAGGCCAGGAGCTTGAGACCAGTCTGGGCAACACAGCAAGATCCTATCTTTATTTTTATAGATAGATAGATAGATAGATAGATAGATAGATAGAATCACACACATCAAGACCAGTGGAAGCCTCAGTGCATCAGAGCTCATATATATACATATATATATATATATATATATATGTATACACACACCCATATATACATATATATATATGTGTGCATGTATGTGTACATCTGTGTGTGTGGGTGTATAATGAGATAAATAAATAAATAATAAATAAATAAAAATGAAATTTTGTTTTGTTTTTTGAGATGGAATCTCGTGTCGCCCAGGCTGGAGCGCAGAGGCGTGATCTCGGGTCACTGCAACCTCTGCCTCCTGGGTTCAAGCGATTCTTCGACCTCAGCTTCCTGAGTAGCTGGGATTGCAGGTATGAGCCACCACACCCAGCTAATTTTTGTATTTTTAGTAGAGATGGGGTTTCACCATGCTGTAATGAGCTGGTCTGGAACTCCTGGCCTCAAGTGATCTACCTGCCTCAGCCTCCCAAAGTGCTGGGATTACAGGCATGAGCACCGCGCAGAGCTGAAAATAAAAATTGTTTAATTGTCTATGATTGAAGCAATTTCATCCAGCCAGTGTGTTATTTCGAATTTCTCTGGCTGTCTTTGTCTCCTTTGGCAAAAAAAAAAAAAAAAATTGATCTCTTTCAATAAACCCATTTATTAAATTTCATCAATATGCTATCTCCTCTTCTAGGTACTATGGAAGATATCAAGGTCCCATACTCAAGCCTACGCTAATCACCTGCTAGGACTACAAAGTTGATTGTAGAGGGAGAGACATACCCAAAGTGTGTGCCATCTCGGTCGATGAAGTACCGGCCCTCGGAGTCCGTGGGGATGTAGTGCCGCCCACTGAACATGGCTGCCAACATGGTGTCTTCGTAGCACCGCAGTGTGGACAGGCGTGTAGTGAAGTGAGCCCCTCCGATGTTAAGGGGAACAACCTCAGGAAACTGGAAAGAAATCACCAGGGCTCTCAGGCAGGCAACGGGGAATGAGAGCTGGGGCTGCTCCATCTTCAATCCCTGGGGTCTGATTGGTGCCACACCATTCATTCAGTCACTCAAGCCCACGGGTCCATCTGAACACTTTCTTCTCTCTCCTCCCTCTGCCCCACCCTCATCATCTGCCAAGTCCTACCCATTCTAACCCTCATAGCTCTTTTTTTTTTGAGATGGAGTTTCACTCATCTCCCAGGCTGGAGTGCAGTGGCGTGATGTTGGCTCACTGCAAGCTCCGCCTCCCGGGTTCACGCCATTCTCCTGCCTCAGCCTCCCGGAGTAGCTGGGACTACAGGCGCCCTCCACCACACCCGGCTAATTTTTTGTATATATATATATATTTTTTTAGTAGAGATGGGGTTTCACTGCGTTAGCCAGGATGGTCTCGATCTCCTGACCTCATGATCCACCTGCCTCGGCCTCCCAAAGTGCTGGGATTACAGGCATGAGCCACTGTGCCTGGCCCCCTGATAGCTTTTAAATCAGGTCTCTCCACCTCAACTCCATTATCGCTGCTCTAGAGCTCAAGCCTTCAGTGTCCTTTCACTTCCTGAATTTACTATCTTAGTGCTCTTGCTCACATTGTCTTCTTTGCCCAAAATGCTCTTACCAGTCTCCTTCTTCTGTCTATATGGCAAGTTAAATGGACCCATACAGTGTTATAGGTTGTTCACTGCATAAAAGCACCTGGATGAGAGTCATCTGCTATGTGCCCTTTTTCTTTTTTTTTTTTTTTTTGAGACGGAGTCCCAGCCTGTGTCACCCAGGCTGGAGTTCAGTGGCGCGATCTCGGCTCACTGCAACCTCCGCCTCTCGGGTTCACACCATTCTCCTGCCTCAGCCTCCCGAGTAGCTGGGACTACAGGTGCCTGCCACCACGACTGGCTAATTTTTTGTATTTTTAGTAGAGATAGGGTTTCACCGTGTTAGCCAGGATTGTCTCGATCTCCTGACCTCATGATCCGCCCGCCTTGGCCTCCCCAAGTGCTGGGATTACCGGCGTGAGCCACCACGCCCGGCCTGCTATGTGCCCTTTTTCTAATTCACACCAACACACCATACAGTTTAGTGGCATCTACTCATTCTAGAAATTTCTATTCAAGTTCCCCTCATCTGTGAGCATTTCTGTCTACTGTCCCTCACCTGCCCCTAGGACAGAGTTAATGACACATTCTTCGACTGTGCCTTCACCGTGTGTCATATTCTCCTCTATAATAGCACCTAGCACGATACATCGCCAATTATTTCCCTCTGTCAATTCACTCCACTAGACCCCAAGCTTCCCAAAGACAGGGAAAGCATCTTGGTCACCAATCATGGGCTGCCCACAGCAGAGCTCAGTAGTTGTGTGTTGAATACTTCCAGGCATCTACTCCTCTCCTAATCTGTAGAGTGAGCCTGGTTTCCGGTCCAGCTAAGGTTCTGGAGGTAAGGGCTGAGTGAGGAACATGAAAATGATGGTATAAATGTGCCCTAAGAAGCTCGAGGTTTCCCTTAAAATGCAAGGCTTTTTTTTTTTTCCTGTTTTGCACTGCTTGTGGTTTCTACCAAACTGCATTTGAAAAAATGAGGTCAGTTTAAGTTCTCTTTAATCTTCCCACAAACTTCCTCCAGATCAATTCAAATTGTATCCCTATGCATCTTTTTTTTTTTTTTTTGAGACGGAATCTCATTGCAACACCCAGGCTGGAGTGCAATGGCACGATCTCGGTTCACTGCAACCTCTGCCTCCCGGGTTCAAGAGATTCTGCTGCCCCAGCCTCCAAAGTAGCTGGGACTACAGGTGGGCATGGCCACACCCAACTAATTTTTGTATTTTTAGTAGAGATGGGGTTTCACCATGTTGGCCAAGCTGGTCTCAAAGTCCTAACCTCAAGTGATCTTCCTGCCTTGGCCTCCCAAAGTGCTGGGATTATAGCCATGCATCCTTTTCAATATTACATCTCTCCTGCTCCAGTGAAAGTCTGCTTATCTACACAGTACCTTTCCCAGCTTTCAAATCCTTTGTGAAATAAAATAGGGTACAAATACATTAAATAAAGCTGACCCAGGGCCTTGTGCAGCGCCTGGCTCAAATAAAGACCCAAAATTCACCGAATGAATGAAAGAAATAGACAGGTAGTTACACTTCCGTGTGTGTATGCACTGTTACTCTTCTGCACCCACAGGACATGAAAATGCCTTGCGCTTATTCTGTAGGTCCTCTAAAACCATTTTATGTGTATATCAAGGGCTCAGATATCATTTTGGAATAATAATACTTAACATTTCTGGAGCTCTTTAAACCTTTTCTAAAGATACTTCATACCAATCCAAGTGCTTGCTCCATATTAGAGATGAGAGGATTGAAGCAGAGAGGACAAAAGCCATCGGAAACAGTTTTGGAGCTCACATGGGGCAATGTCATCAGTGGGGGGAACTGGTGGTGGGGCCCTGGTCTGCAATCTGTGGTCTTGTGCTCTTTCCCTCAAACCATATCATTTTCCCAATGACAGTGCACAAAAAAATAGCACCACTGTGACTAATGACTTTTTTCCAATTGCAGAGATTACTTCTAGATTTTTGCTCATTTTCCCATGGCATTGTGTGTATGGGGCTTGCAATCCCAGCACAACACTATCTGCTTCCCAAGAGCATCACCTAGCCCAGCCTGTTGAGGGCCTCAATTGTTGAGGGCCTCCATTGTCCTGGGACTCCGCATACCACATGCTCCTGGATCTGGCACTACCTTAGTCCCTGCCTCCTAGAAGCCATCTTCGGTGTCCAGTAATGCTTCACCTTCCCTCCTCTTTATTTTTTATTTGTAGAGATGGAGTCTGTGTTGCCCAAGCTGGTCCCAGACTCCTGGCCTCAAACCATCCTCCTGCCTTGACCTCCCAAAGTGCTGGGATTACAAGTGTAAGCCACCACACCTGGCATCGTTTCCCTTCTCTTGCTTTTTTTGTTTTTGTTTGTTTGTAGGTACGGTCTTACTCTATCACACCCAGGCTGGAGTACAGTGGCACAATTACAGCTCACTGCAGCCTCAACCTCCAGGGCTCAAGCAATCCTCCCAACTCACCTTCCTGAGCACCTGGGACTACAGGCACACACCACCAAGCCTGGCTAATTTTCATTTTTGTAGAGGCAGGGTCTCACTGTTGCCCTGACTAGTCTCTAACTGCTGGGATCAAGCAATCCTCCCACCTCAGCATCCCAAACTGCTGAGATTACAGATGTGAGCCACCATGCCTGGTATCTTCTCCCGTCTCTTGAGTGTCATTTCAGGTGTTGACATGATAGTATCACACACATTAAGTAAGACCCGTGGAAGCCCCTGTGCACCAGAGCACAGCAGCCTGTGAGTGAAAGCCATGGGATGCCAGGTGACCGTGCCTACATCTATGAACTGGCCTGCCCCTTATGTGCAGACAGCTCCTTGCCTTGTTCCTTAGGTAGCTGGAGACTAGGTGTGGGCAACCACTACAGCATCCTGTTGGATTCTCTAGAAGACATCTTTTTCTTTTCTTTTTTTTATTCATCCAACCCAAAATGCCTTTGTTTTTCCAGTCGTAGTAGGGACGGGGCCTCGCTATGTTGCCCAGGCTGGCCTCCAACTCCTGCCCTCAAGCGATCCTCCCTCCCAATGTGTTGGGATTACAGGCTCGAGCTACGGTGCCTGGTCAGACACACCATCAGCTCTCGGGGCTCCAGGGTCCCCCTCCCACGGCCCACCCTCCCTCCTGTCTTCGGTAAAAGTGGGACATGGCGATGGGAGTAAATCACCCCAGTGACTACTGGGCGGAGGGTGTAGGGGGTGGGGAAGCACACCTAGTGGGTGTAATTGACAGGGGTTGAAGGTGGGTGGGTAGGGGTGCAGGTGGGCGGGGGAGTTGCAGGTGGGCGGGGGAGGGGCGCAAGTCCGCGGGCCCCGCCCCCAACCCCGGCCCCGCCCACCCGCCGAGGACCGCTATGCCCCGCGCCCGCTTCTCCCCCGCGCCCCTCCCCACGCCCCGCGGCCCGCCGCCCGCCCGGGTACCTCCTGTGGCAGCAGGGGCAGCGCGTGCCCCGCCTGCGTGGCCGTCGGCGTGGCCGGCTCCAGAAAGTCGTCTTCGGCGTCAGAGCTGGACATGGCACCGTCCTGACGACGGCTGTCTGGCTCCCGCCCCGTGACTACCACCATCCCTCTGGCTCTGGGCAGTGGGCGCGGCTTCGGGCGGGCGGAGGCGGCGGCCCCGGGCACTCCCTACCGCCGAGCAGCGCCTGGCATGACGCGGCCGGCTGCGGGCTGGCCGGAGGGGGGCGAGAGGCAGTGCGCAGGCGGGAGGGCGGTGGCTCCCTCAACGCCGACCCGCTCGCGCCCAGCTGGGGCCTGACCCGACCGCCTCCCGCTACTGGCCGACGCCGCGCTGGTTCCGCCCTGATTGGCAGGAAGCTCGCCCAGTCGAAGAGCAGGCAGCGCCAGCGGCCGGCGCCTGAGTGGTCCCTGGGTTGGGGGGGGGGGGGGGGGGCGGCCTGCGAGCCTGCCGTGCACTGATTGGTCCTCTGGCCAGCGGGCGCGCCCTCTCCGAGAGACCCGGCGGTGGTGCGCCGCTACGCTCTCATAACTGGGCGTCGGAGTCTGCCGTGAAGAGGGTTCTCACCCGCGTCAGGGTAGACGCCTTATCCCTTCACACAGGGGGTCACGACTTACTCGTGTGTCTGGCCCCAGAGCAGCGGGTCCTTGTCTCCTCAATGGAAGGCCTGAGCAGCCTTTCCTGGAGGATGTGGCGGGAGGAGGGCTGAGGTGGCTGCGGACACGCCACCGCGGCTGGCCCCGCCCCGAGCCGCAGGGCACCGCCCGGGTGTCCAGTTCTTCCTCACTCGCTCGCGCAGAAATCCGAACGAGAAAACCCAAAATAGGAGCGCTTGAGTTCAATGAATAATGACAGTGACTCCCCACCGTGACCGTTTTTCCACCGGGACACACAGATGGAGACAGGCCCTTCCCCAAGATGCTCCCGGCTCCCTGGGAGGCGGAGTCCAGCCCTAGAGGCTCTATCAGCGCAGGGAGTCTCCTGGGGGTCAAGGTTCTTAGCCCGTTCAAGCCATTTTCTCCTTTCTTTAAAAGACAAAGTCTCACTCTGTTACCCAGGCTGAAGTGCAGTGGCGCAATCATAGCTCATTGCAACCCCTGGGCTCAAGCAATCCTCCCGCCCCAGCCTCCCGAGTAGCTGGGACCACAGACGCGCACCACCACACTCAGCTGATTTTTTAAAATTTTGGCCGGGCGCAGTGGCTCACGCCTGTAATCCTGGCTCTTTGGTAAGCGATGCGGGTGGATCACCTGAGGTCAGGAAGTTGAGACCAGCCTGGCCAACATGGTGAAACCTCATCTCTACTAAAAATACAAAATTAGCCAGGCATGGTGGCACACCTGCAATCCCAGCTACTAGGGAGGCTGAGGCAGGAGAATCGCTTGAACCCAGGAGATGGAGATTGCAGTGAGGCGAGATCACGGCCACTATACTCCAACCTGGGCAACAAGAGCGAAACTCCGTCTCAAAAAAGAAAAAAAAATTTTTTTTTTTTTTTTTTTTTAAGAAATGGGGTCTTGTCATGTTGCCCAGGCTGGTCTCAAACTCCTTGCCTCAAGCTGTCCTCCCTCGTCAGCCTCCCAAAGTGCTGGGATCGCAGGCGTGTGCAACCATGCTTCTCCTTTTCAAACCGTTTTCACACCCAGTTCCTCATCTCATTCTCACAGTGTAGTGACAGAAAAGAAAACTGAGTCGTAGATTAGACAGCTCCAGGATGGCAAAGATGAGCTGGTGGCATAGCACTTCCTCTGTTAGACCATCGCACTCCCAGCTGCAGGAGTGTCCTAGGTCTGTGTTTTCTCCAACTTCAGTTGCATCAAAATCCCTGGAGGGAGACCTTGTTTAAACACAGATGAAAAGGAATGAAATCACGTCATCTGCAGCAACGTGGATGGACGTCATTATGTTAAGTGAAATAAGCCAGGCACAGAAAGACATAAATATTGCATGTTCTTATCTGTGGCAGCTAAAACAAATCGATCTCATAAATTTAGAGAGTAGAAAGAAACCAGAGGCTGGGAACGGTTGGGTGAGAAATGAAGAGATTTAGGTTAATGAAGGACATACAGTTAGATAAAAAGGTTTATGTTCTATGGTTCAAAAGCAGAGTAGTGACTATAATTAACAACAATGGATTGTATATTTCAAAATAGCTGGAAGACACTTTGGGAAGCCAAGGCGGGAGGATACCTTGAGCCCAGGAGGTCAAGACCAGCCTGGACAACGTAGTTAGACCCTGCCTCTACAAAAAATAAAATATATATATAGCTGAGTGTGGTGGCTCACATCTGTAGTCCCAGCTACTAGGAGGGTAAAGCAAGGAGGATCATGCGAGCCAGGGAGGTCGAAGCTGCAGTGAGCTGTGATTGCACCACTGCATTCCAGTGCCTAGGTGACAGAGACTCTGTTTCAACAACAACAATAACAAAAATCTAGAAGAGAGGACTTGAATTGTTTCCAACACATGAGTAAATTCCCAAAGTGATGGATACCACTAATGCTCTGACTTAATCATTACACATCCTATGCACGTAACAAAATATCACAGATATCCCATACATATGTAAAATATTATGTATCCATAAAAAGTTAAAATAAAAAAATAAACAGAGCCCCAGTCCCACCCTCAGAGAATCTGAGTTGATCAGTCTTGGGTGAAGCACTTGGTAATTTGCATTCCTAACAAATCCCAGGATAATTATGATGCTGCTGGTCCATGAACCACACTTTGAGTAACACTGCCCTAAAGGAGGCCCCTTGAGGCCCTCTCTTGTCTTCCATTATACTCTAGTCTTTCTCAAAAATACCTGTAACAAAATTTCCTCTTTCAATCCTTATGCCAATTGGGATGTTTCAGCTGTACCAAGAAACTGCAACCAAAAGTAGTTTAAGCAGTCAGGGAATTTTATTTTATTTTTATCTTATTTATTTATTTATTTTGAGACAGAGTCTCTGTCGCCCAGGCTGGAGGGCAGTGGCGCAATCTCGGCTCACTGCAACCTTCACCTCCTGGGTTCACGCCATTCTCCTGCCTCAGCCTCCCGAGTAGCTGGGACTACAGGCGCCCGCCTCCACGCCCGGCTAATTTTTTGTATTTTTTTTAGTAGAGACGGGGTTTCACCGTGTTAGCCAGGATGGTCTTGATCTCCTGACCTCAGGTGATCTGCCCGTATCGGCCTCCCAGAGTGCTGGGATTACAGGCATGAGCCACCACGCCTGGCCTACACAGCAACTTTTATTGAAGCAGCAATGTACAGCAGCAGCAGAGATACTGCACCTTGCAGAGCAGGGCTACCCCATAAGCAGTGTGCCCAGCGTAGCAGCTCAGAGGCAGTTCTGCACTTATATTTATACCAACTTTTAATTATATGCAAATTGAGGGGCAGTTTACATAGCAATTTCTAGGATGAGGTTGGTAACTTGAGGGTCAGGTCATTGGGTCACTGCTGTGGAAAGGGGCAGTGTTGCTATGGCAATGGTAAACTGACCATGCACACTTGTGTGTGTATCTTATGGAAAGCTGCTTCCACCCCAGACCTGTTTTAGCTAGTCTTCAATTTGTTGTGGTGTCTGAGTTCCACCTCCAGAGTCCAGTCCTACCTCCTTTCTCACTCCTTTGTTTTTTTGTTGTTGTTTGTTTTTATTTTTTGAGATGGGGTCTCACTCTATTGCCCAGGCTGGAGTGTGGTGGTGTGATCTTGGCTAACTGCAACTCCACCCCCTGAGTTCAAGTGATCCTCCATCCTCAGCCTCCCAAGTAGCTGGACCACCAATGTGTGCCACTATGCCTGGCTACATTTTTGTAGTTTTGGAAGAGATGGGGTTTCACCATGTTGTCCAGGCTGGTCTTGAACTCTTGACCTCTGGTGATCCGCCCTCCTCGGCCTCCCAAAGTTCTGGGATTACGGGCATGAGCCACCTCACCTAGCCCTACTTCACTTCACTCCTTTGAATTTCACAACCCTCTTCTGGCTCTCCTCTGATCTCCATCTCATTTCTATCTTTTTTGCAGATCCCATTCTCCCCTCTCATCAATTTTTTTTTTTTTTTTTTTGAGGCAGGGTCTCACTGTCACCCAGGCTAGAGTGCAGTGGCGTGAACTCAGCTCACTGCAACCTCTGCCTGCTGGGCTCAAGGAATCCTCCCACCTCAGCCCCCAGGTAGCTGGGAGTACAGGTCACCTGTACTCAGGTGACCTCAGGTGATCCACCTACCTAGGCCTCCCAAAGTGCTGGGATTACAGGTGTGAGCCACTGTGCCTGGCCAAAAAACACTTTTTAAGGATGAAAGAGCAAGTGAAGGCCAAACTTCTAACTCCACCCTCTCAACTGATATTTCTCCCTTCATTCCTCTTGGCTAAGGGACAAATAATTGAAAGAATTGAAGGAACTAGCCAAGCGTGGTGGCTCACACCTGTATTCCCAGCACTTTGGGAGGCTGAGGCAGGTGGATCACCTGAGGTCAGGAGTTTGAGACCAGCCTGGCCAACATGGTGAAACCCTATCTCTACTAAAATACAAAAATTAGCCAGGCGTGGTGGCAGGCACCTGTAATCCTAGCTACTCAGGAGGCTGGGGCATGAGAATCAGTTGAACCCAGGAAGCAGAGGTTGCAGTGAGCCGAGATCACACCACTGCACTCCAGGCTGGGTGACAGAGTGAGACTTTGTCAAAAAAAAAATTGAAAAATTGAGGGAAATAAAGACAGATGAAAATATTTGGTGGGAAGATGATGTTAGATTTGGACATGGTAAGTTTGAGGTGCCCCTGGGGACATCAGTAGGCACTGTCGGTTTCACGTAGGATAAAAATTTGAAGTTCAAGAGAAAACTCTGGGTTGGCAATTTAAATTTAGGAATCTTTACTATATACAGGTGGTAATTGAAACCAAGAAAGCAGATGAAGTCACTTTGAGAGAATATGCAGAATGGGAAAGGAAGCAAGCCAGTGACTAATTCTAGAATCCAACACTGCAGAATCCATGAGAAGGGGCTGAACACGGTACCTCACACCTGTAATCCCAGCACTTTGGGAGGCAGAGTCGGGCAGATCACCTGAGATCAGAAGTTAGAGACCAACCTGGCCAACATGGTGAAACCTGGTCTCTAATAAAAATACAAAAATCAAAAATTAGCCAGGTGTGGTGGTGACTGCCTGTAGTTCCAGCTACTCAAGGGGCTGAGGCAGGACCGTCACTTGGACCAGGAAGGTGGCGGTTGCAGTGAGCTGAGATCATGCCATTGCACTCCAGACTGGGTGACAGAGTGAGACCCCGTCTCAAGAAAAAAAAAAGAAAAGAAAAAAGTTTTTTTGCCAGCAGCCTCCCCTGGCATAAAAGCTTGGCTAAGGGCCTACTGCTCTCAACTCCCCCTCAGTCGCTGATACACCCCCATTCATTACCCACTGTTATTCCTTAGCTTGGACTTTTCTTCCAATTGTCCACTTCGTAAATGTGGCCAATAGTTCAGATTGGCTTTCTCATCTCTTTTTTTTTTTGAGACACAGTGTCACTTTGTTGTCCATGCTGGAGTATAGTGGTGTAATCTCGACTCACTGCAACCTCTGCCTCCCTGGTTGAAGGGATTCTCCTGCCTCAGCCTCTCGAATAGCTGGAATTACATGCGCACACCACCACGCCTGGCTAAATTTTTTTTGTATTTTAATGGAGACGGGGTTTTACCATGTTGGCCAGGCTGGTCTCCAACTCCTGATCTCAAGTGATCCACCTGCCTCGGCCTCCCAAAGTACTGGGATTACAGGTGTGAGCCACCTCTCCCAGCCCTCTCATCTCTTTTCTGGCCTCCCTAAAGTGTGCCTCACTTGAATGCTGGAAGCTTGAAATCTAAAAGTTACTTTTTCCCAGAGTACCTTGTGTTCTGGGTTCTGCAGGTGACCCAGCCTTCACCAAGCGGATCAATACCCTGGAGATTTGGAGGGCAAATGTGAACACCGGATTGAAGACCATATACTTTTTGCTCTTTCTGCAGGCAAGCTTGGACACGAATATGTTAAGACTTTTCTTTTTTGCTGTGGCTGTAGCAGAGGTCCCAGTGTTGGTCTCCAGCTTTATGGATGTCAAAAGACTGGATGGATGGATGGGTGCCATGTGGCTCATGCCTGTAACCCCAGCACTTTGGGAGGCCAAAGCGGGCGGATCACCTGAGGTCAGGAGTTCGAGACCAGCCTGGCCAACATGGCGAAACCTCGTCTCTACTAAAAATACAAAAATTACCTGAGCATGGTGGTGGGTGCCTGTAATCCTAACTATTCAGGAGGCTGAGGCTGGATAATTGCTTGGACCTGAGAGGCAGAGGTTGCAGTGAGTGGAGATCGCACCACTGCACTTCCTGGGTGACAAAGCAAGACTCTGTCTCTAAAAAAAAAAAAAAAAAAAAAGACAGATGGAAGCATCCATTTTGCTGTTCTATTCATCTCTGTAATATCTCCGCAGTCTAGTACAATGCCTGGCGCATAGTAGAAACTCAATAAATTGATATGTGAAAGAAGTTTGTGCTATGATCAAGCTCAAATAGTTACCAATGACCATAGATTTTTTTCTCATCTATTTCATTAGTGCTATTAGCATATAGAGGAATAAATTGCTGTTATTAATATCATAGAGGTAGGGAATCCCAGGATACTATAATGCTGGGCTGGTGGGAAGGGTCTTAAGTGGTGAGCGTCCTGGGAGTATTAACCAGAGCAAAGCATTCAGGGAGGGCTCTTTGGTTTGGGATGCACGTTAGTCACCATAGATATCTTCACTGTGCACGATGACACAGGTCCTGAAGTGCTCTCAACTCAAGCTCTTTACATGTAGGCTTCTTTTCCTTTTGTTGTTTTTTTAAAAACAGAGTCTCACTCTGTTGCCCAGGCTGGAGTGCAGTGGTGTGATCATAGCTCACTGCAGCCTCAAACTCCTGGGCTCAAGTGATCCTCCCATTTTAGCCTCCCGAGGAGCTAGGTCTTGCAATGCTTTTTCATACAATGTGTGGAATTTACAGATAACACAAGTAGTTATTATTTTTTTTAATTCCTAGGGCCGGATGGTGGTGCCAAGGTTGTCTGGCTACTTATCTTCTGTTTCTTTCCAACTTTTTGCTTTCTCTCTTTCCTCCCGTTTTGTGAACTAGGCAATGTCGTGGGAGAAGGGCAGCAGGAGTAGTAGTGGGCTCCTTCCTTATCTTTTTTTTTTTTTTTTTTTGAGACGGAGTCTCGCTCTGTCGCCCAGGCTGGAGTGCAGTGACGCGATTTCGGCTCACTTCAAACTCCGCCTCCCGGGTTCACGCCATTCTCCTGCCTGAGCCTCCTGAATAGCTGGGACCACAGGCGCCCGCCATCATGACCGGCTAATTTTTTTTGTATTTTTAGTAGAGACGGGGTTTCACCATATTAGCCAGGATGGTCTCGATCTCCTGACCTCGTGATCCGCCCGCCTCAGCCTCCCGCCCAGCCTCCTTCCTTATCCTGACCTTGTGATCCATCCGCCTTGGCCTCCCAAAGTACTGGGATTACAGGCATGAGCCACCGCACCCAGCCTTTTCTTTTTCCTTTCTTTTTCTTTCCTTTTTTTTTTTTTTTTTTTTTTTTTGAGACAGAGTCTCACTCTGTCGCCCAGGCTGGAGTGCAGTGGCACAATCTCAGCTCACTGCAACCTCCGCCCTCCGAGTTCAAGTGATTCTCCTGCCTCAGCCTCCCAAGTAGCTGGGATTACAGGCGCCTGCCACCGTACCCAGCTAATTTTTTGTATTTTTTGGTAGAGATGGGGTTTCACCATCTTGGCCAGGCTAGTCTTGAACTCCTTACCTCGTGATCCACTCGCCTCAGACTCCCAAAGTGCTGGGATTACTGGCGTGAGCCACCGCGCCCGGTCTTTGTTTTCCTTTTTTTTTTTGTTTTTGTTTTTTGAGACAAGGTCTCACTCTGTTACCCAGGCTGGAGTGCAGTGGTGTGAACATGGCTCACTGCAGGCACGACCTCCCAAGCTCAAGTGATTCCCCCACATCAGCCTCCCAAGTAGCTGGGATTACCGGAGTGCACCACCATGTTCTGCTGATTTTTAAAATTTTTCATAGAGTTGGAGTCTCACTACGTTGCCCAGGCTCGTCTTTTTTTCTTTGAGACAGGGTCTCGCTCTGTTGCCCAGGCTGGAGTGCAGTGGTGTGATCATAGCTCACTGCAGCCTCAAACTCCTGGGCTCAAGTGATCCTCCTATTTTAGCCTCACGAGGACCTAGGTCTATAGGCATGCACCACCATGCCCAGACAATTTTTAAAGTTTTAAAATTTTGTGTAGAGACAGGGTCCCACTATGGTGCTGAGGCTGGTCTCGAACTTCTGGCCTTAAGTGATCCTTTTGTCCTAACCTTCCAAAGTGCTGGGAATACAGGCATAAGCCACCATGCCCAGCCTACATGTAAGCTTTTGATGAATTCTGTTTTCTATTTTTATTTATTTTATTTAATAAAATTATTAATATAATTATATTGAAGTGGCTCATGCCTGTAATCTCAACACTTTGTGAGGCCGAAGGAGGTGGATTGCAAGGTCACTAGTTCGAGACCAGCCTGGCCAACATGGTGAACCCGTCTCTACTACAAAAAAATACAAAAAATTAGCCAGGCGTGGTGGCATGAACCTGTAGTCCCAGCTACTCAGGAGGCTGAGGCAGGAGAATCGCTTGAACTCGGGAGGCAGAGGTTGCAATGAGCTGAGATGGCGCCACTGCACTCCGGCCTGGGTGACAGAGTGAGACTTCATATCAAAAAAAAGAAGAAGCAGGGTGCCGTGGCTCATGCTTGTAATCCCAGCACTTTGGGAGGCCAAGGTGGGCAGATCATGAGGTCAGGAGATCAAGACCATCCTGGTTAACATGGTGAAACACCCGTCTCTACCAAAAATACAAAAAATTAGCCGGGCGTGGTGGCGGGCGCCTGTAGTCCCAGCTACTCCGTAGGCTGAGGCAGGAGAATGGCGTGAATCTGGGAGGTGGAGCTTGCAGTGAGCCGAGATCGTGCCACTGCACTCCAGCCTGGGTGACAGAGCGAGACTCCGTCTCAAAAAAAAAAAAAAGAAAGAAAGAAAATAGTGTTCCTTGAAGTTAGTTTGAGAATCCATAGTTGTCTTGCATAATATTGCATGTTGCTTTTTCATCATTATGTTTCTTTCTCATTTATTTATTTATTTATTTATTTTTGGAGACAGGATCTCCCGCTGTCCTCCAGGCTGGAGTACAGTGGCACCATCATGTGGGGAAAAGAAAGAGAGATCAGACTGTTATTGTGTCTATGTAGAAAGAAGTAGACATAAGAGACTCCATTTTGTTCTGTACTAAGAAAAATTCTTTTGCCTTGAGATGCTGTTAATCTGTAACCCTACCCCCAACCCTGAGCTCCCAGAAACATGTGCTCTGTCAACTCAAGGTTTAATGGATTAAGGGCTATGCAGGATGTGCTTTGTTAAACAAATGCTTGAAGGCAGCATTCTTGTTAAAAGTCATCACCACTCCCTACTCTCTTGTACCCAGGGACACAAAACACTGCAGAAGGCCGCAGGGACCTCTGCCTAGGAAAGCTAGGTATTGTCCAAGGTTTCTCCCCATGTGATAGTCTGAAATATGGCCTCATGGGAAGGGAAAGACCTGACCGCCCCCCAGCCCAACACCCATAAAGGGTCGGTGCTGAGGAGGATTAGTAAAAGAGGAAGGCCTCTTTGCAGTTGAGATAAGAGGAAGGCATCTATCTCCTGCTCGTCCCTGGGGCAATGGAATGTGTTGATGTAAAACCTGATTGTATATTCCATCTACTGAGATAGGAGAAAACCACCTTAGGGTTGGAGGTGAGACATACTGGAAGCAATACTGCTCTTTAAGGCGTTGAGATGTTTATGTATATGCACATCAAAAGCGCAGCACTTTTTTCTTTACCTTGTTTATGATGCAGAGACATTTGTTCACATGTTTTCCTGCTGACCTTCTCTCCACTATTACCCTATTGTCCTGCCACATCCCCCTCTGCGAGAAACGCCAGATAATGATCAATAAATACTAAGGGAACTCAGAGACTGGGGCCGGCGCTGGTCCTCCGTATGCTGAGCACCGGTCCCCTGGGCCCACTTTTCTTTCTCTATACTTTGTCTCTGTGTCTCTTTCTTTTCTCAAGTCTCTCATTCCACCTGACGAGAAATGCCCACAGGTGTGGAGGGGCAGCCCACCCCTTTACCATGGTAGCTCACTGCAGCCTCAAACTCCTGGGCTCAAGGGATCCTCCCACCTCAGCCTTCCAAGTAGCTGGCATTACAGAATGAGCCACTTCCGCACGGGTAGTTTAAAAAACTTTTTGTAGAGATGAGGGTCTTGTTATGTTGCCCAGGCTTGTCCTGAGTTCCTGGCTTCAAGTGATCCTCCTGCCTCAGATTCCCAAAGTGCTAAGATTACAGGTGTGAGCCACTGTGCCTAGCTCAATCCTTACATCTCTAAGTGAGCTCTTGTTCTAGCCACCTCTGGAAGCACTGTGGTCAAATCCCACTCATGGGTGTAAGTATATTGGAGCCACTTCTTCAGTTCTCGTCCCACACCATAGCCAGTTTCTGTGTCATTTCCACTGGTGCATCATTTCAGATTTAAGCACCAAACAGCTTCTATATCTATTACCTCAGTATGATTCCATTAAGTGGAAAAAGAATTTCGCTGGAAATATAATCCCTGACACCCAGATAAAATGAACCCTGTCTCCTAATGTCCCCATCTTCTAAGGCTTCTCCGCTCTGCAGGCTTCCTTCTCCCAGCCCTCCCAACCCTCTTAAGAACAGCATTGGATTTGAGGCTGGGATGCACCTGCTTCTCTCAGAGGCAGGAGTAGAGTACCAGGGAAAAACAAGTTGCCATTTGGTGGCTTCTAGCTCTGGAGTTCTGACATTTGTTGGGAACTGCCAGCTGAGAGTTCTCTTGGTTGGCTAGAAACATTAAGGCATAGTGAAATATTAAAATATCCCAAGGCAGTATAGGATTTAAATAATCTGTAAGAGCAGGGGGGCCCGGCGCGGTGGCTCACGCCTGTAATCCCAGCACTTTGGGAGACAGAGGTGGGTGGATCACTTGAGGTCAGGAGTTTGAGACCAGCCTGGCCAACATGGTGAAACCTCGTTTCTATTAAAACAACAAAAATTAGCTGGGTGTGGTGGTGGGTGCCTGTAATCCTAGCTACTTGGGAGGCTAAGGCAGGGGAATCACTTGAACCTTGGAGGCAGAGCTTACAATGAGCCGAGATTGTACCACTGCACTCCAGCCTGGGCAACAGAGTGAGACTCCGTCTCAAAAAAAAAAAAAAAAAAAAAAAAAAAAAAAAAAGAGCAGGGGTCTGCAAAACTTTTCTTTTTTTAAGAGACAGGGTCTCAGAGTGCAGTAGTGCGATCATGCTCACTGCAGCCCTGAATTGTCAGGCTCAAGCTATTCTCCCGCCTTAGCCTCCCAAGTAGTTGGAACTACAGACATGCACCACCATGGTCAGCTAATTTTTTAATTTTTTGTAGGGACAGGGTCTTGCTATGTTGCCTAGGCTAGTCTCCAACTGCTCGCTCAAGCAATCCTCCCACATCGGCCTCCCAAAGCATTGGGATTATAGGCGTGAGTCACCGTGCTTGGCCTGCAAACTTTTTCAGCAAAGAACCTGATAGTAAATATTTTCAGTTTACCAGGCCATATGGTTTCTGTCTTTACTCAACTGTGCCCTTGTTGCAGGAAAGGAGAATGGACAGACAAGACATAGACGAACGGGCATGGTGAGACTGGGCTCACTCACTGTAGTTGCCAACCCCTGCAAAGGAGAACGAAATAAATCTTAACCGCACTGTGATATTTTCAAGTGTACCCAGTCTAATGTCCTAATAGCTGACACACTGCTTCATTTCTGATTCGAGTTTCAGTTATTCAGGCCAGGCACGGTGGCTCATACCTGTAATCCCAGCACTTTGGGAGGCTGAGGTGGGTGGATCACTTGAGGTCAGGAGTTCGAGACCAGCCTGGCCAACATGGTAAAAACCCGTCTCTACTAAAAATATAAAAATTAGCTGGGCATGGTGGCACATGCCTGTACTCGGGAGGCTGAGGCAGGAGAATCACTTGAACCTGCAGGCGGAGGCTGCAGTGAGCCGAGATCGTGTCACTGCACTCCAGCCTGAGCGACAGAGCAAGACTTCATCTCAAAAAAACAAATAAAAAAAACCTTTCATTGTTTTTGTACTTTTTTCACAAAAGTAATTCATATTCATCATAGCACATTTAGAAAACAGCATTAGGGTCAGGTGTGGTGGCTCATGCCTGTTATCCAGCACTTTGGGAGGCCAAGGCGGGAGGATTACTTGAGCCCAGGAGATGGAGACAAGCCTGACCAACATAGCAAGACCCCTGTCTCTATTTAAAAAAAAAGAGAGAAGAAGAATAGAAAACAGAGTTAATCAGTTAACAGCCATCAGGGTCTGTTAATTTTTGATTAACAAGGTTTATCAAAAATCCTTACAGCTTCACCACTAAGAGATACCACTGGCAACATTTTGCTTTAATGTCCATCAATTTAGTGATGCTATTTATTTTTCTTTTCTTTTTCTTTCTTTCTTTTTCTTTTTTTTTTTTTTTTGAGACAGAGTCTTGCTCTGTGGCCCAGGCTGGAGTGCAATGGTGCTATCTTGGCTCACTGCAACCTCCACTTCCTGGGTTCAAGCGATTCTCCTGCCTCAGCCTCCCAAGTAGCTGGGATTACAGGCACCCACCACCACGCCTGGCTAATTTTGTGTATTTTTAGTAGAGATAGGGTTTCACTATGTTGGCCAGGCTGCTCTTAAACTCCTGACATCGTGATCCACCCTCCTCGGCCTCCCAAAGTGCTGGGATTACAGGCATGAGCCACCGCACCTGGCCTTTTCTTTGTCTCTCCTTTTTTTTTTTTTTTTTGAGACAAGGTCTCACTCTGTCACCCAGGCTGGAGTGCAGTGCAGTGGTGTGATCTCGGCTCACTGCAGTCTCAACCTCCACAAGCTCAGGTGATCCTTCTGCTTCAATTTTTGTATTTTTAGTAGAGATGGGGTTTCACCATGTTTCCCAGGCTGGTCTAGAACTCCTGGGCTTAAACAATCCTCCTGCCTTGGCCTCTGAAAGTACTGGGATTGCAGGTGTGAGCTACTGTGCTTAGCTTCTATTTGCTTTTTTGTCTATCCTTTAAATAATAAAAATGGAGAGCCAGGCACAGTGGCTTGCATCTGTAATCTCAGTGATGCTTGAGACCACAAGTTTGAGACCAGCCTGGGCAACAGAGTGAGATCCCATTTCTACAAAAAAAAAAAAAAAAAAAAGTCATGCAGATGTCGTGGAGCACTTGTAGTCCCAGCTACTCAGGAGGCTGAGGTGGGAGGATCTCTTCAATGCAGGAGTTCAGAGCTGCAGGGAGCTATGATTGCACCACTGTGCCCCAGCCTGAGAGACAGAGTAAGACCATGCCTCTAAAAATAAAAATAGTAATAATTCTAACAATAATAGAATCATACTAAACAGCTTTGTGACCTCAAATTTTCACTTAATATAATATAATATGAACTTTTTTGTGAGTTAGTAGATATTTTTCTACATCTTATTTCTGAGGGTTTTTTTTAATGTTATTTATTTATTTTTTTTTAGATTTATTTATTTATTTTTTTTATTGATCATTCTTGGGTGTTTCTCGCAGAGGGGGATTTGGCAGGGTCATAGGACAATAGTGGAGGGAAGGTCAGCACATAAATAAGTGAACAAAGGTCTCTGGTTTTCCTAGGCAGAGGACCCTGAGGCCTTCCACAGTGTTTGTGTCCCTGGGTACTTGAGATTAGGGAGCGGGTGATGACGCTTAAGGAGCATGCTGCCTTCAAGCATCTGTTTAACGAAGCACATCTTGCACGCCCTTAATCCATTTAACCCTGAGTGGACACAGCACATGTTTCAGAGAGCACATGGTTGGGGGTAAGGTCATACATCAACAGCATCCCAAGGCAGAAGAATTTTTCTTAGTACAGAACAAAGTGAAGTCTCCCATGTCTACTTCTTTCTACACAGACACAGCAACAATCTGATTTCTCTATCTTTTCCCCACCTTTCCCCCTTTTCTATTCCGCAAAACCGCCATCGTCATCATGGCCCGTTTTCAATGAGCTGTTGGGTACACCTCCCAGACGGGGTGGTGGCCAGGCAGAGGGGCTCCTCACTTTCCAGAAGGGGCGGCCGGGCAGAGGCGCCCGCCACCTCCCGGACGGGTCAGCTGGCCGGGCGGGGGCTGACCCCCCACCTCCCTCCCGGACGGGGCGGCTGGCCGGGCGGGGGCTGCCCCCCACCTCCCTCCCGGAAGGGGTGGCTGCGGGACGGAGACGCTCTTTGCTTCCCAGACGGGGTGGCTGCCGGGTGGATGGGCTCCTCACTTCTCAGATGAGGCGGCTGCCGGCCAGAGGGGCTCCTCACATCCCAGACGGGGTCGCGGCCGGGCAGAGGCGCTCCCCACATCTCAGACGATGGCCGACGGGGCAGAGACGCTCCTCACTTCCTAGATGGGATGGCGGCCGGGAAGAGGCGCTCCTCACTTCCCAGACTGGGCAGCCGGGCAGAGGGGCTCCTCGCATCCCAGACGATGGGCGGCCAGGCAGAGACGCTCCTCACTTCCCAGACGGGGTGGCGGCCGGGCAGAGGCTGCAATCTCCGCACTTTGGGAGGCCAAGGCAGGCGGCTGGGAGGTGGAGGTTGTAGCGAGCCGAGATCACGCCACTGCACTCCAGCCTGGGCACCATTGAGCACTGAGTGAACCAGACTCTGTCTGCAATCCCGGCACCTCGGGGGGCCGAGGCTGGCAGATCACTCGCGGTTAGGAGCTGGAGACCAGCTCGGCCAACACAGCGAAACCCCGTCTCCACCAAAAAAATACGAAAACCATCAGGTGTGGCGGCTCGCGCCTGCAATCCCAGGCACTCGGCAGGCTAAGGCGGGAGAATCAGGCAGGGAGGTTGCAGTGAGCAGAGATGGCGGCAGCACAGTCCAGCTTCGGCTCGGCATCAGAGGGAGACCGTGGAAAGAGAGGGAGAGGGAGACCGCGGGAGAGGGAGAGGGAGAGGATTTAGTTATTTTTTGAGATGGAGTCTCGCTCTGTCTCCCAGGCTGGAGTGCAGTGGCGTGATCTCAGCTCACTGCAATCTCTGCCTTCCGGTTCAAGCAATTCTCCCTGCCTCAGCCTCTTGAGTAGCTGGGACTACAGGCATCCGCCACCACGCTCGGCTAATTTTTGTATTTTGTAGTAGAGATGGGGTTTCACCATGTTGCCCAGGCTGGTCTTGAACTCCAGCCTCGGCTTCCCAAAGTGCTGGGATTACAGGGAGCCTTGAGTAGTATTTTTTTTTTTTTTGAGACGGAGTTTCGCTCTTGTCGCCGAGGCTGGAGTGCAATGATGCGATCTTGGCTCACTGCAACCTCCACCTCCTGGGTTCAAGCAATTCTCCTGCCTCAGCCTCCTGAGTAGCTGGGATTACAGGCGTCCGCCACTACGCCCAGCTAATTTTTTGTATTTTTTAAGTAGAGACAGGGTTTCACCATGTTGGCCAGGCTAGTCTTGAACTCCTGACCTCAGGTAATCCACCGGCCTCGGCCTCCCAGAGTGCTGGGATTACAGGCGTGAGCCACTGCGCCCAACCTAGCCTTGAGTGGTATTTTATGATGTGAATGTGCCATTATTCATTCAACCAATCGCCTTATTACTAGATTGTTTCAAATGTTTTGCTTTTATAAACTGCATTGCAATGGACACGTTTGTAGAGAAAGCTTTCAACATGTTCATGATCTATTTCCTTATTTCTTTTAACTTTAAAACTTTTTCGGCCAGGCGCGGTGGCTCAAGCCTGTAATCCCAGCACTTTGGGAGGCCGAGGCGGGCGAAACACAAGGTCAGGAGATCGAGACCATCCTGGCTAACATGGTGAAACCCTGTCTCTACTAAAAATACAAAAAATTAGCCTGGCCTGGTGGCGGGCGCCTGTAGTCCCAGTTACTCAGGAGGCTGACGCAGGAGAATGGCATGAACCGGGAGGCGGAGCTTGCAGTGAGCCAAGATCACGCCACTGCACTCCAGCCTGGGCGACACAGCCAGACTCCGTCTCAAAAAAAAAAAAACTTTTTCATAGGTTTAGCATTCCATGTATGGCTATCAGAGGGCATCTTAGGATTTCCTTCACACGACAGGGCCATGAGGGCATTTCTATGGTATATAATTTTTTTTTTTATTCTTGAGACGGAGTCTCGCTCTGTCGCCCAGGCTGGAGTGCAGTGGCGCGATCTCTGCTCACTGCAAGCTCTGCCTCCCGGGTTCATGCCATTCCCTGGCCTCAGCCTCCCCAGTAGGTGGGACTAGAGGTGCCCGCCACCACGCCCGGCTAATTTTTTTTTTTTTTGTATTTTTGTATTTTTGTATTTTCAGTAGAGACGGGGTTTCACCATGTTAGCCAGGGCGGTCTCGATCTCCTGATCTCGTGATCCACCCGCCTCAGCCTCCCAAAGGGCTGGGATTACAGGCGTGAACCACCGCACCCGGCCTCTATGGTATATAATTTTTAAAAGTGGGCGGGCGCGGTGGTTCACGCCTGTAATCCCAGCCCTTTGGGAGGCTGAGGCAGGCAGATCACCCGAGGTCGGGAGTTCTTGAACAGTCTGACCAACATGGAGAAAACCCGTCTCTACTAAATATACAAAATTAGACGGGGGTCTGCCAGGCACGGCGACTCATGCCTGTAATCCCAGCACTTCGGGAGGCTAAGGCGGGTGGATCACGAGGTCAGGAGCTCCAGCCCAGCCTGGCCAAGGTGGTGAAACCCCGTCTCTACTAAAAATACAAAAATTACCTGGGCGTAGTGGCGGGCACCTGTAATCCCAGCTACTCGGGAGGCTGAGGCAGAAGAATGGCTTGAACCCGGGAGGCCGAGGTTGCAGTGAGCCAAGATGGTACCACTGCGCTCCAGTCTGGGCAACAGAGTGAGACTCCATCTCAAAAAAAAAAAAAAAAAAAAAAAAATTAGCCGTGGGTGGTGGCTCATGCCTGCCTGTAATCCCAGCAACTCGTGAAGGCTGAGGCAGGAGATTCGCTCGAACCCCGGAGGCGGAGGTTGCCGTGAGCAGAGATTGCACCATTGCACTGGAGCCTGAGTGACAAGAATGAAACTCTGTCTCAAACAAACAAAAACAAATAAAAAGTGGTTTCATTGTGAAACTTATTCAATTTTGGATTTTCAGTTGTTATTATTATTATTATTATTATTATTTTGAGACAGAGTCTCGCTCTGTCACCAGAGTGCAGTGGCGCGATCTCCGCTCAATGAAACCGCCGCCTCCCGGGTTGAAACGATTCTCCTGCCTCAGCTTCTTGAGTAGCTGGGACTACAGGCACGTGCCACTACCCCAGGCTAATTTTTGTATTTTTAGTAAAGACGGGGTTTCACCATATTAACCAGGCTGGTCTCCAGCTCCTGACTTAAGTGATCTGCCCACCTTGGCCTCCCAAAGTGCTGGGATTACAGGCGTGAGCCACCGCGCCCGGCCAATTTTCAGTAATTATTAACAAACTCCTAGGGGAGAACAAGTCATTTATTTGTCTAACAAGATTAAACACCCCCTCCCCAATACTCAAATAATGAGCTGCTTTGTTAGGACTTAACCCCCCTGCAAAATAAAGATGACTTTTTTTTTTTTTTTTGAGACAGAGTCTCGCTCTGTCACCCAGGCTGGAGTGCAGTGGTGTGATCTCGGCTCACTGCAACCTCTGCCTCCAGGGTTCAAGTGATTCTCCTGCCCCAGCCTTCCATGTAGCTGGGATTAGAGGCACGCACCACCATGCCTGGCTAATTTTTGTGTTTTTAGTAGAGATGGGGTTTCACCATGTTGTCCAGGCTAGTCTTGAACTCCTGGGCTCAAGTGATCCACCTGCCTTGGCCTCCCAAAGTGCTGGGATTACAGGTGTGATCCACTGTGCCCGGCCAAAAATGACCTCTTTTGCTCATTTCAGAATTACTAAAGGAGTGTTCTGGTTTATGAAAAGACATGAGGTCTCTGTAGAAGACTGTGGTTAATAGTGACTGGCAGTAAATGCAACTCAATCCTGAAAATTCCTCCTTCCCTCCTTTCCTTCCTTCTTCCCAAAAATACTGAATTTGCCAAAGATCCCCAAGATTTTTAGCTCCCTAGAAATACAAATTTTGGGTTAACATTGAATTGAGTCTTAACTACACCAAGTCTTAACTTACCCATTACTTACCAGCCAGTTTTCACTAGGTAATACTACACGTTTGTTACATAGAGTGTGAAATAAAGGTTTTTTGTTTTTTTTTTGTTTTGAGACGGAGTCTCGCTCTGTCGCCCAGGCTGGAGTGCAGTGGGCAATCTTGGCTCACTGCAAGCTCCACCTCCCAGGTTCACGCCATTCTCCTGCCTCAGCCTCCTGAGTAGCTGAGACTACAGGTGCCCGCAACCACGTCCGGCTAATTTTTTGTATTTTTAGTAGAGAAGGGGTTTCACTGTTTTAGCCAGGATGGTCTTGATCTCCTGACCTCATGATCCACCCGCCTCGGCCTCCCAAAGTGCTAGGATTACAGGCATGAGCCACAGCACCCGGCCGAAATAAAGGTTTTATGTATGTTTTTCTTGATTTTCACCAAAATCATAAAGTCCTAAGGGCAGCGATCTGCCTTGGCACACACAATTATACCTATCTATTTACTAAGTACATGGCAGCTACTTAAAAGTTGTCACATGGTGGTCGGGCACAGTGGCTCACACTTATAATCCCAGCACTTTGGGAGGCTGAGGCGGGTGGATCACCTGAGGTCAGGAGTTTGAGACCAGCCTGACCAAGATGGCGAAACCCCATCTCTACTAAAAATACAAAAAAATGGCCGGGAGTGGTGGCTGACGCCTGTAATCCCAGCACTTTGGGAGGCCGAGGCGGGTGGATCACGAGGTCAGGAGATTGAGACCATCCTGGCTAACACAGTGAAACCCCATCTCCACTAAAAATACAAAAAATTCTCCGGGCGTGGTGGCGGGCGTCTGTAGTCCCAGCTACTCCAGAGGCTGAGGCAGGAGAATGGCATGAGCCCGGGAGGCGGAGCTTGCAGTGAGTGGAGATCGCGCCACTGCACTCCAGCCTGGGCAACAGAGTGACACTCCGTCTCAAAAAAATAATAATAATAAAAATAAAATTACCTGGGCGTGGTAGTGGGTGCCTGTAATCCCATCTACTCAGGAGGCTGAGGCAGGGAGAATCACTAGAACCCAGGAGGCAGGGGTTGCAGTGAGCTGAGATCGCAGCATTTCTCTCCAGCCTGGGCAACAAGAGTGAAACTCCATCTCAAAAATAAAATAAAATTAAATTAAAAAGTAAAAAAAAAAGAAATACAAAAATTAACTGGGCGTGGTGGTGGGTGCCTGTAATCCAAGCTGCTTGGGAGGCTGAGGCAGGAGAATCGCTTGAACCCAGGAGGTAGAGGTTGCAGTGAGCCGAGGTCATGCCATTGCACTCCAGCCCATGCAACAAGAGCGAAATTCCGTCTCAAAAAAAAAAAAAAAAAGAACAAAAGAGTAAGTTTACCTTTACTTGATGAGCCAGGTCTCTACTCAGTGTGTGAAAAATTAAATGCTTTTTTTTTTTCTGCCACCCCAGACTTCTGGGAAAGGAACCCAGAGCTGTGCCCAAGCATCCCAGCCTTTGCCCTCAATTGCAAACAGAGTGGAGTGTCTCTTAGCTAAGAAGTTTGTGCTACTCAAGAGTTTGCACAAACACGAAGTTGAGAAATACTGCTTGTTAAAAGGCATGTAAAAGGCAAAGGACAAACTGGTTGTCCTCTGAAGTGAAGACATTTCTATTCTACGTTGGGCTAGGATCTTGGAGGATGCAGGCAGGGAACGAGTTTTGCTGGTTTTTCAATGAGAGACCCCTTATGGTAAGAGAGGCTCTTCTGTCTCTACCTGCTTAGTTACTTTGTCTCTTTGGTACCCAGTTTCCTCATGTTTAAATTTAGGGAGTGAAAGCACACGTCCCCTAAGATCCTTTCCTCTTAGCCATTCTATGAGTTAATTAATGAGATTTGTTTTCCCATTAGCATACATCCAAAAAGGCACTCAAGCTAGGTTTTCCGTGTTTCCTGGAATCTTGTAATTGCCCCAAATGAAGTGGGAGTATTTGGAAGAGAAGCCCTTCCTTGCTTCCTTTATTTCCTTTTTAGAGACAAAATCTCTCCCTGTCACCCAGGCTGGAGAGCAGTGGTGCAATCCTGGCTCACTGCAACCTCCAACTCCTGGCCTCAAGTGATCCTCCCATCCCAGCCTCTGGAGTAACTGGAACAACAGGCACACACCACCATGCCCAGCTAATTTTTAGAATTATTTTGTAGAGACAGGGTCTCACTATGTTGCCCAGGCTAGTCTCAAACTCCTGGCCTCAAGTGATCATTCTGCCTCAGCCTCCCAAAGTGCTGGGATTACAGGCGTGAGACATTGTGCCTGGCCATTCATTGCTTTTTAATAAACTTAATTACCTTCTTTTGAATATCTTTAGAACTGCAGTGGTTTTGTCTTTTGAGGCTAGAGTTGATTTCCATAAATAGTCATTTTGAGCCAGGTCTTTTGAGTAAAGTGAGTGGCCAGGGATGATGCCACAACTTTGGCTAAAACAGTTTCCCAGAGAGCAAGCCGTGAACTCTAGAATGCTATGTGCTGGTCACCGGGCCACAGTTCACTCTTCTTCTTCTTCTTCTTCTTTTTTTTTTTTTTTTTTTGAGACAGAATCTCTCTCTGTAGCCCAGGCTGGAGTGCAGTGGTATGATCTCACTCACTGCTACCTCCACCTCATGGGTCCTTGTTCAAGCTATTCTCCTGCCTCAGTCCCCTGAGTAGCTGGGAATTACAGGCACGCACCACCACGCCCAGCTAATTTTTGTATTTTTAGTAGAAACGGGGTTTCACCATGTTGGCCAGGCTGGTCTTGAACTCCTGACCTCGTGATCCACCCGCCTTGGCCTCCCAAAATGCTGGGATTACAGACGTGAGCCACCGCGCCCGGCCCACAGTTCGCTGTTCTTACCAAACTCGGAATTGCAAATTTTATTTTATTTTATTTTATTTTTTTAGACAGAGTCTTAGTCTGTCTTACAGAATGGAGTGCAGTAGTGTGATCTCGGCTCACTGCAACCTCCGCCTCCCTGGTTCAAGTGATTCTTCTGCCTCAGCCTCCCATGTAGCTGGGATTATGGGCATGCGCCACCACGCCTGGGTATTTTTTTGTCCCTTTTTTTTTTTTTTTTTTTGAGATGGTGTCTCACTCTGTCACACAGGTTGGAGTGCAGTGGTGTGATTTCAGCTCACTGCAACCTCCACCTCCTGGGTTGAAGTGATTCTCCCTGCCTCAGCCTCCCGAGTAGCTGGGATTACAGGCACCCGCCACCACACCCAGCTAATTTTTGTATTTTTAGTAGAGATGGGGTTTCACCATGGTGGCCAGGCTGGTCTCGAACTACTGACCTCAGGTGATCCGCCCCCCTCGGCCTCCCAAAGTGCTGGGATTACAGGCGTGAACCAGCACACCCGGCCTAATTTTTGTACTTTTAGTAGATACGGGGCTGGTCTCAAACTCCTGACCTCAATTGATCCGTCCACCTCAGCCTCCCAAAGTGTTGAGATTACAGCTGTGAGCCACCACGGCCAGCCTGGAATGTTTAACTGCTGAATTTGATTCCTGATTTTGGTTGTGCTAGACACTCCCACTACTTTTTTCTTTAAAAATTACTCGTTTGTTCAGCTCCTTAAAAAAATCTTTGGTGTTTTATACGTCAAAATATGTGAGGCCAGGTGTGGTGGCTCACGCCTGTAATCCCAGCATTTGGGGAAGCCAAGGTGGGAGGCTCTCTCAAGCCCAAGAGTTCAAATCCAGTCTGGGCAACATAGTGAGACCCGTCTCTACAAGAACTAAAAAAAGTAGCTCTTTCCCGAGGAGCGGGCAGCGGCGGAGGCGGCAGCGGCCTGTGCAGCAATGGCCAAGATCAAGGCTCCAGATCTTCGCGGGAAGAAGGAGGAGCTGCTGAAACAGCTGGACGACCTGAAGGTGGAGCTGTCCCAGCTGCGTGTCGCCAAAGTGACAGGCGGTGCGGCCTCCAAGCTCCCTAAGATCCTAGTCGTCCGAAAATCCATTGCCCATGTTCTCACAGTTATTAACCAGACTCAGAAAGAAAACCTCAGGAAATTCTACAAGGGCAAGAAGTACAAGCCCCTGGACCTGCGGCCTAAGAAGACACGCGCCATGCGCCGCCGGCTCAACAAGCACGAGGAGAACCTGAAGACCAAGAAGCAGCAGCGGAAGGAGCGGCTGTACCTGCTGCGGCAGTGAGCGGTCAAGGCCTGAGGTGCGCGTTGTCAATAAAGCACGTATGGCTGAGAAAAAAAAAATTATCTGGGCGTGGTGGTGCATGCATGTAGTCCCAGCTCTTGGAAGGCTGAGGCAGGAAGATCGCTTGAGCCCAAGAGGTCGAGGCTTTAGTGAGCCATGATCATGCCACTGCACTCCAGCTTGGGTGACAGAGTGAGACCCTCTCTTGAAAAAACAATAACAACAACAACAAAAAAACCAAGTAGACTAATAATTGCAGAAACATTTTCTGTGCTCCAGCTTACTTTAAAAATTAGGCCAAATCGCCGGGTGTGGTGGCTCACGCCTGTAATCCCAGCACTTTGGGAGGCAGAAGCCAGTGGATCATGAGGTCAGGAGTTTGCCACTAGCCTGGCCAGCATGGTGAAACCCCGTCTCTACTAAAAATACAAAAAAATTAGCTGGTGTGGTGGCATGCACCTGTAGTCCCAGCTACTCTGGAGGCTGATGCAGGAGAATTGCTTGAACCCGGGAGGCAGAGGTTGCAGTGAGTGAAGATCGGGGTACTGCACTCCAGCCTGGGTGACAGGGTGAGACTCCGTCTTAAAAAAAAAAAAAAAAAAATACGGCCAGGCATGGCGGCGCGCACCTGTAGTCCCAGCTACTTGGGAGGCTAAGGCAGGAGAATCGCTTGAACCTGGGAGGCAGAGGTTGCAGTGAGCAGAGATAGTGCCAGTGCACTCCCGGCTGGGCAACAGAGTGAGACTCTGCCTCAAAAAAAAAAAAAAAAAAAAGTCCAGATGAGGTGGCTGACGCCTGTAATCCCAGCACTTTGGGAGGCCAAGGTGGGCAGATCACGAGGTCAGGAGATCAAGACCATCCTGGCCAACACGGTGAAACCCCGTCTCTACTAAAGAATACAAAAAATTAGCGGGGTGTGGTGACAGGAGCCCGTAGTCCCAGCTACTCAGGAGGCTGAGGCAGGAGAATGGCATGAACCCAGGAGGCAGAGCTTGCAGTGAACGGAGATCGTGCCACTGCACTCCAGCCTGGGTGACAGAGCGAGACTCTGCCTCAAAAAAAAAAAAAAATTAGGCTGAATCTTGGCTGGGCGTGGTGGCTCACGCCTGTAATCCCAGCACTTTAGGAGGCCGAGGCGGGTGGATTGCTTGAGATGGAGAGTTCGAGACCAGCATGGCCAACATGGTGAAAGCCTATCTCTACTAAAAATATTAAAAATTAGCCAGGAATGGTGGCAGGCACCTGTAATCCCAGCTACTCGGGAGGCTGAGGCATGAGAATTGCTTAAACCTTGAAGGTCAAACTCTTGACCTCATGATCCGCCCACCTCAGGCTCCCAAAGTGCTGAGATTACAGGCGTGAGACACCGTGCCTGCTCCATCAAAGCAGTTAACTTGCATTTAGAGACAAGATGGCCAGGCATGGTGGCTCAGGCCTGTAATCCCATCCATTTGGGAGGCCAAGGTGGGATGATCACTCTAGGCCAAGAGTTTGAGACCAGACTGGCTATCATAGAGAGAACTCCATCTCTACAAAAAAAATAGTGGGTTGTGGTGGCGCAAATCTGTAGTCCTTGCTACTTGGGAGGCTGAGGCAGAACTGCTTAAGCCCAAGAGTTTGAGGCTGTAGTGAGCTATGATTGTGCCACTGCACTCCAACCAGGATGACAGAGAAAGACCCTGCCTCAAAAATAAATAAATAAAATAAAATAGACAATAGAATCTTCTGAGCTTTTCACCCTTTCCACAGGTCATAGGTGCCTGCAAGAAATAGTGAATGTTACAGGTAGACATTTTGCATTGCAACAAAATTAGGATACGTTTCCTAACCATGTTACTGTGCAGACTGAAAAGAATAAAGAGCCAGTTTGCTGGGGATATAGGAGGAATTCAGGCACTGTGCAGATGGCTGGATTTGAAGGGACTTTTCTTTTCTCTCTTTTTTTTTTTTTTTTTTGAGACTGAGTCTAGCTCATCGCCCAGGCTAGAGTTCAGTGACGCGATCTCGGCTCACTGCCACCTCTACCTCCCGGATTCAAGCGATTCTCGTGCCTCAGCATCCTGAGTAGCTGAGATTACAGGTGCGTGCCACCACATCCAGCTAATTTTTGTATTTTTAGTAGAGATGGGGTTTCACCATGTTGTCCAGATTGGTCTCGAACTCCTGACCTCATGTGATGTGATCTGCCAACCTTGGCCTCTGAAAGTGCTGGGATCATAGGTGTGAGCCACTGTGCCTGTCTGATACCACCCTCTTAAGTCTGGATTAGACCTGCTGGCTTGCTTCTTTTTTGTTTTTTTTATGAGACAAGGTCTTGCTTTGTCCTCCAGGCTGGAGTGCAGTGGTGCAATAGTTCACTGCAGCCTCAACCTCCTAAGCTCAACAAATCATCCTGCCTCAGCCTCTTGAGTAACTGGGACCACAGGCACATGCCACCACTCCCACCTAATTTTCTGTAAAGGCAGGGTCTTACTATATTGCCTAGGCTGTTCTTGAACTTCTGGCCTCAAGTGATCTTCTCACTTTGGCCTCCCAAAGTGCTGGGATTACAGGCATGAGCCACTGCACCTGGCAAGAAATAAGGTTTAATTTATTGGTGACAGCTGTCTGTCCAGTTGGCCTTGCAGAGAGCTGCTGATGTGAGTGGGTTCAGGGCCAGGTTGAGAAGCCGTGATCCTTACGAGCTCCTCTGCACCTCCACCTTCTGGAAAAGGGCAGGGTCCCCACAGTCAGACTCTTTGCCGGCTCTCGGTGGGACCTGACTCAACAACCTGCTGACTTGTTGTCATTGTGGTTCCTGGCATGTGGCACTAAGCACTATTTTTTTTTTTTTTGAGTCAGGGTCTCACTCTGTTGCCCACACTGGAGTTCAATTGTGCAATCTCAGCTCACTGCAACCTTGACCTCCCAGGCTTAAGTCATCCTTCTGCCTCAGCCTCCCAAGTAGCTGGGATCACAGGCACTTGCCACCACATCCGGCTAATTTTTGTATTACTATGACTTTTTTTTTTTTTTTTTTTTTGAGACGGAGTCTCACTCTGTCGCCCAGGCTGGAGTGCAGAGGCTGCAACCTCCGCCTCCCAGGTTCACGCCATTCTCCTGCCTCAGCCTCCTGGGTAGCTGGGACTACAGGTGCCCGCCACCAGGCCCAGCTAATTTTTTTGTGTTTTTAATAGAGACAGGGTTTCACTGTGTTAGCCAGGATGGTCTTGATCCCCTGACCTTGTGATCCCCCCGCCCCTCAGCCTCCCAAAGAGCTGGGATTACAGGTGTGAGCCACCTCGCCCAGGCTATTATTACTTTTTAGAGATACTGGGTATCCCTATGTTGTCCAGGCTGGTCTTGAACTCCTGGGTGATCCTCCCACCTCAGCCTCCCAAAGTGCTGATGTTACAAATGTGAGTCATCACAACCCAGACAGAGTTTTTTAAAAACCAAATTGAGATTTTATTTTAAAGTTTAAACAAAATTTTAAAATGTTTAAATTAGGCCAGTGCAGTGGCTCATGCCTGTAATCTAGCACTTTGGGAGGCCAAGGCGGGCTGATTACCTGAGGTAAGGAGTTCAAGACCAGCCTGGCCAACATGGTGAAACCCCGTCTCTACAAAATGCAAAATGCAAAATACAAAAAATACAAAAATTAGGCCGGGCGCCGTGGCTTACGCCTGTAATCCCAGCACTTTGAGAGGCCGAGGCGGGTGGATCATGAGGTCAGGAGATCGAGACCATCCTGGCTAACATGGTGAAACCCCGTCTCTACTGAAAATACAAAAAATTAGTAGGGCGTGGTGGCAGGTGCCTGTAGTCCCAGCTACTCAAGAGGCTGAGGCAGGAGAATGGCATGAACCCAGGAGGTAGAGCTTGCAGTGAGCCGAGATTGCGCCACTACACTCCAGCCTGGGTGACAGAGCAAGACTCTGTCTCAAAAAAAGAAAACAAACAAACAAACAAAAAATTAGCTGGTCATGGTGGTGGGTGCCTGTAATGCCAGCTACTCCGGAGGCTGAGGCAGGAGAATCACTTGAACCAGGAAGACGGAAGTTGCAGTGAGCTGAGGTCGTGCCACTTCACGCCAAGCTGGGTGACAGAGCAGGACTTCGTCTCAATCAATCAATCAATAAAATGTTTAAATTATTTTCTTAGCTGGGTGTGGTGGTGTACACCTGTGGTCCTGGCTACTTGGGGTCTGAGGCAGGGGGATGGCTTGAACCTGGGAGATAGAGGCTGCAGTGAGCTATGATCACACTACTGCACTCCAGCCTGGGTGACAGAGCAAGACCTTGTCTCAAAAAAAAAAAAAGAAAAATTTTTCCTCTGAGTCGCAGGTATTCTAACAAGCCTTGACAGCCCCCATTTTGAGATTACAGCCTGTGGCAAGGGCCTGGCAAACAGCTTCTGTGTGTATAGTTGAGGTCCTTGTGGAGTAACATGACCTCGGGCTGCATCAGTCTGTGGGTGAAAGTAAAGTTGGGTGCGGTGGCTCTCCCTGGATTCCTTGATGCTTTTAATGCCCTGAGTCCTCTACCCCACTCAACCACATTGACACTTGTGCACCAAGGTGCATGGTGTGGCCCCAGTGCCCACAGGATGGCTTGTGAGAACTGCTCCTTCAGCCCCCACCTGTGGCCTCTCCTTCTTTCTAGGGTGAAGTCTGGTTCCTGATGTTCATGCCACGCTCCTTCTCACCAGGGTGCACAGGCATCACTGTTTCTAAAACACCTCATTGAAACCTGTTCCTGGTTGGGCCACCTCACCAGTCCAGGATGGCTTTCTCTGAAGCCAGTTCTCCCACCATAGTGGAAGTAAAGAAAATCATGAAAACTGGCTGGGTGTGATGGCGCATGCCAGTAATCCCAGCACTTTGAGAGGCCAACTGGGGTGGATCACTCAAGGTCAGGAGTTTGAGACCAGCCTGGCCAACATGGCAAAAACCCATCTCTACTAAAAATACGAAAAATTAGGCCTGGCGCAGTGGCTCACGCCTGTAATCCCAGCACTTTGGGAGGCTGAGGCGGGTGGATCATGAGGTCAGGAGATCGAGACCATCCTGGCTAACAAGGTGAAACCCCGTCTCTACTAAAAATACAAAAAATTAGCCGGGCAAGGTGGCGGGCGCCTGTAGTCCCAGCTACTCGGGAGGCCGAGGCAGGAGAATGGCGTGAACCCGGGAAGCGGAGCTTGCAGTGAGCCGAGATTGCGCCACTGCAGTCCGCAGTCCAGCCTGGGCAACAGAGCGAGACTCCGTCTCAAAAAAAAAAAAAAAAAAAAAATTAGCCGGGTGTGGTGGCGTGCACTGTAATCCCAGCTACTGAGGAGGATAAGGCATGAGAATGGCTTGAACCTTGGAGGTGGAGGTTGCAGTGAGCAGAGACCATGACAGTGCACTCCAGCCAGGGTGACAGAGCAAGACTCTGTCTCAAAAAAAAAAAAAAAAAAGAAAGAAAGAAAGTTATGAAAACTCTCTCTTGAATATATGGGTACCTCCTGAACAGGGAGATGGTTGAGGGGAGCTCCTAGCAGGTGGGAGAGGGTATCCTGGTAGAGCAGGAGCTGGGACCTCAGTGTATTCAGTGTCTAGACCTCAATGGTGCCCTTTGTCACAAATATCCATCGGCATCCACTGGCTTATGTGGGGGAACCTGGGGAAAAACCAATGATATGGTTTGGCTGTGTCCCCAGCCAAATCTCATCTTGAATTTTAGCTCACATAATCCCCACGTGTTGTGGCAGGGACCCAGTAGGAGGTAATTGAATCATGGGAGCAGGTTTTTCCCAGGCTGTTCTCATGATAGTGAATAAGTCTAAAAGATCCGATGGTTTTATAAAAGGGCAGTTCCCCTGCACATGCTTTCTTGCCTGCCACCATGGAAGATGTGCCTTTGGTCTTCCTTTGCCTTCCGTCACGATTGTGAGACCTCCCCAGCCATGGTGAACAGTGAGTCCATTAAACCTCTTTTTTTAATATAAATTACCGAGGCTCAGGCATGTCTATCCCTATTTCTTTTATTTCTTTTTTTTTTTTTTTTTGAGACAGTCTCTCTCTGTTGCCCAGGGTAGAGTGCAGTGGCGCGATATTGGCTCACTGCAACCTCCGTCTCCTGGGTACAAGCGATTCTCCTGCCTCAGCCTTCTGAGTAGCTGGGATTACAGGCACCCGCCACCATGCCTGGCTAATTTTTGTATTTTTAGTAGAGATGGAGTTTCACCATGTTGGTCAGGCTGGTCTTGAACTCCTGACCTCATGTTCCGCCCGCCTCGGCCTCCAAAGTGCTGAGATTACAGGCGTGAGCCACCGCTCTGGACTCTTTTTTTTTTTTTGACACAGAGTTCCGCTCTGTCACCCAGGCTGGAGTGCATTGGCATGATCTCAGTTCACTGCAACCTCTGCCTTCCTGGTTCAAGCGATTCTCCTGCCTCAGCCTCCTGGGTAGCTGGGACTACAGGTGCCCGCCACCATGCCTGGCTAATTTTTCATATTTTTAGTAGAGATGGGGGTTCACTGTGTTAGCCTGATGGTCTCGATCTCATGATGTTGTGATCTGCCTGCCTCGGCCTCCCAAAGTGCTGGCTCATTACAGGCATGAGCCACCAGGCCTGGCCTTTGCCATCTTTTTTTTTTTTTTTTTTTTTTTTTGAGATGGAGTCTCGCTCTTGTTGTCCAGGTTGGAGTGCAATGATGCGATCTTGGCTCAACACAACCTCCACCTCCCAGGTTCCAGCGATTCTCCTGCCTCAGCCTACCGAGTAGCTGGGATTACAGGCATGCGCCACCATGCCTGGCTAATTTTTTATTTTTAGTAGAGAAGGGGTTTCTCCATGTTGGTCAGGCTGGTCTCAAAATCCCAACCTCAGGTGATCCACTCGCCTCAGCCTCCCAAAGTGCTGGGATTACGGGCATAAGCCACCGCGCCTGGCCAGGATTATCTTAATGTAATACAGACCCTCATTTCTTCCCCGTATCATATGATCCTGGAAGATGGCCCAGCCCCAGTAGATTTTTGGAATGGAGATATCCATACTTTTCTCAGTCATTATTAAAATCAAGAAATAGAATCACATAGCAACACAAAACTTGGAGCTTGACCCCCATTAAAAGAAATTTACAGGTTCAGAGTCCAGTTGAAGAAATCTTTATATCTTCAGTATTTTTGTAAAGAGGTCAGGGTGGTATCATGAGTAGGCTTAAGTCCCTACAATGTGTATGAACTTTTATAAATGCCTTGGGTATCCAGTTTCTCAACATAGCATCTTCATCACCAACTGTACCTCAGCTGACTCTGCCCCAAGGACCCACCCGTGTGTGCACACGTTGCAGGTGTTTACTGTCCCTCTCACCATGTCCTCTCCACCTCTCCCCTCTGTTTGTAACTGTCCTGTCTTTGGCATTTAAAAGCTGGTTGGCCATGGCTGGGTGCAGTGGCTCACGCCTGTAGTCCCAGCACTTTGGGAGGCCGAGGTGGGCGGAGCAGGAGGTCAAGAGATCGAGACCATCCTGGCTAATATGGTGAAACCGCGTCTGTACTAAAAATACAGAAAAATTAGCCCGGCATGGTGGCAGGTGCCTGTAGTCCCAGTTACTCGAGAGGTTGAGGCAGGAGAATGGCGTGAACCCAGGAGGTGGAGCTTGCAGTGAGCGGAGATCACACCACTGCACTCCAGCCTGGGTGACAGAGTGAGACTCAGGAAAAAAAAAAAAAAAAAATGCCGGTTGGCCACTTCTGGCCATGCCTTATCTGGTACCTGTTAGCCAACCATGACAGTGATGCCATACCCAGGACTGTCTGCTTCTTATTCTCAGGCAGGTAGGTGCTCCCAGCACTGATGTCCCTTGCTTTCCAAGTCAGCTTTTACATGTGGCCTGCTAGGAACTGGAGAGCATTTTCAGTCTCCTCAGCAGCAGCAGCAGCAGCAGCAGCAGCAGCAGAGGATCCTGCAGGCTCTATATCCACCTAAGTTAAGGTAAGGTGGATACACATCCTGGAAGCTCTGTATCTACCTCCACAACAGCTGCAGAGGATGCCTGCAGGATCCCACTGAGCAGACACACTAGCTTCACCTTCTGCACCAGAAAGGAAGAATTTAATTATTTTTGCCTGGCCAGGCATGGTGGTTCACACCTGTAATCCTATAGCACTTTGAGAGGCAGAGTCAAGAGGATTGCCTGAGGCCAAGAGTCCAGGACCAGCCTGGGTGACACAGCAAGATCCTGTGTCTAAAAAAAAACAAAATTCAGGCCAGGCGCGGTGGCTCACGCCTGTAATCCCAGGACTTTGGGAGGCCAAGGCAGGTGGATCATGAGGTCAGGAGTTCAATATCAACCTGGACAAGATGGTGAAACCCCATCTCTACTAAAAATACAAAAAAATTAGCCGGGCGTGGTGGCGGGCACCTGCAATCTCAGCTATTCAGGAGGCTGAGGCAGAGAATTGCTTGAACCCAAGTGGCGGAGGTTGCAGTGAGCCGAGATCACGCCACTGCACTCCAGCCTGGGCAACGAAATGAGACTCAGTCTCAAAAAAAAAAAATTCAAAAACATAAGACAGGCAGGGTGGTGTGCACCTGCAGTCCCAGCTACTTGGGAGCCTGAAGTGGGAGGTTCACTTGAGCCCATGAGGTTGAGGTTGCAGTGATCCATGATTGCACCACTGCAGTCCAGCCTCAGTGACAGAGCAAGACCCCGTCTCTAAAATAAAAAGTAAAATAAATAAATAAATAAATAAATATGTTACCTGGAAACTGAGTTCACCACGAGTTTCCTAACAAAAATATGAACTTCACTAATGAGCTGACCACATCGCTATTAGTTGAAATGAGGGTGGTATTATTCACTCACCACTCCCAGGAGTCAAGGCAGAATGTAATTGCTTCCAGACATATTCAGGGGATATTCCACCCAATTATCTAATTTTATTCTTCAAAGGCAGCTATATTTGGAAACTCCCATTGGTCCAGAGAGGCAGAATAATGAGAAGAAATCCCCTGTCCAGTTACCTGCAGGAATATTCCACCACTTCCATGGGCTAGAGGATTCCACTGAGATAGGGTTTACGACTTGATTTTGAACACCTGTCAACATATTCTCTGTTTGCATGGCAATTCTGACCGTTTTATGGCAACAATACCCCTGGGACAACCTGGATTTGTGGACTGAGATCCAAAGGTAGAATTTCCAGACAGTCCAACCAATATCAAGTGATGTTTCCAGAGTGGAAGGCTCTCACAGTGTCCCAGGATTTCTGGGGTTTATAAGCAGTACTGGCCATTTGTGACCCTGTTTTTTACCTAATCATTCTGTCTTTTTAGGATATGGGTTTACCAGATCCCTGGCCAAGGATCCAGCATTCCAATAGCTGAAAACCCTGTATATCTTTTCTCCTATCCTGCCTTACCCAAGACACACTTGAACCCCTCAGTAAGGCTATACAGAGGGCCATAAGCAGGGGCAGCCTCTCCCTTGTTTCTGCAGCTCCATGATGAGGGGTTGGCTGAGGCCAGCAATCCTTGTAGGTGTGACAGTTGCAATATAATCAACAGTTTCAAGGTCTACAGGCACCGTTTGAAAGAACCGCTTTAGGGATGCCTATCTACAGCAGCCTGGAGCAGCCAAGGTGAACCTGAGATTTTGACCCACACAATAAGGGGTGGGGGGCATTCTTTTTCAAATATTTTGGCTTCAGCAGACACTTCATTACATATGCAAATATTGAGAGATTAACAGAAATTCCAGCTCTTATGCCTGACTGAGAAGAGCCACTGCAAGTTGCAGTTAGGTACCCATGTGCAGCAGAGGCCAGCTGAATCCCAGAGCTTCCCAAAGTGGACACCAGCGGGGACTATTCCTGATGTCCCACCCAAGAGAGGAAGATGAACTCTGGTGCTGCTGCTCTGCCCAAATGCATCCCATGTGCATTCACGTGTCACCCATTCAAAATAAATAACATGGAATTCTTGGAACCTTGTATCTGACATGTAAGACCAGCTTACACATTGGGCTGGGTGCAGGGGCTCACACCTGTAATCCTAGCACTTTGGAAGGCTGAGGTGGGCAGATTGCTTGAGCACAGGAGTTCCAGACCAGCCTGAACAACATGGTGAAATCCTGTCTCTTCAAGAAATATTAAAAAAAAAAAATTGGGCTGGGCACAGTGGCTCATGCCTGTAATCCCAGCACTTTGGGAGGCCGAGGCAGGTGGATCACCTGAGGTCGAGAGTTCAAGACCAGCCTGACCAACATGGAGAAACCCTGTCTCTACTAAAAATGCAAAATTAGCCAGTCGTAGTGGTGCATGCCTGTATTCCCAGCTACTAAGGAGGCTGAGGCAGGAGAATTGCTTGAACCTGGGAGACGGAGGTTGTGGTGAGCTGAGGTCATGCCATTGCATTCCAGCCTAGGCAACAAGAATGAAACTCTGCCTCAAAAAAAAAAAAAAAAAATTGGCTGGGTGTGGTGGTACATGCCTGTAGTCCCAGCTACTTAGGAGGCTGAGGTGGAAGGATTGCCTGTGCCCAGGAGGTCAAGGTTGCAGTGAGTTGTAATCAGGCCACTGCACACCAGCCTGGGAAACAGAGTGAGACCCAGTCTCAAAAAAAAAGTCTACACCATCATTGTCTCCTTGGGTCATCTGGCCTGTCTTGTATTTAGGGTCATTTGTATTAGGAGATAGAAATCACAGAGTAATTTGAATAATTTATACCTTTAATTAGAGAAGTGAGGGATCAGCAAATAAAGATAACTATAAAGAAATAGGTCAAGAAAGGGGCTGGAACAAAGTGGCGACATTTTGGGATAGCCATTGTGGGAGAAACAGAGACGAAATTGCATGAGGACAAACAATAATTTCCAAGCAGCACTGAGGACCTGGATGAAGCGAGAAAACCAGCTCTGATGAGTTGTAGTAACTCAGATCAGATCAGCTTTTCATTTGTCTCACAAGGCCCAGCGATCAACATGAGAGAGCGAGAAAGCCAGATAGCTGGGGGGTCCTGGCAAGATGACGAGTAGAGGCAGTGCTCAAGCAGTGAGCATCAAAGGATGGGGCTAACCTGCGGGAATGTGGTTGGAATGATGGGACCTGGATGAAGTAAAGAAGAAATAAGACAGGGGCCAGTTTCTGGACTCTGCAACTGGGAAAGGTGTACAGGTCCAAAGCCTGATAGGGTCTGAAAGCAAGCTTATGACACAAGGGTGTTGAGAAAGTAAGATGATGGTCATCAGATGGGGATTCCATAAGACTAGATTTTGGATGGGATCTACTCTACCTAACTCTATGAGGGGAGGTGGCAGTTAGAAGCCAGAAGGTGAGAATATCAAATGGGCCATTGTTAGCCGGGCATGATGGTGTGTACCTGTAATCCCAGCTCCTTGGAGACTGAGGCAGGAGAATCGCTTGAACCTGGGGGTGGAGGTTGCAGTGAGCCGAGATCGTGCCACTGCACTCTAGCCTGGGCAACAGAGTGAGACTTTGTCTCAAAACAAAACAAACAAAAAAATCAAATGGGCCGTTGTCATGGATGTCCAGCATGGAGACCCACTATCTGCCAAGTGCCCACACACTGTTGGATTTAGTGAACAACTTAGATGTCAGTGGGTGACCAAAATGAGGAAAGGCATGGCTGGAATATGGCAGCCACTGTTGGCTGGAAATGGCCAAGGAGTAATTGTGAACTTTATAGTGAACTTGAGTCCAAGCTGCTATTTAACTGTTCAATAAATGAACAAGCATCATTAGCTGAAACAGAATGTAAAGAAAAATAAGAGGGAGAAATCAGACTTTGATTTCAGGACTATTTCTAATTTAGGCTCCAAAGCTTAAGAGAAGTACAGAGGACTTGATTTTTAGAAAAACTTAAAAATTATTAAATAGATAAGATCATATTCAGAGCTAAATTTAACCAGAATCTAACATTGTTTCCCAGATGAAGAGTTTCACAAAGCCGACTAACTAGTCCAGCTGACTCCCTAGGCTGCTGGGTAGCAGAGTGGGGACATGTCTGTGTGCTGAGACTTGGTGTGTCCCTGTCTTGAAGCCCAGGGCCTGGCTCTGCACTGCCAGGTTACCCAGATGCAGTTATAGAAGAAAAGCCAAAACAACTTGCAGAAAATAAGTCTGCCGAAAAGATAAATAATAGTATTCCAATACATGAACAGACTTGTGACATCTCTTCTCTGGGGACAGAACAAGAGGATACAGGTTTATATCCCAGCAAGAGGAATTCTGCCGAGACCAGTTCGGTCAGGGAGACCCTAACCCAGCGGCGGTAGAGGAATTAAAGATACACACACAGAAATATAGAGGTGTGAAGGGGGAAATCAGGGGTCTCACAGCCTTCAGAACTGAGAACCCTGAACAGAGATTTACCCACGTATTTATTAACAGCAAGCCAGTCATTAGCATTGTTTCTATAAGATATTAAATTAACCAAAAGTATCCCTTATGGGAAACGAAGGGATGGGCCGAATTAAAGGAATAGGTTGGGCTAGTTAACTGCAGCAGGAGCATGTCCTTAAGGCACAGAGCGCTCATGCTATTGTTTGTGGCTTAAGAATGCCTATAAGCGTTTTTCTGGTTTTCCGCCCTGGGTGGGCCAGGTGTTCCTTGCCCTCATTCCGGTAAACCCACAATCTTCCAGCAAGGGCGTTATGGCCATCATGAACATGTCACAGTGCTGCAGAGATTTTGTTTATGGCCAGTTTTGGGGCCAGTTTATGGCCAGATTTTGGGGGGCCTGTTCCCATCAGATTCTACATTAAATACAAGGAAACTTGGCCGGGCACGGTGGCTCACGCCTGTAATCCCAGCACTTTGGGAGGCCGAGGTGGGCGGATCGCGAGGTCAGGAGATCGAGACCATCCTGGCTAACACGGTGAAACCCCGTCTCTACTAAAAATACAAAAAAATTAGCCGGGTGTGGTGGGCGCCTGTAGTTCCAGCTACTCGGGAGGCTGAGGCAGGAGAATGGCGAGAACCTGGGAGGCAGAGCTTGCAGTGAGCCGAGATCACACCACTGCGCTAGCCTGGGTGACAGAGCGAGACTCCGTCTCAGAAAAAAAAAAAAAAAAGGAAAGTTTCTAACTGGAGATATGAGATGAGCTACACAAGAAGAAGCCAAAACATCTGCCCTGGTGCTGCACTGTTGCTCAGTCGTATCATTTTCTGAGTCCTGAGAGTTTTCATATTTGGATAAGTGATCAGTCTGAAAGTCACTTAAGTCCTGCCTAAACTCCAGGACAGCTGGCATCTTCCTTCTCCTCTTTCTTCTCACGTGGCTTCACCCTCACAGTCCCTCATGCTCTCAACTTGGAGCCATCATCTTATCACGATCTCCCTAGCCTCCCTAACCCTCACTCCTGCCTGGTTATTCTATATCACCATGTTATTTATTTTTTAAGTAATTATGATTACGTTATAGGCTTAATTGTGATCCCCACCAGATTCATATGTTGTAGTCCTAATCCCAGTACATCAGAATGCAACTGTATTTAGAAACAAGGTCTCTAAAGAGGTGAGTTAAGATGATGCCATTAGGGTGGGCCCTAATCCAATTCAACTGGTGACTTTATAAAAAGAGGAAATTTGGACACACACAGAGACACTAAAAATGCATGTTCACAGAGAAAAGGCCATGTAAGGACACAGTGAAGAGGTCACTTTCACTGGTGTCCGTGTGAAGAGACCACCAAACAGGCTTTGTGTTAGCAACAAGGCTGTTTATTTCACCTGGGTGCAGGCAGGCTGAGTCCTGGAAGGGACTCAGAGTCAGGGAAGGCAGATAGGGGTGGGGCTGTTTTATAGGATTTGGGTAGGTAAAGGAAAATTTCAGTCAAAGGGGGTTGTTCTCTGGCAGGTAGGGGCGGGGGACACAAGGTGCTCAGTGGGGAAGCTTTTGAGCCAGGATGAGCCAGGAAAAGGAATTTCACAAGGTAATGTCATCAGTTAAGGCAGTAACAGGCCATTTTCACTTCTTTTGTGATTCTTCAGTTACTTCAGGCCATCTGGATGTATACATGCAGGTCACAAGGGATATGATGGCTTAGCTTGGGCTCGGAGGCCTGACAGTGACTATCTATAAGCCAAGAAGAGAGGCCTCAGGAGAAACCAAACCTGCCAGTTCTGTGATCTTATCTTGGATTTCTTTTTTTTTTTTTTTTTCGTTTTTTTAGAGGGAATCTCTCTCTTTTACCCACGCTGGAGTGCAGTGGCACGATCTCGGCTCACCGCAACCTCTGCCTCCCAGGTTCAACAGATCCTCCTGCCTCAGCCTTTCTAGTAGGTGGGGTTACAGGCACGCGCCACCTTTGGATCCACACCTCCTCCCGTCCTGAGCCAAAGGCCACGGAAGTGACGTTTGCACGCCGTGCGTAACGTGCATTCTGGCGGTGCCGGGAGCGGGGCGAGGAGGAGGGTGGGTATGAGGCGGTAGCGGACCGCGGAGTCGAGACCTACCCGAACGACGCGGGCGAGCGGGGCTTTGGACGCCGGTGGAGACGCAGGCGAGGTACGGAGCGGAAGGACTAGGGCCAAGAGCAGCGCGGCTCTCAGCTCCGGGAGCGGGGCGGCGAGGTGTCTCGGGCCGGGGTTGGGGGGAGCGGTTGGTCTGTGCCGTCCGCGCGGCGGGGGCGGTTGCGCGTCGGTGCCTCCCGCTGTCCTTCGTCCCACATTCCAGCCTCGTCAGCCCCGCCTGCCCCGTTCCAGGCCGCCCTCGGCTCCCTTAATCCTCCCAGTGCGCGGCTTCTCTGTCTCAGGCGCTGGTTGCCGGCGTCTGCAGCGGCCGGCCAAGCCCCGAAGGCGTGAGGCGGAGCATTTCTTGGCCGCCTCCCTCTGCGGCGGCTTCCCTCGGCCCGGCTCCCACTTCCCCGTCCAGGACGCTGGTTCCGAAGCAACATTTGTGGTCGGGCGGGGCCTCTCACAGAACATCCCCGGAACGCTCCGGGATGGGACTCTCGGACCCAAACCACAGACCCCGGCCGCGGCAGGGGCGCCGGGACTTGATCCCGCGTTGCCCTGGGGGGACAGAAGCGTCCCGGAGTGGGGAGGGGATTTGAAGCCTGTGGTCCTGATTTCCACCCCGTGGCTGAGGGCGAGGCTGCGGGGCTGGGGTTAGGAGCAGAAGTCCCTGCTTCCGAACCGTCTGGGAGGAGAGCCGAGGGGTGCCCATCACGGCAGTTGAGGGAGAGAGAAGGGGGGACTCTGCCGCTTTGGAGGCTAGGTCATAGGCAGCTGGCGGTGTCTCAGCGCGGGTGACCAATCCTTGCGGTTGGGAAATGTGTCGTGGGCGCCCGTGGACTCGTTTTGCCTTTGAGATTAAATAGGAGATTTTTCCAGGACGAGTTTACCGGAGCACCTTGGGAGTTGGTTTTTGGCTCGGAGAGCTACTTTCCTCCCTCTAAACCTGAAACTGCTTTGTTTTTATTTATTATATTTTTCGACATGGGATCTCACAGTGTTGCCCAGGCAGGTGTGAAACTCCTGGCCTTAAGCGATGCTCCCGCCTCGGCCTCCTAGAGTGCTGGGATTATAGGCGTGAGCCATCGCGTGGCTTTAACTGCTGTTGGAGTCTGCTCCTTAAAATTGTTATGCCAAGAAACTTGCCAGAGATGCAAGAAAATGTGATTATATTGTTAATATTTAATGATAAATAACATTTTGCTTTTAAGAGTTACTGATTCATATCTGCAGGATTAAGAAGTGTTCAGGATTTGAATTTTTAATGACCTTCCAAGCAGTCATGTTTCTGCTCTCTAGAAGTTAGCCAGTTGAGGAGAAGGGACAGTCAAGATACTTTCAAAACAGTGTGGTAAGGAGTGTGAGCTAAGATGGAGCACCGAGGAAGGAGCCGGGCATTTAGGCCGTGCTGTTGGGTGTGGAGCCTAGAAGGGATCAGGGAATACTTTCTGCATGTGTCTTGAAGAATGAGTAACATTCATACTAACAGGGTGGAGTGACGGAGAGGGGGGAACCAAAGGAGAGGAGGCCAGTAACTACAAGGAGGTGCTTATTTATTTATTTAATTGAGAGAGAGGGTCTCACTTTGTCACCCAGGCTGGAGTACAGTGACACGATCACGAGTCACTGAAGTCTCAACTGCCTGGGCTCAAGTGATCCTCCCACCTCAACCTCCTGAGTACCTAAGACTGCAGATGCGTGCCACCACACCTAGCTGATTTTTAAAGATTTTGTAAAGATGGGGTCTTGCTGTGTTGCCCGGGTTGGTCTTGAATTCCTGGACTCAAGCAGTCCTCCCTCCTCAAGTGTCCCAAAGTGCTGAAATTACAGGCATGGGCTACCGAGCCTGGAGGGTGGTTATTAAAGTGAAAAAGTGCAGGACAGAGATGTAGGAGCTTAGGCTTCATCTGATGGTGACAGAACCAGGGAAGAGTTTTTAGCTGGGTCCTTTTATGGTTAAAACGGGTCTCTCTGGCAGGCACTGTGGCTCACGCCTGTAATCCCAGCACTTTGGGAGGCTGAGGCGGTTGGATCACAGGGTCAGGAGTTCGAGACCAGCCTGAGCAACATGGTGAAACCCCATCTCTGCTAAAAACACAAAAATTAGCCAGGTGTGATGGCGCCTACCTGTAATCCTAGCTACTCAGGAGGCTGAGGCAGGAGAATTGCTTGAACCCAGGAGGTGGAGTTTGTGGTGAGCCGAGATCATACCAATGCACTCCAGCCTGGGCAACACAGTGAGACTTCGTCTCAAAAAAAAAAAAAAATGGGTCTCTCTCTCTCTCTCGAATGCAGTGGCGGGAACACAGCTCACTGCAGCCTCCACCACCCAGGCTTAAGCGATCCTCTTGTCTCAGACTCTCAAGTAGCTGGGACCACAGGCCTGCCACCTACTAATTTAGCTTGCCTCGTTAATTTTTTTTTTTTTTGAGATGGATTTTCGCTCTGTCCTCCAGGCTGGAGTGCAGTGGCGCGATCTGGGCTCACTGCAAGGTCCGCCTCCTGGGTTCAAGGGCTTCTCTTGCCTCAGCCTTCTGAGTAGCTGGGACTATAGGCGCGCATCTATAGTAATCCCAGCACTTTGGAAGTCCGAGGCGGGCCGATCACAAGGTCAGGAGTTCGAGCCCAGCTTGGCCAACATGGTGAAACCCTGTTGTGGTGGTGGGCACCTGTAATCCCAGCTACTGGGAGACTGAGGCAGGAGAATCACTTGAAACCGGAAGGTGGAGGTTGCAGTGAGCCGAGATCACGCCACTGCACTCTAGCCTGTGGAAGAAGAGTGAAACTCTGTCTCAAACAAAAAAAAGTCTTGATTTTCGTATTTTCCAAAAGCTCTCTCATGGTTCCTCATATTCAGAAAAGGGAGTCTCCCATTGGGAATGAAGTCATGAGAAGAAATGGACATTTTCATAATTGTGGTGTTTTCTTTATAGTAGTGGTTCTCAAAGGTAGTTCCTAGCAGTATCACCTGGAAACTTGTTAAATTCGAATTCTCAGGCCCTATCCCAGGCCAGCTGAATCAGAAACTGAGGTTGGACCCAGTACTCTGTGTTTTAACTAGTCTTCCAAGTGATATTGATGTGCATTCAAGTCTGAGAAACACTGCTTGTCAGGTTAGTTGTTTGCTGTTTAATTTTTTACTCCCACCTTCACTGGGCCCTGGAGAGTGTGGAAGGGACAAAAGTGAGAGAACACTGTCTCTGCAGGTACTGTGCCAGTCTTCTGATGAATCGTTTGAGAAACTTAGAAAACATCTGTTGAGCACCTGCTCAGTTCCTGGCACTGTGCTAAGTGGCTAAGAGCATGGGGTGGACATGTAAGCAAGTAATTGTAATAGGACATGAGTATTATAATGGCTGTATTTATAAAAAGCTACAGGAACTGGAGAGAGAATTACCCTGTCAGTGGGGAAGTTGGAGTCAGATGTCCCTTGATCCTTGAACAGGGTAGGATTTGAAGGTGAACAGACAGAAGGGTATTCTAAGTGGGTTCGTACATAGGATGACCATGCAATTTATTATCCACAGGTGGTCACTTTTGAGAATCAAAGGGGGTGCTTTTAGGCCAGGACTGTTGCTTGCTAACTGGGGTGTATGATTGCCCTATTTGTAAAGAATAAGTGATGCTGTGAACCCAGAGTTCGATGTAAATTTGTGGAAAACTCATTTCTTCTAATTATTTGTAGAGTTTACAACAATTCTTATTGGATGGTATGTTTTTTTCCCTAGGGCTGCTGTAAAATATTACAGGCATACTTTGGAGATGTTATGGGTTTGGTTCCACATCACTGCAATAAAGTGAGTCACACAAATTTTTGTGTTACCCAGTGGATATAAAAGTTGTATTTTGGGCCAGACTCCCTCTGCATCTCTGTGTTTCAGTTGGGGTAGGGTAATTTTCCTTTGAGTTTGAAGAGCTGTCCCTGGTATTTCTTCCAGTGGATGTCTTCCCATAACAATTTTTTTTCCTCATCTGAAAATGTCTATGTAGCCTTTTTTTTTTTTTTTTTTTGAGACAGAGTCTCACAGTGTCACTTGGGCTGGTATGCAGTGGTGAGATCTTGGCTCGCTGCAACCTCCCCCTCCCTGGTTCAAGCGATTCTCCTGCCTCAGTCTCCTATGTAGCTGGGACTACAGGCGCACGCCATCACGCCCGGCTAATTTTTGTAGTTTTAGTAGAGATGGGGTTTCCCTATGTTGGCCAGGCTGGTCTTGATCTCCTGACCTTGTGATCCACCTGCCTCTGCTTCCTGAAGTGCTGGGATTACAGGCATGAGCCAACTCGCCAGGCCATTTTTTTTTTGAGACGGAGTCTCGCTCCATCGCCCAAGCTGGAGTGCAGTGGCACGATCTCATCTCACTGCAACCTCTGTCTCCTGGGTTCAAGCGATTCTCCTGCCTCAGCCTCCCATGTAGCTGGGACTACTTGCACATGCCACCATGCCTGGCTAATTTTTTGTATTTTTAGTAGAGACTGGGTTTCACCATGTTAGCCAGGACAGTCTCCATCTCCTGATCTCGTGATCTGCCCACCTTGGCCTCCCAAAGTGCTGGGAGTACAGGTGTGAGCCACTGTACCAGGCCTTTGCCATCAGCTTTTAAAGGAAGTGGTCACTTAGAACTGTATCCTAGGTGGGCAGGTTTTTTCTTTCAGCTTTTTTTTTTTTTTTAAAGCCATCATACTTTAGATTGTTTCAGCACTGTCAAATTATCTTCTGGCTTTTATTATTTCTGTTTAGAATTTAAGCCAGGCATGGTGGCTCACACCTGTAATCCCAGCACTTTGGAAAGCCACAGCAGGCGGATCACATGAGCCCAGGAGTTGGAGACCAGCCTGGCCAACAGGGTGAGGCCCTGTAGCAGCATGTGGTAGCCCTTTTTCAGTACATTGGTCAGTCCAGCTCAGTTGGATGTCATTTACATATGTGTCTTATATTTTAGATACAAGAGATTTCTTAAAAGCTTAGAGCATAACACAGATATTTATTTGATTGCGCCATCTAACAAATCTGAATAAATACATTTCAGGTCTAGGCATTGCGTTTTGTATTTCTCTAAACTAGTGTGGGCGTGTGTGTATGTGTGTATCACTTTACCCAGCCACAGCAAGTGAGTATGGATGAAATGGCTGCAGCAAAGCTAAAACTATGATATGCCTTTCAGAAAAAAATTCTGAGCTGAGTGCATTGGCTCATTCCTGTAATTCCAGCACTTTGTGTGGCCAAGATGGGAGGATTGCTTGAGGCCAGGAGTTTGAGACCAGCCTGGGCAATATAGCTAGATCCTGTCTCTGTTGGCCAGGCGCGGTGGCTCACACCTGTAATCCCAGCACTTTGGGAGGCCAAGGCAGGTGGATCACAAGGTCAGGAGATCAAGACCATCCTGGTTAACATGGTGAAACCCCGTCTCTAATAAAAATACAAAAGATTAGCCAGGAATGGTGGCGGGTGCCTGTAGTCCCGGCTGCTCTGGAGGCTGAGGCAGGAGAATGGCATCAACCCAGAGGCAGAGCTTGGAGTAAGCCAAGATCGCGCCACTGTTCTCCAGCCTGGGCGACAGAGTGAGACTCAGTCTGGAAAAAAAAAAAAATTATCCAGGGTTGTTGGTGCACACGTGTAGTCCCAGCTACTTGGGAGGCTAAAGTGGGGAGGATCACTTGAGTCCGGGCAGTCATGGTTATGGTGAGCTGTGATAATGCCACTGCACTCTAGCCTGGGTTATAGAGCGAGACAATATGTCAAATAAAGAAAAGAAAAGAAACTTAAGAAAAGAAATGCCTTTAACAGAGACCATCTCATGTATTGCAGGTTGCTGTTACTTTAGGTGGAGTTAAGATAAATAATTTTTGGTTAGTGACTTAGTGAATAAATTGACCATATGTGCTACTTCCCTGGGCGAGGGCATAGAGAATGGTACAAAGTAGGCTGCAGTAGCCAGATTATCTTGTATGTAATTTTGAGCTGTTAGTCTGGAGAAGGGCATGCTCAGATTAGAGTTACAATTTTGCTTAACCAAGGAGGGTGTGATCTAGTGCAATAGAAGATTGTTGTCTAGAACTCATTCCTTGAGAATGCTCCCCTGCTTGCTCTGCTCATTCCAGCAGCAATCAACTCTACATTGTATTCTAGGGAGTTGATTATCATTTGGAATTATTTTCCAAGGCTAATGTTTGGACAAATAATGTTTTGTTATATTTAACATTAAAACTCTGACATTGACATTCACATTGATTTTGGAAGCATTATACTTAATCATATGAAAGTTGGTGAAACTTGGATTACAGATTGCAGATGCTAATAAGTCTTTTATTAGAATGATGGCGTCTTCATACCATGAAGTTGAGGACTGAAAGATATATGAGAAGAGTACCTATAAATCGAAAGAAAATAGTAATGACATAGAAAAATGAGCAAAATCAGTTAATTTCTTCAAAGAAAATATATTAATGACAATAAATATCTGCAAAGATGGCTAACCTTAGGGAAATGCACGTTAAATGGTTTTTTTTGTTTGCCTGTCAGATTGACAAATTAAAGTTCAATAATGTTATGCTTATGAGGTTATGGGAAACCAGATTCTCATACACTGTAGGTGGGAATGTAAATAGTATATTTTGTCAGACCAGTTTGGTATATGTCAAAATTTTAAATGCACATACCCTTTGGCATTCCGTTTCTGTTTCTAGCAAACTGTTCGATTTATTTTTAATTACATTTGTATCCCAAGTGCCTGTCCCAAGTGCCTGTGTCCCAAGTGGCTGTCGTACAGTAATCAATCAGTGTATAAATATTTGGTGAATGAGTGCAGAGGGAACACTATAGGAATATGTACTACATATAGTAACTGTCTCTGGATGATGATTAACACATTTTTTTTCTACTTGTCTATATATTATCAGGTTTTGTAAATAATGAGTATTCTTTACTTTTCTAACTGGAAAAAAAAATTTAAGGGAAAAAAATCACCCATAAGTTTTATTCCTTAACTGAGGTCAATGGATAGCTTATCGTTTTACTAGAATTGATTGGGTGTTTCCTGTAAGTCCCAGATGAGTTGCCTGGAGATAGGAGTGACCTGTGAGGGCATGACATTGAACCCAGGAATAGGAAGCAGGGCCCGCTCAAGGATAGAGGGAAAATACTCACATCTGCAAAGTGTTTTCGTTTTGCTTTTCTGAGATGAAACTGGTTTGCATCCAGAGCCTTAAGAAAGAACACTAATAGTTCTGTGAGCTTTGTAAGTATGCTTTGTACCTGTCTGTCCTTTTTAGAGTACATGGACCCAGAATAAATCCCAGCCCTGGGGCATAATTTGTAGAATCCTAACTGTCCCAGCAGCAGAGATCATTTTTACTCTGTCTTCCCTGACATAGGTGGGACCAATTGAATTGTGCATTCTTTATGTCCAGGTTGTTCAATCAAGCTCCTATTTATTGGAGTGCAGTGCTCCAACAGGAGCAATGTGCGGCCCCTCGGAGCTCCCTCCTGGAAGCAGTGCTGGTGGTGGTTACCTGTCTAGGGACAGGTCTGTCTGCCCAGGAAAGAGTTGAGTCTCATGCAGTCGATCCCCCTGTTTCTTCCTGTGTTTACAGGATATGCTGTCTGTAGCTGTGATGTCCGATCTGGGTGTGCCGACTGTCCTACCTTCTCTACCATTACAGCTGTCACCACCACCACATAGCCTTTCAAATGATGGCACTCTCTTTTGGTGGTACCCTTGCTCTCTTTTTATACTTAGAAGCAGCAGAATGATCTGAGTCGTGTGTTTAACTGATACACATTAGTCCCATGATAGGTGTTTATTTTTATTAAAAAGTTCGTGTGAATTTTTTTTTTTTTTTTAGATGGAGCCTCGCTCTGTCGCCAAGACTGGAGTTCAGCGGCACGATCTCGGCTCACTGCAAGCTCCACCTCCGAGGTTCACGCCATTCTCCTGCCTCAGCCTCCCAAGTAGCTGGGACTACAGGCGCCTGCCACCATGCCCGGCTAATTTTTTTTTGTATTTTTAGTAGAGGCGGGTTTCACCGTGTTAGCCAGGATGTTCTCTATCTCCTGACCTCGTGATCTGCCCGCCTTGACCTCCCAAAGTGCTGGGACTACAGGCGTGAGCCACCGCGCCCGGCCTCGTGTGATTTTTAACAAAACTTTAAAATTTGGAATAATCAATAACTTCAAATCCATAGGAAGCTATAAATATAGTACAGAGAAGTCCTGTGTATTCTTCTAGTTTGCTTAATGGTTACATCTTACATAACTATAATATAATGTGAAACCAGGAAATTGATATTTGTGCAATGTGTGTGTATAGTGTCATGCACATTTTATCTCATATGTAGATTCCTGTAGCCACCGCCATAGTCAAAATACAGAACTATTCCATTACCCTAAAGACTTCCCTCATGCCCTTTTAGTCACATCCTGTGTCAGCAGTCCCCAGGGCTGCCCCCAGTTTTTGTAATTCACTTGAGGCTCTCACAGGACATATTTATTCCTTGCTGTGGTTTGTTACAGTGAGGGGGGATGCAAAGCAGGATTAATAAAAGGTAGTTGTGCATTCAGCAGATTCTACAGGACACCAGCATTGTTAAGATTTGAAGAGTCTTCTCCCAGCAGAGTTACCCAGGATGTGCTTACTTCCCCAGCCTTAAACTCTACAACATGTGTGAAGTGTTTTTTATTGTGAAAGCTCATGTATGCCTCAGAATCCAGGGTTTTTATTGGAGACTGGTCACATAGTATATTAGTTCATTCTCACATAGCTATAAAGAAATACCCGAGACTGAGTAATTTATAAAGAAAGGAGATTTAATTAGCTCACAGTTCTACAGGCTGTACAGGAAGCATTGCAGCTTCTGCTTCTAGGGAGGCCTCAGGAAGCTTCCAATCATAGTGGAAAGCAAAGGGGGAGCAAAGTGTCTCCCCTGGTGGGAGCAGGTGCAAGAGAGAAGGTGCTACACATGTTTAAACAACCGGATCTCACAAGCACAGAACCACAGGGGATGGTGCGAAACCATTCATGAGTAACTGCCCCATGATCAGATCACCTTTCACAGGCCCCACTTCCAACATTGGGGATTACAATTCAGCATGACATTTGGGTGGGGACACAGTTCCAAACCATATCACATAGGCATATAGTCCCTTTGTGGTTATCACTTTTAGAGCAACTCCAGAAGGAAATCAGGTGTTTACCATAAATCATACAGTTTGCACAAAATATCTAGACAAGCTGGACAGTGTGGTTCAGTACCGTAACCATACAAAAACACCCTTATCATTTAGGGCATAGGGCTAGTACAAGACCTTAGTTTCTAGGAGCTGACCAAGGGCCAGTCTAACCCAGCTGACCAAGCAGGCCTGTCTGAGAATGTGCATCATTTGAGCAACTCAGGCCTGCTGGGTTAACTGCTTACACCATTTTCCTTCCCCTCCTCTCCCTTGCCTTCGCCACTCTTAACCTGGAAAAAGCACTAATTTGTCCTCCATATCTGTAGTTTTGTCATTTGGAAAGGTTGTAGAAATCCTAGAGTATGTGACCTTTTAAGATGCACTTTTTAAAAAACTCAACATTTTGCTCTTGAGCATCCAGGTCTTTACATGTGTTAATAGTTTGTTCTTTTTGGTGTTAGGTATTCTCTCGTGTGATCATGCCCCAGTTTATTTAACCATCCCATAGATGATGTTTATTTTCCCTTGTAAAGTTGGATAGCGTGTATAATTTTTTTTTTTTTTTTTTGAGATAGTGTCTTGCTCTGTTGCCCAGGCTGGAGTGCAGTGGCACCACCTAAGCTCACCACAACCTCTGCCTTCTGGTTTCAAGTGATTCTCCTGCCTCAGCCTCCTGAGTAATTGGGACTACAGGCGCATACCACCATGCCCGGCTAATTTTTGTATTTTTAATAGAGACGGAGTTTCACTGTGTTGGCCAGGCTGGTCTCAAACTCCTGACCTTGTGATCTGCCCACCTTGGCCTCCCAAAGTTCTGGGATTAGAGGCGTGAGTCACCGTGCCCATCCAGCATGTATAATTTTAACGTAATGGCTAATCACTCATGAGGGGAAGAAATGGCTAATCACTCATGAGGGGAAGAGATTTTTGAACATTTTTAAATAATAGAGACAGGGTCTTGCTATGTTGCCCAGGCTGGTCTTGAACGCTTGGTTTCAAGCCATCCTCCCACCTTCGCCTCCCAAAGTGCTGGGATTATAGGCGTGAACCATTGCACCTGGCCCCGGGGAAGGGATTTTTGTATTTATTAAGCAGTTAAGTATCATTGCTTTTTAGCCATGTTATTCTATAGTCTTTACAATAACCTTATTCATTCAGTTATTGTTCTTGCAACAAAGATTTGAGAACCTATGATATGCCCATTTGTGCAGGGAAAAAACTCCTCAAACTGTATTTTTCCTCTGCTCATGCCACAGCAGTCATCAACACAGAAGACTTCCATGACCATATGTGTGGGGATTCTTCCCCTACACAACACACCAGCTGGGTGTCTTCTAGTTCACTTTCTGCACTGGGTGTCTTTTAGTTCAGTTCCTGCACTATTTACCAGGAGATAGGGTCAGATCGCACAGGGTGAGGACTCAGTCACCATGACTGCCCCTCCTAACCCCCATCAGTTGCAACTCCGGGCCTTTAGGACTTCTAACTGACCAGCTTCAAGTTGGGGTTCCCATGGCTGCCTTTTTAGGTTCAATAATTTGCTGAGGTGGTTTACAGAACTGAGGGAGATGCTTATGTTTACCGGTTTATTACAACAGATATTGCAAAGGATCCAGGTGAAGGAGATGCTGGGGGCGAGGAATGGGGGAAGGTGCAGAACTTCCATGCCCTCCCTGGGCGTACACCCTCCAGGAACCTCCACTGTGCAGCTATCTGAAAGCTTCCCGGGCCCAGTTCTCTTGGGTTTTTATGGAGGCTTCCTGACATCAGCATTCGTCCCTCAGAGTATAGAGCTGGACCCTCGCTGGGGAGGGTTTAAGACCAATCCAGAGTAGAGTCCTGCCTTGGGGCAGGTAAAAGGAGGGCAGGAGAAAGTCAGAGAGGCTGCCCATGAGGCCTAACACACTCAGCCTTAAAACAAAAGCCTGGGGGTGGGCGTGGTGTCTCATGCCTGTAATCCCAGCACTTTGGGAGTCTGAGGTGGTCGCCTCCCGAGTAGCTGGGACTACAGGCGCCCACCACCACGCCCGGCTAATTTTTTTGTATTTTTAGTAGAGATGGGGTTTCACCATGTTTGCCAGGATGGTGTTGATCTCCTGACCTCATGATCTGCCCGCCTCGGTCTCCCAAAGTGCTGAGATTACAGGCGCGAGCCACTGCGCCCGGCTGAAAAGACTCTTTTTTCGCCATTGAATGGTCTTGGTACTTTTGTGGAAAATCAGTTGACAGAAGAATTGTGGGTTTATTTCTAGAATCTCAATTTATTCCGTTGATTTCTATGACTGTCCTTGTGCCAGTACCACACTGTAGTAATTACCATGGCTTTGTAGTAAGTTTTGAAATCAGGAAATGTCAATTTTCTTACATTCTTTTTCAAGATTGTTTTGGCCATTCTGGGTCCTTGTTCTCTTCTGCATTTTAGAGTTCATGTGCTTTCATTGGGCCCATCTAGATATCTAGCATAGTCTCCTTATTTTAATGATTAGTCAACTTAATTATATCTGCAAAGTCCTTTTTGCAGTGTAAGGTGACATAATCACAGGTGTAGCACCAGAGAGTGAAGGTCATGGGTGCACAGGTCCTATGAGGCTTAGTTGGGTGAAAAGGTGGAGAATGATAGGAGCAGAGAGGTTGGAGAGGGAGATAGGAAAGGGAGTTTCAGAAATATTACATAGTTTGCCTAAAGTTACATTTCCAGTACGTGGCAGAGCTGGGGTTGGAGTGCAGATAGGACTGATCTCTGTGATTTCATGGTCCACACCAAATCAGTCTTCTTAGACTCAGAGCTATTGTTTCTGTCTAATACATAGTGAGCTTTTATTGTATGCCAAGTAATCCACAGAGCACTCCTTTATGTTTTTCTAGCTCTTAAAGAGCATCTGTACAAGTCTTTTGGCATAGATAATAGGCTCTACTGGAACCAGCTTAAGAAAAAACGACAAAAGTAGTTAGGGGACCAGGGTGTATGACTCAGAATCTGAGGATGGGCGTGCATGTAAACCTTAGCCAGGGATTGGAACTGGGAGATTGAAATCACTCAGGACGTATAGGACCTTCTACTTTTCTCTGCTTCTTGGGATATGTCTATTTTACTCTGTAGACTGTCCTGATTCTCAGACCACTGGATGGAAGATGATCATGTCACACAGCTCCATCATTCAAGAGAACAGCCGTGACTTAGTCCCATTTCCAAAACTCCAAGCAAAAGACTCTAACACATTTGGAGGCAATCAGCTGTGACCCTGAATTGGGGGACTGTTCACCTCATACAAATATAGCTGCTGCCAGCTTATATTTGTGGATTGAGAGGACAGTTTCCTGATACACAGGAGGTATTTGCACGTGCTAGGCAGACTCCCCAAACTTATGTTCATTTTAGTAACATTGAGTAGTACTATCATACTTAACAGTACAAAATTTAAAAAACATAATTGATCTATGCGAAAAAATAAGTATTTCCTTTTGCCCATTTCTCTTGAAAGGGAAGAAAAGGGACACGGGATGATAATGGCAAGATTATTTATTTATTTATTTATTTATTTTTGAGACGGAGTTTCACTCTGTTGCCCAGGCTGGAGTGCCCTGGTGTGGGATCTTGGCTTACTGCAGTCTCTGCCTTGCGGGTCCAAGTGATTCTCATGCCTGAGCCTCCCGAGTAGCTGGGATTACAGGCAAGCGCCACCACACCTAGCTACCCACTGTGTTACCTCTAGTCCTTGACTGTAGTTGTGTCTTGGTCAGTATCCGTGTCTCCTGTTCTGTACTTCTCTCTAATCCAACCTAGAAATTGCCTCTCAAGTGTTTTGTTTTGTTTTGTTTTTTGTTTTTTTGAGATGGTGTCTCGCTCTGTTGCCCAGGCTGGAATGCAGTGGCGTGATCTTGGCTCATTGCAACCTTTATCTCCCTGGTTCAAGTGATTCTCGTGTCTCAGCCTCCTGAGTAGCTGGGATTACAGGCATCTGCCACCACGCCTGGCTAATTTTTGTATGTTTAATAGAAACGGGGTTTGCCATGTTGGCCAGGCTGGTCTCGAACTCCTAACCTCAGGTGATCCATCTGCCTCGGCCTCCCAAAGTGTTGTGACTATAGGTGTGAGCCACCGTTCCCGGCTGAGGTTGGTTTTTTTTTGTTTTGTTTTGTTTTTTTTATCATAGAGTAAAATTGATTTGGGAGGAATATAATGTTCTGCAAATTTCTAAATTTTAATAGATTTATGTAAACACCTCCACAATCAGAATACAGAACAGTTTCATCACCCCTAAAAACTTTCTCGTGCTAATCCTTTATAAGTCACATTCTTTCCTATCCCTAGTTCTTAAATGGAATCTTACAGTATGTAAACTTTTAAGATGGCTGCTATGGTCTGAATCTTTGTGTGTCCTCCAAATTCATATGTTGAAATTCTAATCCACAAGGTGATGCTACTAGGAGGTGGAGCCTTTGGGAGGTGATTAGTTCATGAAAGTGGAGCCCTCATGATTGGGATTAGTGCACCTATAAGAGACCGCAGAGAGCCTAGCCATGTGAGGACACAGGGAGAAGGTACCTTCAGTGAACCACCAGACACCAACATCTGTTGACTTCCTGATCTTGAACTTGCCAGCTTCCTGAACTGTGAGAAATAAATTTCTGTTTTTTATAACCTACCCAGTTTATGGTATTTTGTTACTGCAGCCAGAAGGAACTAAGATGCTGGTTTCTATCAGCATAAAGCCTCTGAGATTCATCGAAGTTGTTGGGTGTTCTGATACCTGTTGTTGTTGTTTTCCTGAGTAGCATTCTGTTGTATGGATGTACCATAATTTGTTTATTCATTCACCCATTGAAGGATATTTTAGTTGTCATTTTTTGTCATCACAAATAATGCTACTATAACTGTGTATAGAATTTTGTAAATAGCAGTTTTTATTTCTCTAGAGGAAATACCCAGGAGAGGGATTGCATGGTTGGATGGTCATTGTATGTTACACATTTTTAAGAAACTATGGAAGTGTTTTCTCTAGTAGTGTCTGTACTATTTTGCATTCCACTAGGAAGGTATGAGGGTTTTAGTTGCTCTGCATCCCTGCCACCCCTTGGTATTGTCAGTATTTATTTTTTTTCTGAGGTGGGGTCTCACTCTGTCACCCAGGCTGGAGTGCAGTGGTGTAATATTGGCTTGCTTCAACTTCCACCTCCCAGGCTCAAGTGATCCTCCCACCTCAGCCTACTGTGTAGGTGGGACCACAGCCATGCACCACCATCGCTGCCTAATTTTTTTTTTTGTATTTTTTTGGTAGAGACTGGGTTTTGCCATGTTGCCCAGGCTGTGTCAGTATGTTTTATTTTGGCCATTCTAATAGGTTTGAGTGATATCTCATGGTGGTTTTAATTTGCATTTCTCTAATGATTGAACAATGTTGATCAACTATTCATGTGCTTATTTGCCACCACGTCAAAAACTGCAAATGTTTTTTTTGTAGTAGCCATCCTAATGGGTACAAAGAGATATCTCATTGTGGTTTTGATTTGCATTTCCCTGATTTAATGATCTTGAACACTTTTTCACGTGATTATTGGCTGTTGGTATGTCTTTGGAGAATTGTCTATTGCAGTCCTTTTCCCATTTGTAAACCGGATTATCTTGTTTTTTTTGTTACTGAGTGGTAAGAGTTCCTTTATGTTCTGGATATTAACTCCTTATTAGATATGTGGTTTGCAGATATGTTCTACAATTCTGTATATTGTTCCTTCTTACTCTGTCATTTGCTTCCTATGTTGTGCAGAGATATTAAAATTTGATGTAATGTATTTGTCTGATTTTGCCTTTGTTGCCTGTGCTTTTGGTGTCATATCCTAGAAGTCATTGCAAAATCCAGTGTTGGGAAGCTTTTCCCCTAAGTTTTCCTCTAGGAGTTTTCTAGTTTCAAGCCTATACATTTAGGTCTTTAATCCAATGTTAGCCCTTTCTTAATGAGTTCTTTGTATTTTGGGCAGGGAATAAGTCTTTCTTTAATGTAACTGTCAGGAATTTACTATATTTAACTTTTTCCTTCTTCCTTCCTCCCCTCTTTCCCTCCCTCCTTCCCTTCCTCATTCATTCCCTCCTTCCCTCTCTTACGGCTTGAAGATAATGGAATCACTCAGGTTTTGTTCGTAACTGGTAAGGTTTTAGTTTAGTAGGATGATAATTCATTTTCAACAGCACTTTCTTGTTTGTTCATTGGTTAGCAGGAAGAAGATGAGCCTTAGGTCTGAACGCCGAGGAATTCATGTGGATCCTGTGCAAGAAAGGATGTGGTTACTGTGGCAACCCTACCTGGCAGGGTTTCTGCTCCAAGTGCTGGAGGGAAGAGTAGCACAAAGCCAGGCAGAAGCAGATTCAGGAGTACTGGGAGCTGGTGGAACGGTAAAAGGACTTAACTAGGGGCGGTTGATCAGTGATGTGACTGGATACATAGCTCTGTCACCGTGCAAATACATTTTTTCTCTTCTGCATTCAGCTATCAGCAAGTCAGTTTAATATTAAGGAAAAGGATGTTTTCCCCTCTTCTTCTCAGTCAACCTTTAATGAACAGCTTTCAGTAGTTTCTTCATTTTGTGTTTGTCTTAACTTCTGGTTATTTTCTTTGGATTGTGTTAGTCTTAGTTCTCAAATTTAGACAAATTCCTTGGAGTGGAAGAATGGAGACAGGCATATTTCCTGGTGAAGATTAAATGAGCTAATAAATATGATGTACCCAGCGCAGGGCTTGCAAATGGCAGTCATCAAGCATTATTTCTCTCGTTCTTTTACTATATTCAGCATGGCATGTAGCTCAGTGATAAAACAGTAGTAGAACTCTGGTGACTCGTATACATAGTCCTTGCATTATAGAAATTTATTCCTTAAAAATTAGGTTACTCAAAGGCAGTTTGTATTATCTGGATATACAGTGATGTTAAAAATTAAATGATGGGTCGGGCGCAGTGGCTCACGCCTGTAATCCTAGCACTTTGAGAGGCTGAGGCAGCTGGATTACCTGAGGTTAGGAGTTCGAGACCAGCCTGACCAACATGGTGAAACCCAATCTCTACTAAAAATATTTAAAAAGTTAGCCGGATGTGGTGGTACGTGCTTGTAATCCCAGTTACTTGGGCGGCTGAGGTAGGAGAATTCCTTGAATGCAGGTATCGGAGATTGCAGTGAGCTGAGATCGTGCCACTGCGGTCCAGCCTGGGCAACAAGGTGAGACTCTGGTCTCAAAAAAAAAAACAAAAAACAAAACAAAATTAAATGATGGGATGGCTAGTGAGCATAGGAACTAGTAAAATGCCATAAATAATGTTAATTCTTTGCCAGAGCATTCTAGAAATTCTAAAACTGCTTCAACAGAAGAAAGTCAAATGGAATTCTGCTAACTCTTGCTAGTTTTTTTTTTTTTTCATCCAGTCAGCCAATATTTGTTGAGTTGACTTCTTTGCTGGTATCTGTGGTAAACCCAGAGAATTAGAAATTACACATTGCTTTCAGTGACTGTGGTCAATCAAAGAGAGAAAATTTTAACCCAGAACGTGAATGATCTCCTCAGGCTTCCGACTGCATGCCTCATGCTGTCAGTAGCAGACCCTGTTTCGAAAACAGAGTAGAGGCCACTAGGCACAAACTCTCTCAGCTTCCTCCCCTGGCTACATAAAATGTACTAATACCTTTATATTAACTTCTTGTCTGTCCCAGAGAAAGAGGTGTCCCGATTCCATCCTCAGACTTAGCACCTCCACCTGTGATTTTTGTTTCTATTTCTTACTGCTTTTAATTGTGACCCTGCTAAATCTCTCGGAAAGCTTGTAAAAGCAGTGATTGTTGGACTTTACCCTCAGAATCTCTGATTTTAGTAGTTTGGGAGTAAGACTAGAGAATTTGCATTTCTAACAAGTTGCCTGGTGTTGCTGCTATTGCTGTCTGGGGAATCACACTTGGAGAACCACTGTCTTATAGATAGTGCTTGAGTTTTTTGTTTGTTTTTTGTTTTTTTGAGACAGGGTCTTGTTCTGTCATCCCTGCTGGAGTGCAGTGGTACATGGTACAGTCTGGACTCACTGCAACCTCTGCTTCCTGGGCTCAAGTGATCCCTCTGCTTCAGCCTCCCAAGTAGCTAGGACTACATGAGCATGCTACCACGCCCAGCTAATTTTTGTATTTTATGTAGAGACAGGGTTTCACCATGTTTCCCAGGCTGGTCTCAAATTCCTGAGCTCAAGTGATCCGGCTGCCTTGGCCTCCCAGTGTGCTGGGATTACAGGCGTGAGCTACTGTACCCCGCCTGTGTTTGGGAATTATTACAGATGGTTCACATGCAGCTAATCCAAACCCAAATTTATTGCTTTTATTTATTATTCTCCGCATTCTGAACATTTTCCTCCTAACCCTTCTCCTGAGTCAATTAATGGCATCACTATTTACCAAGTTAGCTAAAAAACCTTGGTTTCATTCTTGATTTCTCTTTCATCTCCTATGCTGCCTACAACTTGACCAAGTTCTGTTTCTTCCAACTCAGAAAAGTCTTGAATTTTACCTTTTGTACTCCTATTTTCCAGGTGCTTATTTTCTTTTACTTAAACCTTTATAATATACTCTTACTTCTTGTTCCTGTCTCTAGTTTCTCTACCCTTCAAGTTGTTCACACAGCTACCTGCATGATCTTTCTAAAGTACATACAACGATCTGACAACGATAACTTCTTGGATTTACAGTCTTTCTTGCTTCCCCACCACATGATGAAATCCAGAATAGTGGGCTCAGCAATCAAGATTCCCTACCCTCTGGAGCCTTCCTGTGTATCCAGCATCACAGTTCATCACACGCCCAGTGCTCTGGCTACATTCAGCTTGTTGTGAAGCAAACCACAGGCTTGCACATTTGTAGTTCCTTCTTCCTGGAATGTCCTTTCACTTAGAATCCTAGTCAGCCTTATTACTCAGACGTGGTGGTGTGCACCTATAGTCTCAATAACTTGGAAGGCTGAGGGATGAAAATTGCTTGAACTCGGGAGGCAGAGGTTGTAGTGAGCTGAAATCGTACTATTGCACCCCAGCCTGGGTGATGGAGTGACACTCTGTCTCAATAAAAAACAACAAAAAAAAGGATCCTATTTATCCTTTAAGACCCCACCCAAACATCACCGTTGTAAAGCCTTATCAGCTCCCCCCAGCAGATTGCGTTGTTCTTTCCTGTGTTCTCACAGCACTCAACTTTTACTCTCTGATGTAGCAGCTGTCCCATTCTGTAGCAGTTGTTTACTTACCTTTTCGTCTGTTCCAGCCTTGAGCTTGTTAGGGAAAAGGACTAGACTTTATTTATTTCACTGAGCTTGTTGGGGAAAAGGACTAGACTTGATTTCTTTCATGTAACCTAGAGCAGTTGCTGAATGAGCATGAGAGGATCCCATTTGAAATCTGTAGTGCATGAAGAGCCGTCCATCCTGTAGCTATGTGAGACCTCAGACTGATTTGGCATATTTAGTCTCTAGGTCTAAAATCTTTAGATCCTCCTGAATTAATGGAGTAATAACCTTCAGGTATAGAGAAATCTTGGAGAATATCTAGATCATTCTAATCCTCTCTTGAATTGCAGACTCCAGCGGGAGGAAGAAGAGGCCTTTGCCAGCAGTCAGAGCAGCCAAGGGGCCCAATCCCTCACATTCTCCAAGTTTGAAGGAAAGAAAACCAACAAGAAGACCCGCAAGGTTACCACAGTGAAGAAATCTTCAGTACGTCTTCCAGGGTCGGATCAAAGAAGGGTAATGTTGTGATACTCTTTTTTTTCTTCTCTGCCTGAGTGAGACACAGAGGAGATCCCCAATGCTCATAGGCTCAGCTTTGTAATTTCTGTCAACTTTTTGAGAACATCAGCTCAGATTTGACACTGAAATTGGGTTTGAGGGTCAGACAGTATATGAAACCAATACTCTCTTTGGTTGAAAGATATTGTGTTTTAGAGAAATTTGTTTACTTTATAGGAGGAATAAAGAGAATTGAAATAGGTAGTTTTGTTTATGAAATTCATCCCCATCCAAATGACTATCTCTTTGGATGATTTGGTTTTTGCGCCTTTTATTTGTGGATCCTGGTTTGTTCTGTAGTATCATACCCTCATTGTTCATAGCTTGTCAGAAATGGCAATTTCTAGCCTTGAAGGTCATCTGAGAGATTTTCTGCCTGAGAGCTTATTTGAGAGACAGCTTGTGTCATGAGGAATTGTATTGAGAACATATAGGAAAAGGCCCACATTGGGCTCCTGGAGGGATGAAAGTGAGCCATAGTAGCTATTTTCCAGTGCATGGATTTGTATGTAGGTGATCATATTCACTCGGCTTCTTAAAATGCCATATAACCATCAAGAGGATTGTCACTTAAGTCACAGTTGTTCTACCATTGAGCAGACAACCCAGTTGAAGTGGCCCAATATGAAGCAAGAAAGAATCTCTGTTGTTAGGCCTTGGTCTCTGAAAATTTATGTTGGTACTCGGTCTTTGAAAATTTATGTTGAGTTATGCAGTGAATGTGAAATAATGAGGGAGACTGGGAACCAACACTGATGCTGTCAGAAAACCTGTTCTCTGGGAGCCCCCTCACTTGCTCCCCAGTTCTTACCCTGGGGTAATTGTAATGAGATCTTCTCCCCTGGAGGCAGGGGAATGAATAATAAGACAGTTTTTATCCCTTAAGATCCTTGCCAGTCCTCTAGGTTTTGTGACTTTTGCTGTTTTCTTTTGGTTTATTGTAAGGAAATAAAAGGAAATATTGCATATAACCAAAAACATACTTCTCTTTAAGACATGGATACCAGGTGTGGTGGCTTACACCTATAATCTCAGCACTTTGGGAGGCCACGACGGGTGGATCACCTGAGCTCCGGAGTTTGAGACCAGCCAGGGCAACATGGTGAAACCCCGTTTCTACAAAAAATAAAAAAATTATCCAGGCACAGTGGCATGTGCCTGTAGTCTCAGCCTGGGTGACAGAGCAAGACCCTGTCTCAAAATTAAAAAAAACAAAAAAAATAATAAAATAAAAAGAAAAGAAAAAAGAAAGATTGATTAGCTTTAAGTAATAAATCTTTGTTCACATGATTAATTTGAAGTTGTTTCTTGGTTGGCTGCCAGTTGTAGCTATTTTGTCTCTACTAAAAAGGGGGAAAAATTAGTACCTGCCAGAGATTAAATAAGAATGTATTCAGCTCATGATTTATCTATTAGGAGGTGAAATTTCCAGGTGGTTAGTCAGGTGACTTTGCAGTCATTCCTGGTTTGAGTCCTAGTTTTGTCATTTACCAGCTTTGTGACCCTGGGTGGACTAACCACTCCAAGTCTTGTCCACACTGAGGGACAGTAATACCTATCAGAGACATGTGATGAGGATTTCATGAGTTGACACATGTACAGAGCTTAGCACAGTGCCTGACTCACACAGTAGATCTCCAGTAAGTGTTAGCTTTTTTAAAATGCAAGTTATTCTTCTGATAGAATAATCTTGCAGGGAGCTCAAGGCCATTTATTATTAAGATCCTTCATTCCTATTTAGCTTAAAGTCTGTTTCTTCCTGATATGTAGTGAAGTGGTAAGTATTTATGATAACAGATGAAATATTAAAAAAATTATCAAATTATCAGCTCTAATAGCCTCATTTTGCAGATGACAATATGAAAGTCCATAAAGGTTAACTAATTTACCCAAGGTTGCACGATGAGTTTGCACATGAGAACTCAGGTCTCCTAACTCCTGGGTCAATATTTTTCCATTGTATTCCTTTATTCAATGTGTATACTTCAGAAACCTAGGTTATTTAATGTATATAATAAATAGTAAATATATATATATATATATAAATACGTTTCTGTTACTTAAGTACATAATTGTCATTTATATTCACTGACTCTCCTTGGTGGTTTTAAAAACCTGTGTCTCAAAAGCCTCTGTACGGTGTGCATGATACTATGGAAAGAAGATTTACAAGTTAGTGCAGTCTGTACTTTGAAAAGAAACAATTCTGGGGCCGGGTGCAGTGGTTTCTACCTACCTATAATCTGAGCTATTTGGAAGACTAAGGTAGGAGGATTACATGAGCCCAGGAGTTAGTGGCTGCAGTGAGCTGTGATTGTGCCACTGTATTCCAGCCTGGGCAGCAGAGTGAGACACCAACATTAAAAAAATTAATTTAAAAAAGAAACAGCCGAGTGACTTTTATTTTAAAAATGTGTATGCAGAATGGTTTTTACCTTTGTTCTTGTTTCTCCCCACCCCCCGTCTTTTTGAATGGTAGATTTGTACTTTTGATTTTTTGTTCTTTAGTTGCTTTTTGTCAGTAGAAAGCTTTTGGGGATAAAGACCTTAAAGTATTTAAAAATTTATGTTAGAAAAGAAGATTCCATTATGTCTTTGTTTCACAGATCACTTAATATAACTTAGCCAGGTAAATTTTGCATTTCACACTGATTACTTGTTTGGCCATTGTGTTTGGATAAGGTTAGCCTCTGCAGTTTTAATGTATTGGGTCTAGATTAGAAACAGACTTTTTGGATTCTGTATTCTTTGCCTTCTTTAGTCCGTGATCCCCTTGCTCTTGGTATTTTACTTGTTTCTGTTAGTAGTAAAAAGGAAAGCTTTTATGCCATACATAGCAGCTTGGTAGCAGACAAAATACAAATAACCTTCTAAGGAATTTGAAGAATATTTTTACATTCTTTTAGAGTGGGATATGCCGTCAGAGAAAGTAAATGGAATATCTTGACTGTAAAGACTTAGTTAAAGTGTTTTAGTCTCCACAGTCAGGGTGAGTGAGCTGTATAGAGGAAGTCATAGTGGTTGGCCAAGCTGAGATACTTGCTTATACATTCCAAAGTGCCCTTTTCTTTCAGAACTCCTATAATCTTGTCATCCCAAGTAGAATCTTGTGTACCTCTTTCACAAATGGATCTGAAAACAGTGATCCTCCAAAGCATATCTTTCCTTTTTTAGAGTTAAAATACCAATACCACCCAGACCTTAGATTCTAAATACTATTATTCACTAAAGTGAACCGGGGCTTCTTGGAGAAATGACTGATTCTGGGGCTGGGCCAGGGAAAAAAGGGCCCCTTCAATATTTTGGGGACATTTCAGAAGATCCAGAAGCCAGCTTGGAGGGGTTTCCACTGGCCAAGTCTGGGATAAATTTGAGTGTCAAAATAAATAAGAACAATAAGGCCGGGCACGGTGGCTCAGGCCTATAATCCCAGCACTTTGGGAGGCCGAGGCGGGCAGATCACCTAAGGTCGGGAGTTTGAGACCAGCCTGGCCAAAATGGCACAATCGCGTCTCTACCAAAAATACCAAATTAGTCAGGTGTGGAGGTGCGTGCCCGTAATCCCAGCTACTTGGGAGGCGGAGTCAGGAGAATGGCTTGAACCCAGGAGGCGGAGATTGCGGCGATCTGAGATCATCCCATTGCACTCCACCTTGGGCAACAAGAGCGAGACTCCATGTCAAAAAAAAAAAAAAGTTGTCATGTTAGTAGTAAAAATTGATTCAAGTAAACTTTATCTGGGTGCTAAATCTGGGATGAGGGGAGGGAGTTTCCCAGGGAACAAGTTATGAACGTGATCTCAAATTAACTGCCTATGAATCATTTATTTATTTTTCTTTTTTTCGTTTTTTTGTGGAGACTGGAGGTGGGTCTCACTATGTTGCCCAGGCTGGTCTTGAATTGCTGGCCTCAAGTGATCCCACCACTGCAGCCTCAAAGTTCTGGGATTACAGGTGTGAGCCACCATGCCCAGCCAGATTATTAATTATAAATAGAGAAATGGTAACTATAAAATGGGGATGTGTGAGGCAAGGATAGATGTCATGTGCCTCCAGACATGACACTTTGAGAACACAACATCATTTATGAAATATCTAAGCCGAAAAGTTTTAACAACCTGAATCCAGTCATGAGGAAACAACTGGCTAACCCAATCTAAATGGCATTCAACAAGATACCTGGCCTGTGTTCTTCAGAAATGTCATGCGAGAGAAACAAAGGCTGGGAGCATTGTGAACAATTGAGAAAATTGGAATATGGATTTTCAATTTAGTAAAAGTATCGTATCAATGTAAATTTTCCTGAATTTGGTAACTATCCTGTAAGGTACATAAAACAATGGCTTAATCCCTTTGCATTGCTACAAAAGAATACCTGAGGCTGGGTCACTTGTAAAGGAAACAGGTTCATTTGGCTCACCGTTCTGCAGGCTGTGGAAGAAGCATGGAGACAGGCCAGGTGCAGTGGCTCACGCCTGTAATCCCAACACTTTCAGAGGCCGAGACGGGCAGATCACTTGAGGCCAGGAGTTCAAGACCAGCTTGGCCAACATAGCAAAACCTGTCTCTACTGAAAATACAAAAATTGGCCAGGCATGGTGGCCTGTTCCTGTAATCCCAGCTACTCGGGAGGCTGAGGCAGGAGTATTGCTTGAACCTGGAAGGCAGTGTTGAAGCGAGCCGAGATTGTACCAGTGTACTCCCACCTGGCCAGAGGAGTGTGAGACTCCTTCTCAAAAAAAAAAAAAAAAAAAAAAAAAAAAAAGAGAGAGAGAGATACTGGGCAATGGAAGGCTTGACAATCATGGTCTACTTGCTGTACCTGAAACACAAGCTTTGTTTCTGTATTAAAAACATAAGGTGTAGCTGAGTCCACTGGCTCATGCTTGTAATCCCAGCATTTTGGAGACTGAAATGAGGCAGGAGGATTGCTTGATCCCAAGAGTTGAAGACCAGCCCAGGCAACATAGTGAGACCCCATCTCTTTTTTTTTTTTTTTTTTTTTGAAACCCCATCTCTTAAAAAAAAAAAAAAAAATTAACTAGGCTAGTGCCTGTAGCCCCATCTACTCTGGAGGCTGAGGTTGGAGGATCATTTCAGCCTGAGCAGTTGAGGCAGAAGTGAGCTGTGATCTGGCCACCGTACTCCAGCCTGGGTGACAGAGTGAGACCTTGATTAAGACAAAACAAAACAAAAACAAAACAAAAAAAACAAACACAAGGTGACTTTAAGTTGAAGAGCAAGCACTTGCCATTTGAGCCTTAGCCAGAACTATAAACTGTAATGTGGGTGAGGTTGTCCTTTTCCATATTTCCTTCTTCTTCACAGAGGTTGATTTTTAGAAAACTTAGAGAAAAACAACCAAGTGTTGACTTCAGTAACTTCTATGATCGTAACTAGCTAGTAGAATTAATTGTCATTTATATTTTTAAAGGGTTTTTTTTTTTTAAAGCAAATTGTCTCTTTGTGAAGAACATGTGCGTTCCTTAGACACTGTCTAGCTGCTGAAAATGACGGATTTCTGGTTTTTGGTTGGTTTGTTTTCGGAGATGCAAAATGAGCATATGTACCTTAACGGTTCCCACCACCTTTATTTTGCCAGTAATTTAATTTGAGAAAATTAGTTAGTTTTGCCCTGTTTTCTTCATCTAAATATGGAAATGTTTAAATCTGTGTTCTGCTAGGTACTGATGACCTCAAGATATATTCCCTGGTGAGATGGACTTTCTCAGAATATGAGGACTGCATGCCTGGCACACTTGAAATGTTAGCGTTTCATTTTTCAAGAGGATTAAAGCCCTCATATGTTTATTTTCCTTTAAAAAACTACTTAAGGCAGCACAAATTGGTAAAAAAAAAAAAAAAAAAAAAGGACATCAAAACTAAAACCTAAATAGATGAAGCAGTTAACATCAGTACAGACAAAACTTAATGAACCCAGAAAATCGATTGTGGTGATTCACATTGAAATGACAGGAGTTCCAGATGAAATACACAGAAAACATAGTTAAGGAAAATAGTCAAAGGTTTTCAAAACTGGAGGTGAAAACAAAGATCTCAGCCAGACCGTTAAGAAAGTGTACGGAGTGCCTCTCAGCATAATAGTCAAAGAAAGACACCCAACTTTCAATGTTGTAATCACAAAGTAAAAAATTTATTTTAGAAAAATAAAATGACAGATTTACCTCAGATGTTATAGAAAAGATGATCCCATACAATGATTAGAGAGTACTTGAGGAAAAGGGTTTACTTTCACTGCTCTACTATCCTTTTTTCTTGGAAAACTATGACAAACCTTTTGGAGTTTTGTAGAGCCTAAAAGAACTTACCAACACAAACCTGCTCTCACTTTGCTCCTTTGGCAAACACTGAGGGGGGGCCTGAGAGTTACCTTATTTGCAGGCTAACAAATTAACCCTAACCTCCCACGGTTTCACAGATACTGGTCAAAGACACGAGTCTCCTGGGTCAGACACAAAGGCCAGTTTCTTACAGCAGTAGCAGTAGCCAGTGCATTTGCATTTGTGCTTATCCCCTGAGTATCTGTTCCTATGGGATAATGCAGAGAAGACCAGGGAAAGCCTGTGCATGCAGTGAGTTGTATTAGAGGAGAAGAACCTTGGACTTAGGGATCCTTATTGGACAGTAAGCAGTCTACCATTTTCTCTTGAAGGAGGCACTCTGTCTCCCAAAGCTGTTTGTTATACAGATATCCTTGAAAAGATGTTGCAAAACAAAGGCAGTCATTGCCTCTGCTCACAGATAGGTAGAAAGAAATCTATGGAGAATTGTCTTCAGCATCTTATAAAGGGAGGAATGGTAATAAATGTCCACATTCATTCAGTCAACCCATACTGAGCACTAACCATGTCCCTGGCCCTGTTCTAGGCATGAGGATATGGTGGTGAACAGTGCCCTCGTGGAGCTAACATTTTAGTTGGGGAAATGGACAATAAAGAGATCTGTTACATAGTGGTAAGTCCTATAAGAATGGAAAGCAGGATGAGAGAGTGGCAGGGGAGTTCTTTTACATTATGAGAGCAATACTGTACTGGAGCATAAACTGCAGTAGGAATAGAAAAGGAGTTTTCGGCATTGTATTGTAAAATTACAGGGGTTGTGCGGGGCTCGGGGAGGAGAACATGATCCCTTGACACCAGTAAGACAGGCCTCTCGGGTCTCTAAAAGGAGCTCAGAGGGTTTCTAGTTGGAAGCGAGCACTACAGGTTGAGTATCCCTTATCCGAGAGCCTTGGGACCAGAAGTGTTTCAGATTTTGGGGTTTTCCCAGATTTTGGAATATTTACACATATATAAGATAACTTGGGACTGGGACCCAAGTCCAAACACAGAATTCATTTGTTGTATATATACCTTACATACATAGCCTGAAGGTAATTTTATACCACATTTTAAGCAGTTTTGTGCATGAAACAGTTTTGGCTGCTTTTTGACTACAGCGCATCACATGAGGCCAGGTGTGGAATTTCCTACTTGTGGTGTCATATCGACACTGACAAATTTGGGATTTTTGAGCATTTCAGATTTTTTATTTTTGAGTTAGGAATGCTCAAACCTGTAATAATAATCACAATAATGAATATAGTTTCTTCTAAGTTAAGTGCTAAAATTCGGTGCAAAAGAAAGGTGTAAAACCATCTGTAAACTACCTAAGAATACTGAATGAATGCATAAGTTTTGCAGAAAATACATGAACTAAAAGGACAGATTTGGGCACTGCAGTGTATACTTGTAGTCCCCACTACCCAGGAGGCGGCTGAGGCAGGAGGATTGCTTGAGCCTAGGAATGTGAGGCTGCAGTGAGCTACAGTTACGTCTGTGAACAGCTACTACATTCCCTCCTAGGCAATGTAGTGAAATGCCACTTCTAAAGAAAAATAAATAAATTAAACAATAACAAGTTAAATTATAGCACCATAAAAGAAAATTCAAATATCAGTTAAAATGCTGTCACCCATGTTAAAGTTAGACTTGAGGTCTTAATAGTAAAAAAAAAAAAAAGCTCATCTTGGCCGGGCGTGATGGCTCACACCTGTCATCCCAGCACTTTGGGAGGCCGAGGCAGGCAGATCACCTGAGGTCAGGAGTTGAAGACCAGCCTGGCCAACATGGTAAAACCCCATCTCTACTAAAAATACAGAAATTAGCCAGGCGTGGCGGCAGGCACCTGTAATCCCAGCTACTCAGGAGGCCGAGGCAGGGGAATTGCTTGAACCCAGGAGGTGGCGATTGCAGTAGCCAAGATCGCACCATTGCACTCTAGTAGCCTGGGCAAGAAGAGCGAAACTCTGTCTCAAAAAAAAAAAAAGAGAGAGAGAAAAAATGTCACACTCCATAATGGTAGTCCTTTTGTTATACAGACCCATTCTACTTATTGAAAGGATTTGAGGTTTACAGAATGAATTTAAAATAAGAGTGAGAGAACAGGGTCATAATTTGATGGTACTTGGAGTTGATAAACATGTTCTTATGGACATGTTCTTCATGTAGCTACTACTGTGATTACCTACATAGAAGTCCAGGCATAGGCTGGGCGTGGTGGCTCATGCCTATAATCCCAGCACTTTGGGAGGCCAAGGCAGGAGGATCACTTGAGGCCAGGAGTTTGAGACCAGCCTGTTCAACATGGCAAAACCCCGTGTCTACTAAGAATACAAAAATTAGCTGGTGCAATGGTACTCACTTATAATCCCAGCTACAAGGGAGGCTGAGGCACATGAACCTGGGAAGCGAAGTTGCAGTGAGCCGAGATGGCACCACTGCACTCCAGCCTAGTCAACATAGCAAGACTCTTGTCTAAAAATACAAAAAAATCCCAGGCATAAAACTAAAACTAGTTCTCTGAAAAAATATCTCCAGCAGATCTAAAGTGTAGTCCATGGATGTATTTGTCAGAAATGAAACTTAGAGAATTTATAAGGTAAATGTATTTCATCAATTCATAGATGAGGGGTAGATGGAAGTCTCTTTGGAGAACTGGAAATAGAGATGTGGGGTGGTGGTAATGAAAACCTGTGCATTTGACGTACAGAGCATGCTCAGATCGAGGCTCATCCTGCTTTCACAGTCAACTGTAGTGGTAGGGTGGGTAACATCAGGACTTTTCTCATAGAGTAGTTCTGGATCTACTTGGGTTCACACCGCAGAGCAGGAAGGTAACAATCTTTCTCGCGAGCATCGCTAGAAAGATCTGGTCACCACCATCTCACAACAGGCGTTAGTATAAAATAAGCACACTTAACTGCTGCTGCCACAGTACCTATCTAGAGAAGGAGACAGCTCCAGTAAGAAAAAGTGAGACTGACGGTATGCCCCACAGTACTTTGTCCTTCTTGTTTGTAATTATAGAATATTATAATGATTGTATTCAGTCTTCTCACTTAAATTGAAAGCCATCTGAGCATTTTCTTGACCTTTTTATAGAATTGGTACAGTGGCTTGAGTTCTACTAATCATGTAATGAGTAATGAGTGCTTTTAGAAGGAATGCAAATGTAATTTTTAGGAAATCCAGGAAAGAAAGAATCTTAGGAAAATCCAAGGGAAAACAGAACAGTAATAAAAGTACAAATATAGCAACATGGCAAGATAAGTCTAAAAAATTTACTTACAGTGTACATACTAGTGATAAGAAAATTAAACAGCCTAGCATGTTTTTTAAAAATAGTAATTTTTAAAGACAACAGCAATAAAGAATGTTAAATATTGAGAATTTAATGTAGCAAATTAGAAGTTCATCTAAAGAATTAAAAGACAGTTTGATGGTGGTGGGGCGTGGTGCCTCACACCTGTGATCCTGGCTCTTTGGGAGGCTGAAGCGGGTGGATCATTTGGGGTCAGGAGTTCAAGACCAACCTGGCCAACATGATGAAACCCTGTGTCTACTAAAAATACAAAAATTAGCCAGGCATGGTGGAGGACACCTGTAGTCCCAGCTACTCAGGAGGCTGAGGCAGGAGAATCGCTTGAACCTGGGAGGCAGAGGTTTCAGTGAGCTGAGATCATGCCACTGCACTCCAGCCGGGGTGACAGAGCGAGACTGTGTCTCAAAAAAAAGAAAAGAAAAATATGAAAAATACTTTGCAGGTCAGTATAAACACTTAAAATATCATTTAAGTTATAATGTTACGTTATTCTATGAAAACAAGGAAACAAACATACCATATGATTCTTTTTGTGAGGGGTAAAAAGCAAGAATTTGTGAAGCAGGGAGGCTTCTAAATTCAGCAGACTTTTAAATATATTCTAAAATGAAAGTCATCACACCTAGATGAGATTTGGGTAAAAAATGAAAATATAGAACAGTGAAATAAACCAGAGATTTCAGAAATAGATTTAATTTCTGAGGAGCAATTTATATGACAACTGGGAGGATGAGGGGGAACAAGATCGCACTTTACTAACTACTGCTGATGATGACAGATACCTGTATAGAGTTTATTTTAGTTCTGTGTTTCGTACCATGCACCTTACATTCCAGCCAAATCAAAGAGCTAAACATGAAAAAATTGAGAAGAAAGTAGTTAGGATATAGGCTGGGTATATAGTTAGGATATATGCCTTTACTCCCAGAGCTTTGGGAGGCCAAGACAGCCGGATTACTTGAGGCCAGGAGTTCAAGACCAGCCTGGCCAGCATGGTGAAACCCCGTCTCTACTAAAAATACAAAAATTAGCCGGGCGTGGTGGCAGGTGCCTGTAATCCTAGCTACTCAGGAGACTGAGGCAGGAGAATCACTTGAACCGGGAGGCGGAGATTGCAGTTAGCCGAGATCCCACCATTGCACTCCAGCCTTGGCGACAGAACGAGACTGTCTCAAAAAAACAAACAAACAAACAAAATAAACCAAAAATTAGCTGGGTGTAGTGGTTCATGCCTGTAATCCCAGCTACTTGGGAGGCTGAGGCAGGATAATCGCTTGAACCTGGGAGGCAGAGGTTGCAGTGAGATCACTCACTGCGCTCCAGCCTGTGTGAGAGAGCAAGACTGTGTGTGGGGGTTGGGGAGTAGATTAGAACATGTATTTCAGCAGTGGAGAGGAGCTAAAATTGAACTATCGAAAAATTGTTTTGCTCTGGTACAGTGGCTGACACCTGTAATTCCAGCACTTTGGGAAGTCAGGGCAGAAGGATCACTTGAGCCCAGGAGTTTGACACCAGCCTGGGCAACACAGTGAGACCTTGTCTTATTATTTTTTTTTTTTAAAGAAAATTGAAAAGTTGGTTTTTGTTTCTGTTTTGTTTTGTTTGAGATGAAGTCTCACTCTGTTGTCCAGGCTGGAGTGCAGTGGCACCATCTCGGCTCACTGTAACCTCTGCCTCCCGGATTCAAGCAATTCTCCTGCCTCAGCCTCCCAAGTAGCCAGGACTACAGGTGCACACCACCACGCCCAGCTAATTTTTGTACTTTTATTAGAGATGGGGTTTCACCCTATTGGCCAGGCTGGTCTGAAACTCCTGACCTCAGGTGATCCATCTGCCTCAGCCTCCCAAAGTGCTGGGGTTACAGGCGTGAGCCACTGCACCCGGCCAAAAGAATTGTTTTTAATGACCGGGTAAAAGGCTTAATTGTATTAACTTTTTAAAAGTCTGTGCGATAAAAAATAAAACTCAGATAAAGTAGAAGGCAACAGTGGGAAGTCATGAATATAAATAAGGGCTTAATATAGTGAAATATCTAAACTTTATTAAAGGTAGTACCTAGGCTTTTTTTTTTTTTTTTTTTTGAGATAGAGTCTCACTCTGTTGCCCAGGCTGGTGCAATCTCGGCTCACTGCAACCTCTGCCTCCCGGGTTCAAGTGATTCTCCTGCCTCACCCTCCCAAGTAGCTTGGACTACAGGTGGTGCCACCACGCCCGGCTAATTTTTTGTATTTTGTTGTAGAGACGGGGTTTCACTGTATTAGCCCAGATGGTCTCAGTCTCCTGACCTTGTGATCCACCTGCCTTGGCCTCCCAAAGTGCTGGGATTATAGGCATGAGCCACCCCACCCAGCATACCTAGGCCTTTATAGATGAGGGATCAATTTTAGTTCAAATAAATGGCACGTATATGGGTAACTAGTTGATAGTAACAAGGGCTGCAGTCAAGGTAATCAAAAAGTGCCATGAGTGCTTAGCCATTTTCACTGAGGGAATGAGGTGACTGCCCCTGACCCCGAGTGTCCTGCCATCCTTTTAGAGTTAAGCCAGACAGTTAGGCTGCTGCAGGCTTCCACAGGATGTATTGGCCCTTGGCGTGTGATGTCATTGGCCTGTGGTAGATGGGGTCTGTGACAACCAGTCCTGGGGGTTTGTTCTCAGCCTTATTCATGCTCTTCTATCGTGACATCCTTATGAGAACCCTTGGGAGAAATTTTTGATTTTGGTGTCAGAATTTCACCTGAAGGATTGGTTTGCTTTCATCTTTTGAACCCTGAGTTATGTAACTGTTTTCATCTTAGTGATGATTGCTAAAAAGTTTAGTTAGAGACAGATAGATGTATGGGCTGACTCTTGACTAATTTAGACATCTTCCAGGAAAACATTTCTGTCTTGTCATCTGTGGCTCTGCCTGTGGGGTTTCTCCATGTTTCTTTTGTTTGTTTGTTTTTGTTTACTTATTAAATTATTATTATTTTTTGAGACAAAGTCTCTCTCTTGTCCCCCAGGCTGGAGTGCAATGGCGCGATCTCGGCTCACTGCAACCTCCACCTATTGGGTTCAAGTGATTCTCCTGCCTCAGCCTCCCAATAGCTGGGATTACAGGTACGTGCCACCATGCCTGGCTAATTTTTGTATTTTTAGTAGAGACAGAGTTTCACCATGTTGGCCAGGCTGGTCTACGAACTCCTGACCTCAGGTGATCTGCCTGCCTCAGCCTCCCAAAGTGCTGGGATTACAGGGTGAGCCACCGTGCCTGGCCTATTGTTTATAATTTTTAAAAAATTGTTTAATGCCTATCTATCTATATTTACTAGAGATGGGGTCTCACTATGTTGCCCAGGCTGGTCTCGAGTTCCTAGGCTCAATCGATATTCTCCCTCATCCTCCCAGAGCATTGGTATTACAGTTGTTATTCTTTTTATTTTCTAGTCTGTTATGCTGAATTGCATTTATCTTTTAAATAGACTTTAAATATTCTTTGGCAGAAAGTGAGGAATAAATACATATATTACACCTATAAAATCAGTAAAACGAAATGAAAATTATCAAGCCCAATGTTGTAAGGGCCATAGGGAAATAAGCGCGTACACGTGGTTAATGACAGTGTGCACCGAGTTTCTGAGGAGTGTGGCTAGCAATAGACACTTAGTGCTATAACATTGATTCTTTTTTGTTTTTTGTTTTTTTTTGTTTTTTGAGATAGAGTCTCGCTCTGTCACCCAGGCTGGAATGCAGTGGTGCGATCTCGGCACACCGCAAGCTCCACCTCCCAGGTTCACACCATTCTCCTGCCTCAGCCTCCGGAGTAGCTGGGACTACAGGCGCCCGCCACCACGCCTGGCTAATTTTTTGTGTTTTTAGTAGAGACGGGGTTTCACTGTGTTAGCCAGGATGGTCTCGATCTCCTGACCTCATGATCCACCCGCCTCAGCCTCCCAAAGTGCTGGGATTACAGTTGCGAGCCACCGCGCCCGACCTATTTATTCTTATTAAGCGGTTAATACCACTTTTGGAAATGTATCGCAGAGAAGTAACCCAAAAGAAGATAGTCCTTACAAAATTATTTATAGCTGCAGTGCACAACAGTGAAAAGAGGGGAAGCAACCCAAATGCACAGTGGTAGAGAGTCAAATAAGTCAGTTAATATAATGGAATGTTACAAAGCTACCAAAAAGGATTCAGTGGGTTAGATAAATAGAAATGTCCACAAAACATGTAAATTATCAAAACATGCATTAAATCTATTTAAGAATATGTAGATATAGCAAAAAGAATGAGCTGGTCATGGTGAGACTGCTAGGTGGGAAGGGGTCCTGGGAAAAACCCCAACCGGCCTGTACACTGGGGTGGAGCCCCCCGGAAAAACTCCAACCGGCCTGTGCACTGGGGTGGAGCTTCGGGAAGTGGCGCAGTCTTTTGTAGCAGGGAGGAGCCTGGCCCCTCTTCTTTCTGTGTAGAACCTGGGATTCTAGCTGCTGGCAGGAAGCACTGTAGCAGAGACTCTGGCCTTGTGAGAGTCCTTCTTTCCCCCTTTTCTTCCTTTTCACTCAATAAAACCCTGTCTTACTCACCATTCAAACCGTCTGCCAGCCCGGGGCAGACACTCTTCTGTCTCCTGCTTCCAGTCCTGTAAAGATGCCAGGATCTCCCAGGGCATGGCAGGCACCCTCAAAGGTAGACGTGATTGAGGCCCTAATGGGCTGTCTCCAGCCTGCTGACGGGGGTGGCGGCTTCTCCCGGGCTGCCGCTGGCCAACCCACTGCGCTGCAGTCCACCTGGTGCTGGGGCTGTGGTGCTAGGGCTGTGGGGCACAGTCCTTCAGGACCCACTCCCTTTCCTGCCCAGAAGATCCAGGCCTGGCGTCCTTATGTCCCCTGGAAAGCTCACTCCCATCCTCAGGGTAGGAGGGCAGTTGCACGCTGGGCTGGTTTGGGCGTGTCCTGGGACACCCCTGCAGGCCAGATGCAGCAGGGGATGTGGCTCTGAGGGGTTGCTGTGGGCAGGTTAGCGTGGAGCTGGGTTCTGGAAAGGAGTTGCCGTGCTGTCTGCCAGGACCCCTCCTCTGAGACAGGGTTGCCTTGTGGGACAGTGCCCCAAAGTGCCCTGGGCACGAGGGGTCCCTGCGCCCCCCACACACTGACCCCGCATTGGGGGGCCCTGCACCCCACACACTGATCCTGCATCGGGGGGCCCTGGACCATCCTTGATGTTGCCATGCCCCTAGCTCTGGTGGCACTGGGACCCTCCAGGATGGGCTGAGCAGGGGCCCCCTCCACCAGTGCAAACCCCAGCACCAGCGGGAGTGGGCCTAGGCAGGGGGTGCAGGGAGTGACACTCAAGGGGACCTGCCCCAGCCTCCTCTTGTACTCTGGGGGTTCTCGTTTTCCTTGGCTGAGGGAAGTGGCCTCTCCCCGCTGAAACCTGGGGTCAGGCTGAGTGTGGGAGGAAACGGGGGTGGGGAGTGAGCAGGACCCCAGACCTTGGGAATCCTGAGTTGGGGTGGGGGGGCAGGCTCTGCCTACGATGTGCCTGGGGGCCTGGGCTGAACCCCCTCCTGGGGAGCCAGGCTCACAGGTTGTTCTGTGGGACTCAACAGGGGACAGCGTCCTGGCCAGGGTGAGGAAGGCCATCACACCGGGGTCTGCGGGAGGCATATGCAGGCTAAGCTCTCACCTGCCTGGCCCCCCCCACCCCGCAATCTGCTGCAGCCATTCTCTCTGCCTTGGCCGGGACCCGAAGTCCGACCACCATTCCTGGGGCTCCCCTGCCAGGCGGGCACCCCCTGCTTAGAGGCCATCCCCACCCCCTCCATCTGCCCCTGTCCTAGTGACAGCCACCTGTCCTGGTGCCCTGGTTGAGGGGAGGAAGCTGTCCTTGCACCCCTGGTCTCGGGCGCAGCCTCAGCGCCGCATCAGAGCTGCCCGGCCCCCCTCTACTGGCCATTGTCGGAAGTGCAGCCCGGCGTGAGCATTGCCTTTCCCTGGAGATGGGACCCAGAGCAGCACCGCTGGAAACAGGGAGTCCCCCACTGTTCCTGACAGCGGCAGTAGCAATTGCGGACCATGCAGACTCAAGAGAGCCCCAGCCCATGTCAGCACCAGGAGCCAAAACCGAGTCAAGGGCTCGGTGCGGGGACCAGCTGGGGGCGGACCTGGGAAGCCTGGATGGCAAGTGGGGCAGGAAGGCGCCCACTCCGGGACTGCCTGGGCTGCAGGGGGTCTCCAGCCAGAGACGTTGGGTGAGACAGGGCGTCCGCCCTCGAAGGGCTGAGTGACAGAACTGCCCTGGGGTTCCGCCCAGCCCAAACGGGCTAGATGAAGGTGGAGTCCAGAGGCCTCCCCGTCCTGCTGGCTGAGGGCCTGGGCCTCAAACAGCTGCTTCATTATGAGCGCCGACTTCTGCTCCAGCTGCATGACGCGCCCACTCTTCTCGGTCACCTCCTGGGTGAGGCGTCGGTTCTGCTCCTTCAGCATAAGGATAGTCTGCTGCTGCCACCCCGGGAAGGAGGTGAACGTCAGGGCAGGGCAGAGGGGCCCGGAGGAGGACGTAGGTAGGGCCCGGCTGGCACCGGCCGCAGCCAGCAACTCCCCCACGCACCGGGCCACCTCCTGTACCTTAGGCAGTAGCCGCCCCAGTGGGTGGGGGCTCCCCGCAGGCCCAAAGTCGGCGCTGGCTCTGCTCTGGCCCAGGCGGCACTGGCGGTCCTGCACTGGTTGCAGCCGCTGCTGGTACCAGTCGCGACCCCGCCATCATCTCCAAACCCTGCAGCAGCACCACCTTCTCCTGCTCCAGCTCCTTCATCTGCTTCAGCAGGCCGCAGTCCACGCCGCTGGTGATGGTGAGCCTCCGACTTCCCTTCGGGCACGGGGGGCCAGTCGGACATCCCGAGTCCACCTCCAGGGCCCTGCAGGCCAATGAACCTGCGTCCGCGCTTGCGCTCTGGGTCCGCTCTGGCTCCGCGGGCAGGACGCCGCCTCGGCGGGGGGTGTACAGCTGCTCCGGGCTGCGGGCCGCGCCGCGCCGCCTGAACCTGGGCGGGGGCTTCTCCAGGACTGTCTGTGGCTCGTTGGCCAGCGTAAACGCCAGGCGCTGCAGCGGCTGGTCCCCAGGCTGGGCCGGGGCGCACGTGGGGTCCCGGGGGCAGCCGATGGCGCTCAGCAGCTAGGTGGGCAGGTCGGCCACAAAGCGCTCGAAGGTCAGGCAGCCACTGGCCGAGGCCACCTGGCGCAGGCCCTCCAGCATCCCACGGGGCAGCTCCCGCGTGTCGGCCCCCCGCCAGCGGGACTGGCTCTGGCGCAGGTGCACGCAGCCGCCCCGCGGGTCGTCCAGGATGTCCAACAGGGTGCGCAGGCTCTGCAGGAAGGCGCACGGCAGCCCCTCCGTGCTGGGCGCGGGCGCGGGCGCGAGGGGGAGGCACGTGGCCCCGCTCAGCCATGGCAGCCCCAGCCATGGGCGCCCGGGCTCGGTCCCAGCGTCCACCCGCGTCCGTCCCCGTGCGGCCCCACGGCGGGGCCAGCCCAGCCCACAGCAGTCTCAACCTCTCGGGCTCAAGCCATTTTTCTGCCTCAGCTTTTCGAGTAGTTGGGACTACAGCCACGCACCCCTACGTGGGCTAATTTTTGTATTCTCGCATCCAGTACAAAGATGCTTTTTGTAGTAGCCACATTTCTAAAAAGCGGTATGCAAATTGAGATTGTCGAAAACATTCTAAAATGTAACAGAGGCACAGAAGCAATAAAAAGATTCTTTTATCAGACAACTTCTTCCTTCTCCGTGGAGCTCAGAGGCAGCTTACGTTGTGATTAGAAATGTGGGCTTGGCCAGGCGTAGTGGCTTACACCTGTAATCCCAGCACTTTGGGAGGCCAAGGCGGGCAGATCACCTGAGGTCAAGAGTTCAAGACCAGCCTGGCCAACATGGTGAAACACTGTCTGTACTAAAAATACAAAAATTAACTGGGCGTGGTGGTAGGCGCCTGTAATCTCAGCTACTTGAAAGGCTGAGGCAGGAGAATCGCTTGAACCTAGGAGGCAGAAGTTGCAGTGAGCAGAGATCAGGCCACTGCACTCCAGCCTGAACAACAAAGAGTGAAACTCCATCTCCAAAAAAAAAAAAAAAAAAAAGACTGTGGGCTTTACAGTCAGATAGACATGGTTTCAAATTCCCACCCTGCTACCTGCTGTCTGTATGATCTTGGGCAAATCATTTAACTTCTCTGAACTTCAGCCCCCTCATCACTAAAATGGATAATATTAATAAGAGTATCCATTGTGGCTGGGCGTGGTGGCTCACGCCTGTAATCCCAACACTTTGGGAGGCTGCCTGAGGCAGGCGGATCACCTGAGGTCGGGAGTTTGAGACCAGCTGGCCCAACATGGAGAAACCCCAACTCTACTAAAAATACAAAATTAGCTGGGCATGGTGGCACATGCCTGTAATCCTAGCTACTCGGGAGACTGAGGCAGGAGAATCACTTGAACCTGGTGGGTGGAGGTTGCGGTGAGCCAAGATTGCACCATTGCACTCCAGCCTGGGCAAAAACAACGAAACTCCATCTCAAAAAAAAAAAAAGAAAAGAAAAAAAGAAAAAATAAGAGTATCTATTGCATAATCTTAGGATTAGAGAAATGTGCTTGTAGGGTACACTGTGTAGTACTTGGCTTATGGGTCTGTTTTCCGTGAGTATGAGATCATATTTACTAAGTTATTATACACTAAGTTAACTGCTGGAAAGGGGGTTAGTGAGGATTCCTTCATAACTTTAGAGATGAAACATGATTTTCCTATTGCTTCTTTTTTGTGATTCTTTTCTCATGGGAAATACTGTCTTTTCTGCTTTGTAGATATTGAAATGGATTCCAGGCGTGTGCCTCGAGACAAGCTGGCCTGCATCACCAAGTGCAGCAAGCACATCTTCGATGCCATCAAGATCACCTAGAACGAGCTGGCGTCAGCAGATGACTTCCTCCCCACCCTCATCTACATTGTTTTGAAGGGCAACCCCCATGCCTTCAGTCTAATATCCAGTATATCACGTGCTTCTGCAATCCAAGCCGACTGATGACTGGAGAGGATGGCTACTATTTCACCAATCTGGTGAGTAAGTGAGTTCTTGGCGTTGTGGAGAAGGACTAGGAAGGTGGTGGTTTTGGGGATGTGATAGGTCACTCAGGCCCATGACAGGTGAATGCTTCTGTGTGAGAAGGCAGCACGGCTGAGGAAGCTCACTTTGCATCAGGGAGCACAAGGACCAGGCCGTACAGACACTCCGCCTCCCCGCACTTGATCAGAGATTGTGTTTATCCTACAGAAACAGATGACATGTGTTGGGCATCACTCCCCACGGTCCTGGGTAGAAGAGTCCTTCACTTGGCAGGGCTTTTTCAACCAATGAATAAGGCAAATTATATATAAGTTAATAATGCCATTTCGAACCGAGACAGATGGCAGCTAAATGAAGTTTAATTAAAGAATGAGCGCTGGGGCCCTTTTTATTGGGTACTGCATCTACTTCGACCACAAAAGACGAAGTGACCCCAACTTCAAGAACAGGCTTTGAGATGGAAGAAAGAAACAGAAGCTTGCCAAGGAGAGAGCTGGGCTTTCCAAGTTACCTGACCTTAAAGATGCTGAAGCTGTTCAGAAGTTCTTCCTTGAAGAAATACAGCTTGGTGAAGAGTTACTAGCTCAAGGTGAATATGAGAAGGGCGTAGACCATCTGACAAACGGAATTGCTGTGTGTGGACAGCCACAGCAGTTACTGCAGGCCTTACAGCAAACTCTTCCACCACTAGTGTTCCAGATGCTTTTGACTAAGCTCCCAACAATTAGAGAATTCTAAGTGCTCAGAGCTTGGCTGAAGATGATGTGGAATGAGAAACAAATGTTAACATAATAAAATCTCAGTTAAAAATATTTAAAAAATTCTTGGTAGTTGAGCAGCTCTGGGGGAATAAGGGCAAATATCCTTGTTATGAACTACACTGAAATCTACCAAAGTTAATGTTTACTTTGTGTAGGTCCATTTGTCTATTTTATTTATTTTTCCCAGTGAAAAGTGTATTTTGATAGAGAACTTTTCATTTTATAAATACACTATGAGTTACTGAAAATTCATATCATGGATTTCATTTATTCCTGAAACATAGTTAAAATGTACATATGACATGGCTTATGTTAAAAATACCCAGTGCTCAGTTTTGAAAGATAGGCACAAAAAAAAAAAAAAGTATAGGAGAAACTGAAGAATGTACACCTTTTTAGCTGGCACATTTTGCTGTAAATCCGGAAATTTGATAGACTTGATTGTGTTTGTGAAAACTGAGCATTAAAGGTTTTTTAATTGATCATTTCTTTAAAAAAAAAAAAAAAGAATGCTTTTTTTTGGAGACGGAGTCTAGCTCTGTCACCCAGGCTGTAGTGCAGTGGCGGGATCTCGGCAGGAGTCAGCAGGTGTTTTGCGGTTGCTGAATTTCCTTGAGGTGAAGATGTAAGACTTTGAGCAGCACATCCTGATTGGATGGGTTACTGCATGGAAACCTCGCCCAGCCCGATAAAGAAGGGCTTTTTTTGTCTTTTTTGAGACACGGTCTCACTCTGTCACCCATGCTGGGGTGCAGTGGTGTGGTCTTGGCTCACTGCAGCCTCCATCTCCCAAGCTCAAGCGATCCTCCTGCCTCAGCCTCCTGAGTAGCTGGGACTACAGGTGCACACCACCCTGCCTGGCTAATTTTTTGTAGAGACGGAGTCTATGTTGCCCAGTCTGGTCTTGAACTCCTGGGCTCAAAGAATTCTCCTGCTTCAGCCTCCCAAAGTGCTGGGATTACAGGCGTGAGCCACTGCACTCAGCCCACCAGAAGGGTCTTAATGACACAGAGTAAGGGCAGGCTCGGTCCACGGGGCAAATGTCTCTTCAATTGGTGGAGAAAAGTCAGAAACTAGGTGTCTGTGATGTGGCATAGAGACCCTGGGAAAGAGAAGACCCTGGAGGCAGGAGGAGCCCAGGCTATGAGTCAGAGGGATTTTTGTGGGATATTCAACATGAAAAAGAAGTCAGATGCTGCCCCACCCTCTGTCTCAGACTGGTCCATGGGCTGTGGCCATCCTTGAGTCACCATGAGAGATGGCCATATTGGAGGGAGTGGTGGATGTGGGTGACAGTGCCCACCCTCTGGGCATCTGTCCCAAATCTTCCTGAGGCATTTATGTGGCCTTCTGTGTCTCTGCCATGTTTTTTGTTTTTTGTTTGCTCTTTTTTTTTTTTTTTTTTTTTTGAGACAGAGCCTGGCTTTGTTCCCCAGGCTGGAGTAGAGTAGCATGATCTCGGCTCATTGCAACCTCCACTTCCTGGGTTCAACTGATTCTCCTGCCTCAGCCTCCTGAGTGGCTGAGATTACAGGCGCCCACTACCAACCCCGGCTAATCTTTTTTTTTTGGATTTTAGTAGAGACGGGGCTTCACCATGTTGGCCAGGCTGGTCTCGAACTCCTGACCTCAGGTGATCCACCCACCTCCCTGCCTCAGCCTCCCAAAGCGTTGGGATTACAGGCGTGAGCCACCGCGCCCGGCCTGTCTCTGCCTTTGACCTGAGAGCAAACCAGGTCGCCTCCAGATCTGTATGTTCAGTGCCAGGCCTGACCCTTGTAACTGGCTCTTTTTTTTTGGGAAACAGTGTCTCACCCGGTTGCCCAGGCTGGAGCACAGTGGCGCAATCATAGCTCACTGCAGCCTCCACCTGCCGGCCTCAAGCACTCCTCCTGCCTCATCCTCTTGAGTAGCTGGGACAATAGGTACGCGCCACCACGCCTGACTAATTTTTAATTTTTTTGCAGAGACGGGGGCAGTCTCACTACATGGCCCAGGTTTGTGATCAGCTCTTGGTGGAAGGAGGTGGCTTCTAGCTGGGCTATGCCACCCCAGGCTGTGGAGTTCCAGGTGAACCTGGTCCTGACAGGAGTCAGGGCCTAGGGTCTCAGGCCAGGTTGTGGCGTGGCCTTGCTGAATCCTATCACTGTCCCTGCTGAGCAGCCATACTGGGCCCTGTGGTGGTTCAGATGGATGGTCCTGACAGCACGGTCTGCACAGCGTCTGACTCACTTTGTGGCCTGGGCAAGTCCCTGGCATCTCTGCACCTCAGCTTCCCAGCTGTACAATGAGGTGGGGTAAGATTAGATCAATATTTTTTCTTTCTTCTTCTTTTTTATTTCTTAGGAGATGGGGTCTCAGCCAGGCACAGTGGCTCCCACCTGTAATCCCAGCACTTTGGGATGCTGGGGTGGGAGGATCACTTGAGGTCAGGAGTTTGAGACCAGCCTGGCCAACATGGTGAAACCTCGCCTCTACTAAAAATACAAAGAATTAGCTGGGTGTGGTGGTGCATGCCTGAAGTCTCAGCTACTCGGGAGGCTAAGGCATGAGAATCGCTTGAACTCAGGAGGTGGAGGTTGCAGTAAGTCAAGATTGCAAGATTGACTCCAGCCTGAGCGACAGAGCGAGTCTCTGTCTTGGGAAAAAAAAAGAAGGCCGGGAGCAGTGGCTCACACCTGTAATCTCAGCACTTTGGGGAGCCAGGGTGGGTGGATCATGAGGTCAGGAGTTCGAGACCAGCCTGGCCAACATGGGGAAACCCTGTCTCTACTAAAAATAGAAAAAACAGCTGGGCGTGGTGGCAGGTGCATGTAATCCCAGCTGCTTGGGAAGCTGAGGCAGGAGAATCAGTTGAACCCAGGAGGCAGAGGTTGCAGTGAGCCGAGATCGTGCCACTGCACTCCAGCCTGGGCAACAGAGCGAGACTCTGTCTTGGGGGGAAAAAAAAGAAGAGATGAGGTCTCATTCTGTCATCCAGGCAGGAGTACAGTGGCATAATCATAGCTCACTGCAGCCGTAAACTCTGGGGCTCAGGTGATCCTCCGGCCTCAGCCTCCTGTGTAGCTGGGACTACAAGTGCCTACTACCACGCCTGGCTAATTTTTAGAAAAAACTTTTTGGTCTATGGCCATACCACCCTGAATGCGCCTGATCTTGCCTGATCTCAGAAGGGAAGCAGGGTTGGGCCTGGTTAGTAGTTGGATGGGAGAAAAAACTTTTTGTAGAGACACGGTCTCATTATGTTGCCCAGGTTTGTCTCAAACTCCGGGACTCAAGCAATCCTCCCACTTAGGCCTCCCAAACTGCTGGGATTAGAGACGTGAGCCACCACACCTGGCCAATCAGTGTTTCTTTTTCTTTTTCTTTTTGAGACAGAGTCCTGCTCTGTCATCCAGCTTGGAGTGCAGTGGTGTGATCTCGACTCACTGCAACCTCTGCCTCCTGGGCTGAAGCCATCCTCCCACCTCAAACGCCCAAGTAGCTAGGACTACAGGCGTGCGCCACCATGCCGGCTAATTTTTCTTTTTCTTTTTTTTTTTTTTTTTTTGAGACAGAGTCTTGTTCTGTTTCCCAGGCTGGAGTGCAGTGGTACAGTCTTGGCTCACTGCAACCTCTGCCTCCCAAGTTCAAGTGATCCTCCTGTCTCAGCCCGCCTAGTAGCTGGGATTACAGGCATGCATCACCATGCCTGGCTAATTTTTGTATTTTCAGTAGAGATGGGGTTTTGCCATGTTGACCAGGCTGGTCTCCAACTCCTGACCTCAGGTGATCCGCCCACCTTGGCCTCCCAAAGTGCTGGGATTACATGGGTGAGCCACCGTGCCTGGCCCTAATTTTTCTATTTTTAGTTGAGACAGGGTTTCACCATGTTGGTCAGTCTGGGCTCGAACTCCTGTTCTCAAGTGATCTGCCTGCCTTGGCCTCCCAAAGTGCTGGGATACAGTGTTTCTTAATCGGGTGCACATCATAGTCACCCGTGAGTAATTTCTCCCAAGTCCTATCATACACCTTAATCGGAACCATCATGCCAGGTGGCCCCCAGGTGCCTGGTGAAAGGTTCTGTATACCCTGCAGATGCCAGCAGAACGGAGGGGGTCCAGCCAGTCTCTGGCAGTGCCCGCCTGCCTCACCCCTGTCAGTCACATGCTACCCCTCTGCTACCCAGGAGGCCCCCATGATCCTCCCTGAGGCCCAGCCTGCCTCTTGTCCTTCTAGCTGACCTCATACACTCATTGGTGCTATGGCAGGGCCTTCCCTCTGTAGGGCACCTGCAGGTTTCGGGGGGCCTCTTGGGGATACCTGTCCTTGTTCATGGAGACCTCAGGCTCCCTGGGGAGGCACCAGGGTGGAGAGGGGCTATATTTTTTTCAAGGTGGTAAGCCATCTATTGCATGCCCACCTGGACCACATCTATCTCTGCCTTTAAAAAATTTATTAAAATTTTTTTTTTAGAGACAGGGTCTTGCTCTGTTGCTCAGGCTGGAGTGCAGTGGTACAATCATAGCTCACTGCAGCCTCCAACTCCTGGTGTCTCTGTCTTTTTCATTTTTTTTTTGAGATGGAGTCTTGCTCTGTCTCCCAGGCTGGAGTGCAGGGGTGTGATCTCAGTTCACTGCAACCTCCGCCTTCCGGGTTCAGCAATTCTCCTGCCTCAGTCCCCCAAGTAGCTGGGATTGCAGGTGCCCACAACCACGCCCAGCTAATTGTTGTATTTTTAGTAGAGATAGGGTTTCACCATGTTGCTCAGGCTGGTCTTGAACTCCTGACCTTAAGTGATCTGCTTGCCTCCCAAAGTGCTGGGATTATAGGCGTGAGCCACTGCACCCGGCTCTACCTTTTTTTCAAAAGGAACAGTCTAGTCCCCACAGGGCAGAAGGGTGGCTTCCTTGCCTCCGACTCACCTGGCACCTTGGCATCATTGCAGATTTCTGCAAAGGGTCTGAAAAAGAAAGAAAAGAGGTGGCAGTTAGAAAATGAGGTTTTCCCCTCCTTTTTTTTTTTTTTTTTTTTTTTTTTGAGATGGAGTCTCGCTTGGTCACCCAGGCCGAAGTGCAGTGGCACAATTTTGGCTGACGGCAGCCTCCACCTCCTGGGTTCACACCATTCTCCTGCCTCAGCCTCCTGAGTAGCTGGGACTACAGGTGCCCGCCACCACGCCCAGCTAAGTTTTATATTTTTAGTAGATACGGGGTTTCGCCGTGTTGGCCAGGCTGGTCTTGAACTCCTGACCTCAGGTGATCTGCCTGCCTCCGCCTCCCAAAGTGCTGGGATTACAGGCATGAGCCATTGCGTTTGGCCGTTTTCCCCTCCTTCTCACCTGCCCTCTGAGATGTGGTGCTGCTGCTGCTGCAGGAGCCTGGTAACACCGAAATAAAAATGGGGAACACACCGTCCCGACAGAGCATTCCCCATATAGGCCCTGGACGATGGACCTGGGCTGGCAAATCATTCCTCCAGGTCTGCTGTCCTCATCTATAAAGCGAGGATATTGTCTGACCAAGGGATCAGAAACGTGTGCCCAGATTTATGCAAGTGGATAGTCATCACAGCATTATTATCAATTACTATTTTTGAGACAGTCTTACTCTTTTGCCCAGGCTGGAGTTCAGTGGTGCCATCCTAGCTCACGGCAGCCTCAAAGTTCTGGGCTCAATCAGTCCTTCTGCCTCAGCTTCCCAGTAGTTGGGAATGCAGGTGCACACCACCATGCCCGTCTAATTTATTTTTTAATTAATTAATTTTTTTTTTTTTTGAGATGGAGTCTTGCTCTGTTGCCCAGGCTGTTGTGCTATGGCATGGTCTCAGCTCACTGCAACCTCCACCTCCCAGGTTCAAGCGATTGTCCTGCCTTAGCCTCCTGAGTAGCTGGGATTACAGGCGTGAGCCACCACACCTGGCCGTTTTCCTGCATTTTCTAGTTGTTACTTCGGGGGGGTGAACTATCTGTGGGAGAAAGGGAAACCTCCACTTTTTGATTTTGAACAATTTGGGTTTTTTTGACACATGCAAATATTATCTTAATTTAAAAAAACATGCAGGTCAGCACAGTGGCTCATGTTTGTAATCCCAGCACTTTGGGAGGCCAAGGCAGGCGGATCACTTAAGGTCAGGAGTTCGAGACCAGCCTGGCCAACATGGTGAAACCCTGTCTCTACAAAAATACACAAATTAGCCGGGTGTGGGGGCAGGCACATGTGATCCCAGCTATTTGGGAGGCTGAGGCACAAGAATCACTTGAATGCCGGAGGAAGAGGTTGCAGTGAGCCAAGATGGTGCCACTGCACTCCAGTCTGGGTGATAGAGCAAGACCTCATCTCAAAAAAACAAAGAAACAATACATGTAATATAACATTGAAGGCGGGCTGGGCGCAGTGGCTCAAGCTTGTAATCCCAGCACTTTGGGAGGCTGAGGCAGACAGATCACCTGATGTTGGGAGTTCGAGACCAGCCTGACCAACGTGGAGAAACCCCGTCTCTTAAAAATACAAAATTAGCTTGGGTGGTGGCGCATGCTTGTAATCCCAGCTACTCAGGAGGCTGAGGCAGGAGAATTGCTTGAACCTGGGAGGTAGAGGTTGCAGTGAGCCAAGATCGTGCCTTTGCACTCCAGCCTGGGCAACTAAAGCAAACTCCATCTTAAAAAAAAAAAAAAGAAAGGCCGATGTGGGAGGATGGCTTGAGCCCAGGAGTTTGAGACTAACCTGTGCAATAAAAAAAAAAAAAAAAACAAACGTCTGGGCGTGGTGACTCATGCCTGTAATCCCAGCACTTTGGGAGGCCGAGGCGGGTGGATCACCTGAGGTCAGGAGTTCGAGACCAGCCTGACCAATATGGTGAAACCCCGTCTCTACTAAAAATATTTTAAAAAAATTGGCCACGCGTGGTGGCATGTACCTGTAGTCCCAGCTACTCAGGATGCTGAGACAGGAGAATTCTTGAACCTGGGAGGTGGAGGTTGCAGTGAGCTGAGATCACGCCACTGTACTCCAGCCTGTGCGACAGAATGAGACTCCATCTCAAAAATAAAGTAATAATATATTAATAAAATAATAATTTAAAAATATAAAGAAATGCATCAAAGTGTTGACTTTCAGTAGGAGACTTACAGCTATCTTCTTTTCTTCTATCTTTTCATATTTTCCAGGTTGTTTTGTGTATTGTTCTGAAAATAAGCGAATCATCTATTGTATTAAAAAAAAAAAAAAGACTGGGCCACACAGTTTGGGTGTGGTGGCTCACGACTGTAACCCCAGCACTTTGGGAAGCCAAGGTGGGAGGATCACTTGAGCTTAAGAGTTTAAGACCAGCCTGGGCAACACAGTGAGACCCTGTTGAGGCTGCAGTGGGTCAGGATCATACCTCTGTACTCCTGCCTGGGCAACAGAGTGATACCCTGTCTCAAAACAAAAACCAAAACCCAAAAGACTGTAAGGATATATGGTATAGTAGTAATAACGGAGGCTGGGTGCAGTGGCTCACACCTGTAATCCCAGCACTTTGGGAGGCTGAGGCAGGCAGATCACTTCAGGTCAGGAGCTCGAGACCAGCCTGGCCAACATGGTGAAACTCCATCTCTACCAAAAAATACAAAAATTAGCCAGGGTGGTGGTGCACACCTGTAATCCCAGCTACTTGGGAGGCTGAGGCATGAGAATGGGTTGAAGCCAGGAGGTGAAGGTTGCAGTGAGCTGAGATCGTGCCACTGCACTCCAGCCTCGGTGACAGAGCAAGACCCTGTCTCAAAAAAAAAGAAAAAAAGGTAATCACTGAGACTATGGAATTATAATTATTTTAAAAAATATAATAAATATTCATATTTATATTTAAACATTGATATTTAAATACAAACGTATTTATATTTAAATGTTAAAAATCAGAATTGTATAGTCAGAAACAGTCAAATTTAATTAAAACATGTTTTTGTTTCTTCCCCAGAGAACAAATATAATATCTAAAAAAAAAAAAATCTTTAAAAATAAGTAAATGTCCATAAGTGTTGAAGTTGTATGTTTCAGGAGAAAGAGGCAGGAACTATTGTAGTACACCTGGGTCTGGATCCCAGCTGACCCACCATGACCTTGACTTTCACCCTCCCCATGGTCTTGCCCTCTCTGTTCCCCGTTCCAGAGGCTGGGCACTCACTGCAGCTGGCTAATGATGACCATGTGGACATGCTTTCGGGCCTTCAGGATCTTCTCCAGCCAGTGGATGTCGTACGTGTTGGGGTTCCGGAAAGGGATGTCAGGTGGTGGCTCACACCTGCGATCCCAGCACTTTGGGAGGCCAAGGCGGGTGGATCGCTTGAGCCCAGAAGATCAAGACCAGTCTGGGCAACATGGTGAAACCTCGTCTCTACTAAAAATAGAAAAATTAGCCGGGAGTGGTGGCGCACGCTTGTAGTCCCAGCTACTTGAGAGGCTGGGGCAGGAGGATTGCCTAAGCCCATGAGGTGGAGGCTGCAGTGAGCAGACATTGCACCACTGTACTCCAGCCTGGGCAACAGAGTGAGACGCTGTTTAAAAAAAAAAAAAGAAAATCAACATACACAAAATGTGGGTCATGGGCAGAGCAGCCATGTCCCCAGGGAGCAGGCAGGCCAGCTGGGGGCTCCTGAAGGCTAGGCTGGCTGCAGAGGGAGGGAGGGCCTCCCCCTTTCCCCGGGAGGAGGGCTTGGTGTGCTGACCCTGACCACAGACACTGACTGTATTTCTCGTTGAAGAGTTCCTTCACCTGCTCCTGCAGGATCACCTCCCCAAGTCTGTTGGTATCATCTTCATCTAAAGAGGAAGACAAGGGGGCCTGAGAGTTGGCACTGGCTTGGCCACCAGACCTGCTGCTTCTCCCACCAGGCATCCCTGACCTGCCAAAACATTCTCTGCAGGCCCTGCCTACTCCCATGCAGCTGTTTGTTTGTTTAGTTACGTATTTATTTTATTTAATTAATTAATTAATTTATTTTTTGAGACAGAGTCTCGCTCTGTTGCCCATGCTGGAGTGCAGAGGCGCGATCTCAGCTTACTGCAACCTCCACCTCCCAGGTTCAAGTGATTCTCCTGCGTCAGCCCCCCAAGTAGCTGGAATCACAGGCACCGCACCACCATGCCTAGCTAATTTTTGTATTTTTTAGTAGAGACGGGTTTTCATCATGTTGCTCAGGCTGGTCTCAAACTCTTGGGCTCAGGTGATCCACCCGCCTTGGCCTCCCAAAGTGTTGGGATTACAGGCGTGAGCCACTGTGCCTGGCTGTAGCTGGTTTCTAGCCCCAGTTGTTGGTCTGTCCATCCATCCATTTTTCTTTCTTTGAGACATGGTTTTGCTCTGTCACCCAGGCTGGAAGGCAGCGGTGCAATCAGATAGTTCACGGCAGCCTCCAAATACCAGGCTCAAGTGATCCATACTGCCTCAGCCTCCTGAGTGGTTGGGAATACAGATGTGTGCCACCATACCTAATTTTTTAAATTTTTGGTAGAGATGGAGTCTCACTATGTTGCCCAGGCTGATCTTGAACTCCTGGCCTCAAGCGATCCTCGTCTTGGCCTCCCAAAGTTCGGGAATTACAGGTGTGAGCCACGGTGGCCAGCCCATCCGACATTTTCTTATCAGTGTCCCCAGCATAGGCCCTGTGTTGGGCACAAAACAACCTAAAGAGGCAGGGCTGCTCCCCTGAGGGTCTCCCAGCCAGAGGGGGTGTCACCTGGTCACCAAAGTACAACAGACACACTTAGGAGACAAGGGGCATGAATGAGGATGCCCATCCTGTCTGGGCAAGTCTGGGGAGACCTCCCCCAGGAGAGCAGGATGCTTGAATGGGCTCTCAAGGCCTGACATTGGTGGCTCATGCCTATAATCCCAGCACTTTGGGAGGCAGAGGCAGGCAGATCACTTGAGGCCAAGGGTTCAAAACCAGCCTGGCCAACATGGTGAAACCCCGTCTCTACTAAAAATACAAAAAGATTAGCTGGGCGTGGTGGCAGGCACCTGTAGTCCCAGCTACTCGGGAGGGTGAGGCAGGAGAATCGCCTGAGCCTGGGAGGTGGAGGTTGCAGTGAGCAGAGATCATGTCACTGCACTGCAGCCTGGGAGACAGAGACCTGTCTCAAATAAAAATGAAAACAACAACAAAAAAAATGGGCTCTGAAAAGGCAGGTAGGAGTTTGTGAAGGATGGAGTGGCAGTGTGAAGACACCGGGGCAGAAGGACCAGCCATGCACAGGCACTCAAGGGTGAAAGATCCTATGCTGGCCAGGTGTGGCGGCTCACGCCTGTAATCCCAGCACTGTGGGAGGCTGAGACGGGCAGATCACCCTGGCCAACATGGCAAAACCCCATCTCTACTAAAAATACAGCAATTAGCCGAGTGTGGTGGCGGGCACCTGTAATCCCAACTACTCAAGAGGTTGAGACAGGAGAACTGCTTGAACCCGGAAGGCAGAGGTTGCAGTGAGCCGAAATCACGCCATTACACTCCAGCCTGGGTGACGAGCGAAACTCCGTCTCCAAAAAACAAAAAAAAGAAAAGAAAAAAAAAGAAAGATCCCTTGTCCTGGAAGTGGCTGAACTTGGGGGTGGTACAGGGGAGACAACTGATGGGCCTAGCGGGGTCCGTGCACAGGGGCCGGTGTCACTGTGCTGGGCTGTTGGAAATCCCCTGACTGCTCGCTGGCCAAGGTCTGTGAATGGGAAACAGACTGTGTCTGGGAGTGTGGGGGCTATGCATTCTCCCTGCTCACTGCCCTGGCAACTGTCACGGCTTATCTGCTGCTTGAGCCCCGGCGTGCTCCGCTCTCCCCTCCCTGTAGCCTAGAGTTGCTGCTGGGGTCAGTTAGCCCTGGAGACGGGGCCTGAGCTGGGCTGTAAGGCTGAGGGGTGGTTGGGCTGGAGATGGGGTCTGGGGCAGAGCTCTGCAGCAGCCTGTGGGTTTGTGCCAGGGTTGAGGATGGGGCTGGGATTGCAGGAAGGCTGGTTTGCATGTCCAACAGGAAATCTCTCTGAGAAGCATGGGTTCACATGGGCTGGGCCTCTGGGGCAGGCAGGTTGGGTAAGGGTGAGATGTTGAGGGGGGTGAAGCTAGAAGCAGGCAGGGAGCTAGGGCCGGATGAGGCAGGGCAGAGCAGACTGATGAGTCGTTGGAACAAAATGACTCCTTTTTTTTTTCTCTTTGTTTTTCCAAGACACAGTCTCACTCTGTTGCCCAGTCTGGAGTGCAGTGGCGCAGTCTCGGTTCACTGCAACCTCTGCCTCTCAGGTTCAAGCCATTCTCGTGCATCAGCCTCCTGAGAGCTGGGACTACAGGCGCCTGCCACCACATCCGGTTAATTTTTGTATTTTTAGTAGAGATGGGGTTTTGCCATGTTGGCCAGGCTGGTCTTGAACTCCTGAGCTCAGGTGATCTGCCCACCTCGGCCTCCCAAAGTTCTGGGATTACAGGCGTGAGCCATGGTGCCCAGCCTGGCTCCTGTTTTTTGAGACAGGGTTTCACCCTGTTTCCCAGGTTGGAGTATAGTGGTGCCGTCATGACTTACTGCAGCCTTGAACTCTTTGGCTCAAGCAGTCCTCCCCACTCAGCCTCTCTAGTAGCTGGGGCTCCAGGCATGAATCACCGTGCCAGACTAAGTTTTTTTAAAATTTTTTGTAGAGAGAATCTCTCTCTGTTGCACAGGCTATTCTTGAACTCCTAGGCTCAAGTGATCCTCCTGCTTCAGCCTCCGAAAGTGCTGGGATTACAGTTGTGAGTCACTGTGCCTGGCTCTTTTAATCTTGAAAACTCTGGGAAGAGCTCACTTCTGTTTAGGAGGCTGCCTTGGGAACTGCATCTCCTGGGCTGGTGCTCTGTGCTGCTTGGAGTCTGCAGACCCTATCTGGGTCGCTTGGCCTCCCGTGCACAAGCTGCCAGAATGGAGGCCCCATTCTCAATGTGGGGGCTGCCCAAAGAGCAGGGAGCTTCCCACAGGACAGAGGCTGGGCACCTGCTTGGCCTGGTTCTTCCTTTTCCCAGGGCTCCAACACCCACCCCCTCAGGTCCTCCCAAACCCTGCAGGTCCCTGGCCTGGTCCGTCCACACCTACACTCAGGAATCTCTACACATCTCTGAGTTGCTGCATCTGTCTTCAGGCACAGCCCACCAGCCCCCCTGGGTACCCAAAGACACCGCAAATATCAGCCATTCCAGACAACGTCCTCCTCCCGTGTCCCTATCTCATGGAGTAATGCCTCTAATTCAGCCACACCAAGACCCCACGCTCCACATCCCCTAGAACTCTCATCTCCTGTGGCCCAACATGGCCCTTCCTTTCAGCAGTGGGATGTGGGAAGGATCAAGGTCACCCTTGTCCAAATCCCATGCAGACAACGGTGTTGGAGTCTTGGGCCCAAAGACCAGCTCCTAGAACCTGCAGGGAAGCAACGGCACGTTCCATCTCTCCCCATGCCACTGAGGAATCATTGGTGGCAGGATTCTCAGCAGGCATGGCCGTGGGTGCACAGAACAGAGAAAGGATGGCCTGGACCACACACATCACTGTGTGCAGATGCTTTCCTAGACACTGCAGCCAAGGACACAGAGGCTCAGAGAGGTAAAGAAACTTACCCAAGGTCACACAGCCACTAAGCACCAAGAGTACTCTGTGTCGACCCCAAAGCCCTGGTCTTTCCACTCTACCATGAGCCCTGGGTTTCCTGGTGTCTCAGATTCCCCTACAGTTTTTCTTTCTTTTCTTTCCTTCCTTCTTTCTTTCTTTCTTTCTTTCTTTCTTTCTTTCTTTCTTTCTTTCTTTCTTTCTTTCTTTCATCTTTCTTTCTTTTTCTTTTCTTTTTTTCTTTCTTTCTTTCTTTCTTTCTCTCTTTCTTTCTCTCTCTCTCTCGCTCTCGCTCTGTCACTCAGGCTGGAGTACAGTGGTACGATCTTGGCTCACTGCAACCTCTGCCTCCTGGGTTCAACTGATTCTCATGCCTCAGCCTCCTGAGTATCTGGAATTACAGGTGCCTGCCACCATGCCTGGCTAATTTTTGTATTTTTAGTAGAGACAGGGTTTCACCATGTTGCTCAGGCTGGTCTTGAACTCCTGGCCTCAGGTGATCCGCCCGCCTCAGCCTCCCAAAGTGCTGGGATTATAGATGTGAACCACCATGCCCGGCCTCCCCGACAGTAGCTATAGAAAGAAGGCTTAGTCTTAAAGATAGTTTCCCCTAAATCTGTTGCTTTCAGCCCACAGTGCCACGCCTCTGTCTTCTCCTATTCCGGGACAGAGCAAGACTCAAAGTCAGAGCTCTACGAAGCTTGCAGGATAGAAAGAAGCTTAGCAGGCCCCTCAAAGATGAGGCCCAGGCCGGGTGGAGAGGCCGAGGTGGGTGGATCACTTGAGGTCAGGAGTTCCAGACCAGCCTGGCCAACATGGTGAAACCGTGTCTCTACTAAAAATACAAAAAATTAGCTGGGTGTGGTGGTGTGTGCCTGTAATCCGAGTTACTCAGGAGGCTGAGGCAGGAGAATCCCTTGAACTGGGAGGTGGAAGCTGCAGTGAGCTAAGATCGCGCCACCGCACTCCAGCCTGGGTGACAAAGCAAGACTCCGTCTCAAGAAAAAACAAAAAACATGGGACCCCAAACTCACTATGCCAAAGGGAAATGTTAAGCTTGGGAACTGAGTCATTCAATAGCCTTTTGTCCCTAAGCAGATGGCTGTAAGACAGAAGGTCACCTATCTCCCGGGTGGCTTCCCTCACCCTGGTCATGTAAATTCACAGCTTATCTTCACAGGCAGGGGACAAAGACAAGAATAGAAATTATCGCTCTGTCCACCCAAGACAAATACGTATTTAACTTCCTCTATTCTGTTTACATTATCTTATGTAAAATGCAGATTTACTGAGCACAGGATGAATACATCATTAACTATTCCTCTTCTTTTATTTTTTTATTTTTTGAGACAGTCTCACTGTTTTCCAGGCTGGAGTGCAGTGGCATGATTTTGGCTCACTGCAACCTCCGCCTACTGAGTTCGAGTGATTCTTGTGCCTCAGCCTCCAGAGTAGCCAGGATTACAGGCACCCGCCACCACGCGTGTTGAATTTTTTGTATTTTTAGTAGAGATGGGGTTTCATTATGCTGCCCATTATGCTCCTGACCTCAGGTGATCCACCTGCCTTGGCCTTCCAAAGTGCTGGGATTACAAGCGTGAGCCACTGTGCCCAGCCCCCCTCTTTCCCCTTTAAATACCAAAGTCCTCAAAATCCTCTCTGGAAAAAAGCACAGGCCACAGACCCTATTGCAGCTTGAGTCTCTTTTTCCTGGCTGTGTCCTCCACCATGGCAAAATAAATCTCTAAATCGATTGAGACCTGTTTCAGGCACTTTCTGGTTTACATGGCCCATGGGAGCCTATAGCAGGGAGGGCTTCCCAGAGGAGGTGACCACCACACGGGGCCCAAAGCTCCAAGGATGTGGGCTCATCTGCACTCTGGGGCTCATCACACAGACCTCCAAGGCAGTTGGGAGCGGCAAGTAAGACACAAGGAAACTTGTAGTATCCTGTAATTTCAGGTGCTTAACACTCATTAGCCAATCAGGAAACTTCCCCTGTTCCTTCCAAGTCTTGCCTGGTCTGGGGAGAAGTGCAACCCTAAACCAGGCTGCGGCTAACCAGCAGTGACACTACGGGGCAGTCAATAGCACACTATGGCAGCTCTACGTGAGACACAGGTCCCAGGCGGTGAACCAGAAGTGGCGGGAGTGTGCGTGTCAGGAAAGTGGGGCTGGGCTGGCTGAGGGGGCTGGCGGTTTGGGGAGGCGTCCTGACCACCTCCAGAGTGTGGGAGGGGTGGAGTGGGTCTAAATGCCTTTGTCAATAACACCAGGAACTGACCAGATGTAGTGGCTCATGCCTGTAATCCCAGCACTTTGGGAGGCTGAGGCCAGGAGTTTGAAACCAGTCTGGGGAACATGGCAAGACCCTGTCTCTACAAAAAAACAAACAAACAAAAATTAGCTGGGCATGGTAGTGTGTGCCTGTAATCCCAGCTACTTGGGAGGCAGAGGTGGGAGGATCGCTTGAGCCTGGAAAGTCAAGGTTGCAGTACGCCATGATTGCACCACTGCACTCCAGCCTGGGCAACTGAGCTAGACCCTGTCTCAAACTAACAACAAACAAATTAAAAAATAAAAAACAAGCTTGGCCATATTACGTGCAGACACTGTGCAAAGCCCACAGTATACCTTGTCCGTGGGATTCTCTAGCTCAGTCAACAAGCTCTGGAAGAACACTGATTTTTCTCTGTAGCTGCTCTTGCATTTTCCTACCTCTTTATTTAATTTAGAGGAAAGAGGATTACTTTTTTTTTTTTTTTTTTTTGTTAGAGACAGGGTCTTGCTGTCATTCAGGCTGGAGTGCAGTAGCTGGGGCTACAGGTGCAGGCCACCACACCCAGCTAATTTTTCCATTTTTTGTAGAGATGGGATCTTGCCATGTCGCCCAGGTTACATTTTTTTAAATCATGAGTTTCTGAAGGAAATGGGGTAGGGCAGGCTCTGGTAGGGGCTGGATTGTTCGAGCTCCTGCTTGAATTCCTGCATACACTGGGGAAAAGGGGGATCCCCAGGGCCAGGGATGGGGAAGGTCCCTGGCTCATTAGACAGGAAGGCAATCTTGATTCTAACCCCTAATGCTGTGTGGTGTATGGAAAGTCACTCAACCTCTCTGTTTCCTAATTTGAGACTCTGGGCCTGCTGGGTCTAATCTCACATAGCAAAAAGCACTACAGGCTGGGCATAGTGGCTCATGTCTGTCATGCCAGCACTTTGGAAGGCTGAAGTGGGACTATTGCTTGAGGCCAGGAGTTTGAGACCAGCCTGGGCAACAGGGAAAACCTGTTTCTACCAAAAAAAAAAAACCTGGGCATGGTGGTGCACACCTGTAGTCCCATCCCAGCTCTTCTGGGAACTGTGAGTGCACCAGAGGCAGCTCCTTGGGCACTGTCTGGGAGGGAACCTGAACCACAGGTGAAGACCGACTCCCCTGTCCCCTGCCGTGTCTGGGGACCTGACACTGGGTTTGTGTCTGTGCTCTAGCCGTGCCCTGTAGGGGAAAGGGCAACATCTCGATCTGAACAGATATTCCTGTTGGGGCTCTGAGGTGTGCAGGCTGGTGCCAGTCTCTCCCGCCAGGAATCGTGGCCACTGCTGCAACCGAGACAGCTCGCCCACACTGGTTAGCCCCGAGGGAGGGAGAATGCTAAGATCCTTGCTAACCTAGATGCCCCAGCCAGGCGTTTTTTGTTTGTTTGTTTGTTAATTGAGATGGTCTGGCTCTGTTGCCCAGGCTGGAGTGCAGTGGAGCAATCTCAGCTCACTGTAACCTCCGCCTCCTGGACTGAAGCCATCCTCCATCCTCAGTCTCCCGAGTAAGCTGGTGCTACAGGTGTGTGCCACTACCTGGCTTATTTTTGTATTATTTGTAGAGACAAGGTCTCACTATGTTGCCCAGGCTGATCTTCAACTCCTAAGCTCAAGCAATCCACCCATCTTGGCTTCCCAAAGTGCTGAGGTACAGGCATGAGCCACCATGCCCAGACCAGCTGAGCACCTCAGAGAGCTGCAGGTGGGTCATGAGTCCCCTTTCCTGACAGAGCCAGGCTCCTGCCACCCTCATCTTGTCACCATCAGGGAGCTCCCCAAGGACTGCTGTGGGCAGTGGTGGCCTCAGCCTCGGGTGGGGCAGGGCAGCTCCAGCATGCCTGGTCACCTCTGAGTCTAATCTGCTCACGGGAAAAACACGGATCAGAGAACCGCCTCAGAGAGCTGCTGAGAACACTGCAGGGGCAGGCGCAATACCAGGCCCTGCAAGGCCAGGGCCACAAGCCCAATGGTCTACCCAAGACTGATTGCCTGGGTTCAAATCCCAGCTCTGCTATCAGCTCGCGACCCTGGGCAAGTCCCTGAACCACTCTATGTCCTCATCTGTAGAGCAGCAATGGGCAGGCGTGCAGTGGCTCACGCCTGTCATCCCAGCACTTTGTGGGGCTGAAGTGGGCATATCACCAGAGGTCAGGAGTTTAAGACCAGACTGGCCAACATGGTGAAACCTCATCTCTACTAATAATACAAAAAAATTAGCTGGGCGTGGTGGCGGGTGCCTGTAATCCCAGCTACTTGGGAGGCTGAGGCAGGAGAATCGCTTGGACCTGGGAGGCGGAGGTTGCAGTGAGCCGAGATTGCACCACTGTGCTCCAGCCTGGGCAACAAGAGCAAAACTCCATCTCAAAAAAAAAAAAAGGGGGGTCAGGGGAGTGGGTTTAGTTTACTGTCCTGAATGCCAAGTCAGCAAACCTATTCTTGGGGGCACCTGCCTGAGCTTTCCTGAACCCAGGCTGGCTGTAAATGACACCCACGGCTGCAAACATTTCAGAGTGTTCTGTTTGGAAATGTCATAGTTAGGACTCAGTGTGTGTGGGGGTTCACCTCATGGTCTGCCCCTAGTGCTGTGCAGAAAGTCCTGCTGAAAGAACCCATCCCTGCAGCAGTGACCTCCTGCCCACTGCCCCTGGACAGTGACGCCTTTGGTGGACAGGCCTTCCCTTGACATTTCTCCTGCCCCTTCCTGCTCATGCTGTTCTTCGGTCTCCTCTCTCTTTAACACTGCCTGGGCAACTCTCAGCTTATCTTTTCCAACCTGCTGTCTGTTAGCCCAAGGAGTAACTGAATTTTGCGAAGGGGGAAAAAAAAGACAACCAAGCTCACTGAATCACAGCCATGCTATGTACACAATTTTAAACCAACTGGCTGGGGTGATGCCTGGGCTGGCTCTGTGGCTCTCTCCTGGGGCAAAGTGCAAGAGCCTTGGCCAGCCTTGGCCTCTCCCTGCCTAGTTAGAGGTCTTTAGCTCAGACTGACGATCTCGTATTGGTAATTACGACCATTCACAGCAGGGAGACGCAGCCAGCGAAGGGCAAGGGCGGTTTAGAGGGGAGAGACTGCGATCTGTAGCAGAAGCGTGGGATAATAGCCTTCCTCTCCCCTCCTGAACCATTTCACAGAGCCCCAACTCACTGCCAGGCCGGGGCAGAGTTCATGGCTGCAGCGATTGCACCACTGCTTTCCAGCCTGGGTGACAGAGTGAGACTCAGTCTTGAAAAAATAAAAAAGGTACATTCAGGTTCAGCATTTAACTGCTTGTAGGGCCTGTGCACAGGTTTAGCAGGAATTCCTTCAGCTCCATTTCATGGATGAGGTAACTGAGGCCTGGAGAGAGGAGGGCCAAGCTGCAGTGGGGCAGAGACCTGTGCCCGTGGCAGAGACCTGTGCCCAGGCCAATGATCATGAGTCTGTGTTGCTTCTGCCATCAGACCTGGCTGAGCCTGGACACTGCGTGCAGGAGGGGCCCTTAAGCCTTGACCCATTTTACAAAGGGAACTGTCTTTTTTTTCTTGAGATGGAGTCTCGCTCTGTCGCTTAGGGTGGAGTGCAGCGGCATGATCTGGGCTCACTGCAATCTCCACCTCCCAGGTTCCAGCAATTCTCTTGCCTTAGCCCCTCGAGTAGCTGAGACTACAGGCACAAGCCACCACACTCAGCTAATTTTTGTATTTTTAGTAGAGACGGGGTTTCACCATGTTGGCTGGGCTGGTCTCGAACTCCTGACCTCAGTTGATCTGCCCGCCTCGGCCTCCCAAAGTGCTAGGATTACAGGTGTGAGCCACTGTGCCCGGCCCAAAGGGAACTGTCTTAAAGTGGGATTGTTGAAGTACTCTCTGTGTCCCCAAGACCCCTCCTTCTGAACCCCTCTAGGGCCTAGACATGCCAGAGCCATCAAACCCCCAAATCCAAAACTCCAGTGTGGGTGGGAAGGAGGCTGCTGGAATGGGGGAATCTCCACTTCTCTTCCTCTGCATTTTATTTTATTTTTTTTCAGATGGACTCTCACTGTTGCCCAGGCTGGAGTGCAGTGGCACTATCTCAGTTCACTGCAACCTCTGCCTCCCGGGTTCAAGTGGTTCTCCTGCCTCAGCCTCCCGAGTAGCTGGGATTACAGGCGTGCACCACCATGCCTGGCTAATTTTTCTATTTTTAGTAGAGATGGGTTTTCACCATGTTGCCCAGGCTGGTCTTGAACTCCTGGGTTCAAGCAATCCACCCACCTCGGCCTCCCAAAGTGTTGGGATTATAGGCGTGAACCACTGCACCCGGCCTTCTTCCTCTGCTTTTCAAAAATTATGTTTTTAGAGATGTAGACTCATTTTGTCACCCATGGAGTGGTGCGATCCTAGCTCACTGAAGCCTTGACCTCATCCTCCTGCCTCAGTCTCCTGAGTATGTGGGCCTACCGGTGCACACCACCACGTCTGGCTAATTCTAAAATTTTTGTAGAGACAGGATCTTGCTACATTGCCCAGGTTGATCTCAAACTCCTGGCCTCAAGCAGTCCTTCCCCCTCGGCCTCCCAAAGTGTTGGGATTACAGGCGTAAGCCACCAGGCTGGGCCTTAAACTTTTTAATGGATCTATGCTTCTCTTCCGTTGCTTTTTTTTTTTTTTTTTTTTTTCTGAGACAGGATCTCGCTCTGTTGCCCAGGCTGGAGTGCAGTGGCATGATCTCAGCTCACTGCGACCTCTGCCTCCTGAGTAGCAAGCGTGCCACCATGCCTGGCTAATTTTTTTGTGTTTTTAGTAGAGATGGGGTCTTGCCATGTTGCCCAGGCCGGTCTCAAATTCCTGAGCTCAAGGGATCCTCCGGTTGCGGCCTCCCACAGTGCTGGGTTTACAGGCATGAGCCGTCACGCCCGGCTATAAGTGTTAATTGCATTCTTAGTAACAGCAAAACAATGGAAGCAGCCCAATCCCCAAGGAGAGGAGAGTGAGGAATTGCATCATGGTAAAATTCCACTCAATGGAAGATTATAGAGCCATGAGAACTAAGAGGCTACAGCTACACACTTTGACATTATGTCAACCAGAGCTAAGTGGTAAACAGCAAGACCCAGATTCTATTCAGTAACATGCCTTTGTTATAAAAGTAAAATTATAGGCTGGGCGCGGTGGCTCACGCCTGTAATCCCAGCATTTTGGGAGGCCGAGGCAGGTGGATCATGAGTTCAGGAGATGGAGACCATCCTGGCTAACACGGTGAAACCCTGTCTTTACTAAAAATACAAAAAATAAGCTGGGCATGGTGGCAGGCGCCTATAGTCCCAGCTGCTTGGGAGGCTGAGGCCAGAGAATCACTTGAACCCCGGAGGTGGAGGTTGCAGTGAGCTGAGATCACACAACTTCAGCCTGGGTGACAGAGCGAGACTCCATCTCAAAAAAAAAAAAAAAAGTAAAATTATAAGCAAAATGAAATAATTTTTGTTTAGGCAAACATACACAGTAAAATAATTAAAAAAAATTAACCTGTGAGCCTGGTGTGGTGGCTCACGCCTGTAATCTTACCACTTTGGGAGGCCAAGGCAGGAGGATCACTTGAGGACAGGAGTTGGAGACGAGCCTTGAGCAACATATAGAGACTCTGTCTACAAAAAATTTAAGAGTAGCTGGTGCAGTGGCACCTGGCTGTAGTCCCAGCTACTCGGGAGGCTGATGCGGGAGGATTGCTTGAACCTAGGAGTTGGAGGCTACAGTGAGCTATGTGATAGTGTCACTGCACTCCAGCCTATCTCTACAAAAATAAAAAATAAAATATGAGCTGGACATGGTAGCACGTGTGCTTGTAGTCCTAGCCACTCGAGGGGCTAAGGTGGTAGGATGGCTTGAGCCTAGAAGGTCCAGGCTGCAGTAAACTATGACTGTGCCACTGCATTCCAGCCTGGGCAAGAGGGAGACTGTCTTTAAAAAAAAATTTAAAAAATCAACCAGTGAAAAATGATTATATCATGAATGAGAACAGGCACAGAAGACGTTTTTGGAAATTTGAATAAAGACCATATATTAGATGACAGGGAATTACTCAGTTTTATAAGTGTGATGATACTATTGTGAGTATGTAAGATAATAGTGTTTTTCTTAGGAGATGTGCATTGAAATATTTAGGCATGAAGAGTCAAGATGTTTGCAACTTCAAATGGAGAAAAAGAAATTATTTGTGTGTGTGTATGTATGTGTGCGTGTGTGTGAGAGACAGAGATAGAGCAGGGAAAATGGCAATATGCTAAGAATTACTGAACCCAGCTGGGCGCGGTGGCTCACACCTGTAATCCCAGCACTTTGGGAGGCCGAGGCAGGTGGATCGCTTGAGGCCAGGAGTTCACGACCAGCCTGGCCAACATGGCGAAACCCCGTCTCTACTAAAAATACAAAAAATTAGGTGGGCGAGGTGGTGCGCGCCTGTAGTCACAGCTACTCAGGAGGCTGAGGCAGGATAATCGCTTGAACTCAGTAGGCAGAGCTTGCAGTGAGCTGAGATCGTGCCACTGCACTCCAGCCTAGGCAACAGAGCAAGACTCCGTCTCAGAAAAAAAAAAAAAAATGCCCGACCCCTCATGGGCACTTGGTGACTCAGAGAACCTGAGCTCTTCTGTGCCAGGCACTGCTCTTTGATCTTTGCATGGATTCATTTAATCCTTAAAACGGGGCGGTGCTCAGTGGCTCACGCCTGTAATCCCAGCACTTTGGAAGGCCAAGGTGGGCAGATCACTTGAGGTCAGGAGTTCGAGACCAGCCTGGGCAACATGGTGAAACCCCGTCTCTACTACAAATACAAAATTAGCCAGGCATGGTGCCACGTGTCTGTAATCCCAGCTACTCAGGAAGCTGAGGCAGGAGAATTGCTTGAACCTGGGAGGCAGAGGTTGCAGTGAGCCGAGATCGCGCCACTGCACTCCAGCCTGAAGGACACAGCAAGACTCTGTCTCAAAAAAAAAAAAAAAAAAAAAAAAAGACAAGGAAACATTTTCCCCTAGAGCCTCCAGAAGGACCCAGCCCTGCTGACACCCTTTTTTTTTTTTTTTTTTTTGACACAGAATAACCTCCATCTCCTGGGTCCCAGCGATTCTCCTGCCTCAGCCTCTTCCTATTTCACAAGTAGGGAAACTGAAGCCCAGGTAGGCAAGCCTGACTTGCTGGAGTCACACAGGAAGTTGGCAGCTCTGCTCCATCCCTGGGATCTGGAGCCCCTGCTCTGGGGAAGGAGAGGTGGGGCGCTGCCTTCCCAGAGTCCCCTCAAGCTGGCAGGGACGGCTGTACCCCCAGGGTCAGAGGAGAACTAAAAGGAGCGGAAGCTGGCCTGGGTCCAGGGAGAGACCTCGTGTTTGCCCAAAAGGGAGCTGGAGAGGGGCAGCTGGGCCCATATGCAGGGAGGAGCTGCAGGGAGCTGGTGGCGGGGCAGCAAAGAGAAGTGGATTTGGTGGGTAGAGGGGCCCCTCCTTGGTTCTAGTCCTCCCCGCAGCCCCTTGCAAACAGGCGGGGCTCTCCTGTCCTTCTTGTCTCCTGCAGCAAGCCCTACATGAAGAGGCCTCTTTGGTGAGTGGCAGCTCAACCTCTGCTAAATGCCTCCAGTGATGGGGAGTTCACTACCTTCCAAAGTTTTTAAAAGATGTTAACCACTGCTATTCAAGAACAATTCTAGAATTTTTTTTTTTTTGAAAGACAAGGTCTCATTCTGTCTCGCAGGCCAGAGTGCAGTGGTGTGATCATAGCTCACTGCAGCTTTGACTTCCTGGGCTCAAGCAATCCTCCCTCCTCAGCCTCCTGAGTACCTGAGACTACAGATGTGCACCACCACACTGGCTCATTGTTTTCATTTTTTGTAGAGACAGGATCTCACTATGTTGCCCAGGCTGGTCTCCTGGCTTCAAGCAATCCTCCTGCCTTGGCCTCCCAAAGTGCTGGGATTACAGGCGTGAGCCACTGCATCTGGCCTTTTTTTTTTGGAGATAGAGTCTCGCTCTGTCGCCCAGGGTGGAGTGCAGTGGCGTGATCTCGGCTCATTGCAACCTCCGCCTTCCGGGTTCACACCATTCTCCTGCCTCAGCCTCCCGAGTAGCTGGGATTACAGGCATCTGCCAACCATGCCTGGCTAATTTTTGTATTTTTTGGTGGAGACAGGGTCTCACCATGTTGGCTAGGCTGGTTTCGAACTCCCGACCTCAGGTGATCTACCCGCCTCAGCCTCCCAAAGTCCTGGGATTACAGGCTGAGCCACCGCGACCGGCCCTGCTGTTGCTTCTGAGGTTTGAAAACCGCTGCCTCAATGCTCCTGATTCAGCTCTTCTTACCCAAAGGTTCCCCCACCTCATCTACTCTGTTCCTGCACAGTCGCCCTTTTCTCTGATGCCCCGGGCAGGTTTCTCTCTGCCAGCTCCACGCTTCTGGAGTCCCCCATCCGTCTTGGGGCCCAGCTGCCCACTGTCTGGGTTCAGACCTTCTCAACACTCCCTGGCTTCTCTGCCCTAGTTTTGCCTTCTCCAATCCACTCTTGGTGGGTGGAAGTACGGTTACCATGGTAACTTGAAGACAACGCAAATCTGATTGTATCATTACAATGACTGGGAAAACCTCCAGTGCCACAAAATAAAGCTCAAGTCACTAGCTTTGCAGTCCAGGCCCTTTACCATTCCGGCAGCATTTCTGGGGGCTATTCTCCTTCCCCCCACTGCACAACCCCGCCTGGCCACCCCAGGCTCAGGCTGCAGAACAGCGTAGACCAGGGAGTGGCTTTGGGGTCATGCTAACTACCTGGTTTTTGTCTCTTTCAGGCTGTTTGCTCAGTTGCAAAATGGGAAGGACAACAGCACCCGCCTCACAGGCTAAGAGGCTGTGTGTGAAAAGCCCGCAGCACAGGATCTGGCACGCGTGGACGTGCGGGATGGGAGGAGGGGATTTCCCAGCTCCTCATCTCTGCAGGGACTGGCCTTGGCCTAGGGAACACTAGCTGTCCAGGGAGGGGGAGCTTTCCCTGAGCCCCCCGATGTGTGGCAGGCAGAGGAGAGCAAGCTACTTCTGGGAGGGGAGTTGTGGGGAAGGGCAAGTTAGTCTTTACTGAGGGTGGCAGTGAGCTGGCACTTTGGTCTCACCTCGGCTGCAGAAACCCACCCTGCTCCCGTCTTATTTCCTGGGGATTTCAGCTGTGTGCAGGCACAGATGCATCTCCCAAGTGCCTCATGCTTGCCTTGATCTCCTCTCCTTCCTCTGGCCAGTCCTGAACCTCTTGGTGATCCACGGCGGCACCTCTGTGTCCTACATCCTTCTCTGGCCATCTCCTTCCCTCCTTCCAGCCCTCCCTCTAGGACCCTGACCCCAACCATCCTTCATCCCCATGGGGACATTCAGTCCACTGACTCATCACCCTCCCCTGTCCCTCTGTGAGAGAAGGAGCAGGCAGAGAGGATCTTGCAAGAGCCTTCAGCAACTCTCTTCCACCCATCCTGTTGCTTGCTGCTTTTTTTTTTTTTTTTTCCAAAAAAATAGAGATGGGGTCTTGCTATGTGGCTGGTCTCAAACTCCTGGGCTCAAGTGATCCTCCTGCCTCGGCCTCCCAAAGTGCTGGATTACAGGCGTGAGCCACCACACCCGGCTCCGTTCCCTTTCTAAGCAGGGTGCTCCTTTTCTTGCCATTTCCCCCATCCTCCTTCCTCTCCCACAGCTCACTTCCCTCTCTACTGAATCTGCTGAAGATCATGCAGCTGCTGTTCCTGCCTCTAAAACCCTCTCTTGGCTGGGTGTGGTGGGTGACATATGTAATCCCAGCACTTTGGGAGGCTGAGGCAGGAGAATCACTTGAACCCGGGAGGCGGAGGTTGCAGTGAGCCGAGATTGCGCCACTGCACTCCAGCCTAGGTGATAGAGCAAGACTCTGTCCCCTCCCTCCACCAAAAAAATAAAGCCCTCTCTGCATCCATTCCACTCTCCACTCTTGCTCATTCTCTCCTGCCCTCTAAAAGGTGATCTGTCTTTGGCAGATTCAATCACTTGCCTTTCTCATTCTCTCCTGAGCCCACTATTCCACTCTGGTCCCCACCACTTCCCCCAAAACTGCTTTGAACCATCGCACTGCAACCTGTTGCTTAGCCCCTCCATCTAGTCTCAGGCGTTAGGACTGACTGCCCAGCAGAGGCTGGTGCAACCAATCACCTCCTTTAGTAAGTTTCTCCCTGGGCTTCACCTCTTCACCTGTGGGCTTTCCACCTGTCTCTCTCTTTTTTTTTTAAGACAGTCTCCTCTGTTGCCAGGCTGGAATGCCGTGGCGCAATCTCAGCTCACTGCAACCTCTACCTCCTGGGTTCAAGCGATTCTCCTGCCTCAGGCTCCCAAGTAGCTGGGATTACAGGTGCCCGCCACCACACCGGGCTAATTTTTGTATTTTTAGTAGAGTCGGGGTTTCACCATGTTGCCCAGGCTGGTCTCGAACTCCTGACCTTACGTGATCCACCCGCCTCAGCCTCCCAAAGTGCTGGGATTACAGGCGTGAGCCACCGCACCTGGCAGTCTCCCTAATTTAATTCAGTGCCACTGCGGGCAGGTGGGGTGTGGCCTGGTTGGGCAGTATAGAGCTACCAGCTACCAATGGTGTTCAGCCCTCAGGGTCGAGCGTGGGTTGTCTCAGCCCCTTGCAGGCAGGGCTGGAGTTCCTTCTGGTGCGAGTTGGGGGACCCAGCTCCCCCATCCCTCTGCAACCCCAGGCCCCCCACCAGGTCCCCTCTGGTTCAGCCTGGTGCCTTCCAGCACCCCTGGCCCCCAGAAATCCCTGGTCCACAGCTCCCTTGACCTGAGGCCTGAAATTGACCCACTGCCCCCTGAGGCTTGGTCCAAGTCCAAGTATGCCTTCCTCTCCAGCCAGATGCCTGCCTGCCACTCAGCATGTCAGAGCAGGCAGGGCCTCTAGATTTTAATGGGGAAACTGAGGCACTGAGGGCAGATGTGATGTCCCCAGTTGGGAAAACATTAAAGACATTCTGGGCTTCTCTCTCTTTTTTTTAGAGACAAGATCTCACTCTGTCATGCACGCTGGAATCATGGCTCATTGCAGCCTCCAACTCCTAGGCTCAAGGGATCCTTCCACCTCAGCCTCCCGAGTAGCTGGGAGTACAGGTGTTCGTCCCCACCATGTCTGGCTAATTTAAAAAAATGTCTTTGCAGGATGGGATCTTGCTATGTTTCCCAGGCTGGTCTCAAACTCCTGGGCTCAAGTGATTTTCCCATCTTGGCCTCCCAAAATACTGGGATTATACGTATAAGCCACCACGTCTGGCCTGAGTCATCTCTTTTGACCCAGAACAAAACCAGTCCAGGAGTGGCTGTACTCCCCAGGAGTGTACACTGGGGAGGCCCACAGCTCCGGGGTGCAGTGGGGCTCTTGCAATTTAATGACTGATTCATCTTCAAAAAAGCACAATCTCAGCCAGGCGTGGTGGCTCATGCCTGTAATCCCAGCACTTTGGGAGGTTGAGGCGGGCTGATCACCTGAGGTCAGAAGTTTGAGATCAGCCTGGCCAACAGGGTGAAACCCTGTCTCTACTAAAAATACAAAAATTAGCCAGGTGTCGTGGTGCACACCCGTAATTCCAGCTACTTGGGAGGCTGAGGCAGACGAATCACTTGAACTCGGGAGGTGGAGATCGCAGTGAGCCAAGATCGTGCCATTGCACTCCAGCCTGGGCAACAAGAAGCGAAACTCCATCTTAAAACAAACAAAACAAAACAAAAACAAAAAAGCATAATCTCTTTCAGAATTTTTACCTTCTTGGTGTGGTTCTGTTAGGAAAGGCTTCCATGGGAACCTTCAATAAGTGACCTAAAAAAAAATCTCAGAGCAATTCCTTTTTTTTTTTTTTTTTTTTTCAGACAGCATCATGCTCTGTCACCCAGGCTGGAGTGCAGTTGCACAATCTCAGCTCACTGCAACCTCCACCTCCTGGGCTCAAGCCTTCCTCCTGCTTTGGCCTCCTGAGTAGCTGAGACTACAGGTGCATGCCACCGTGCCCGGCTAATTTTTAAATTTTTTGTAGAAACGGGGTCTTGTTATGTTGCCCAGGCTGACCTCAAACTCTTGGCCTCAAGCGATCCTCCTACCTTGTCCTCCCAAAGTGCTGGGATTACAGGGGTGAACCACTGTTCCTGGTTTAGAGCCATTCTTTTTTTTTTTTTTTTTTTTTTTGCTTTGTGGTTTTGAGACGGAGTTTCACTCTTGTTGCCCAGGCTGGAGTGCAACGGCATGATCTCGGCTCACTGCAACCTCCGACTTCCAGTTTCAAGCGATTCTCCTGCCTCAGCCTCCCGAGTAGCTGGGATTACAGGCATCCGCCATCATGCCCAGCTAATTTTTTTGTATTTTTAGTAGAGACGGGGTTTCACCATGTTGGGCAGGCCGGTCTCGAACTCCTGATCTCGTGATCTGCCCGCCTCGGCCTCCCAAAGTGCTGGGATTATAGGCATGAGCTACCACGTCCGGCCCTAGAGCCATTCTTAACAGGGTTTGTCTCCCTGGAAACTTCCCGAAGCCTCACCCTCCCAGGAATTCCCTGCTAAGTGCCACAGTCATCTCTTCACCACTCGGTTTCCACTCTCCCATCCTTGCACCGAGATCCCACTGTTAGGCCTTTTTCAAGCACGGACCTTCTCATGCTCAGTCTCTCTGTGGTGTGGAAGTGTCTACTGGGTGGGCCTCACAGAAGGTTCCAGGCCCTGGTACAAGCCCAAGGGAAATGATGATCCAAAATGGACTCCGATAAAGTTTCTGCCACTCTGCATTGGGGGCTTTTGGTAGGAGTCCAGTTCAATTTTATAAAAATAAAAATACATGTCTCGCACTTCTGAGTTTGCAGACTCAGGTCCATTCTGTATTTGCAAACGAGGACAAAAAGAAAGGTGGCTGGGTGCGGTGGCTCACGCCCACCTGTAATCCCAGCACTTTGGGAGGTCAAGATGGGTGGATCACTTGAGGCTGGCCAGGAGTTGGAGACCAGCCTGGCCAGGAGTTGGAGACCAGCCTGGCCAACCAGCCTGGCCTTTCACCATGTTAGGGTGCCTAAAAATACAAAAATTAGCTGGATGCTGTGGCACACGCCTATAATCCCAAATACTCAGGAGGCTGAGGCAGGAGAATCATTTAAACTTGGGAGGTGGAGGTTGCAGTGAGCTGAGATCATGCCATTGCACTCTAGCCTGGACAATAAGAGCTAAACTCCATCTCAAAAAAAAAAAAAAAAAAGGCAATTGGGGGAAAACAGTCCTTCCAGCTCACCTAGCACTGCCCATCTTTTTCCATATTCAGATCACATGGCGAGGCAGGTATGCTTGTCCATCTTGGCGGTAAGGAAGCGAAGGCTCAGATTCCCATGGCTAGTCAGGCAGGTACAGGGACTTGAACAAGATGGCACTTTCCCATGGCCCACATGCTGCCTAAGACCCTGAAGGCTGACTCCTGGACACTGTCCCCAGCCATCTGCCTCTCTGCAACTATCTGCCACCCCTCCACCTGCCCTGGGACAACTGCCTCCAGATGAAGGAGCCTGCTATTGCCTCTGCCTCCCCCAGCAGACCCCAGCTTCCACTCCGATTCGCCTCAGAACTGCTGGTGCTGGCCCAGGCCAGGCTTTGGGCACTGTGTGAGGGAGGGGTTTGAGAAAAGCCCATTCTGGTGCAGGAATAGCACTCAAAGACTTCTGGTGAACCCTCCGAGACTCCCAGGAGCCTGGACATGTTCCCAGCCCAGCATGACTAGTGGCATGAGTAAGTGTGGATACCTGGTGGATACCTGGCTTGGGTGCCAACGCCTGGAAAGGGGCTGGCAGGTCCATCCCTGAGGGCTGGGGCCACGGCCACCTGCTAGCCCTGGGACACAGAGTATTAATACATCACTCACACTGAGCCTCAGTTTCCCCCTCTGTAAGGTGAGCTCTAGCATCTACCTCCTAGGTGTGAAGACTAAATGAGATGCCTCCTCTGTCTGCACTCCGCTGTAACCCTAGTTCCTAGAATACCACCTTGCCCCAGCAGGATCTCCCGAAATATGTGTGAAAGGCACCTGCATAAAGCACCCAGTGCAGGGCCAGAAACCCAGTGACCTCTCAGCCGGGTGTCCACTGGAGGCACACTGACTGCATTGTGCTGCTGCAGTTTCCACTGTCTCCACCTTTCCAACATCATCTGACCACTCTGCCCCTCTGAGAGCTCTGGAAACACACTTATGGCATCCAGTGACCCCTCAACCCCTGCCGTTCCCCCGCCAAACACAACCCACCCTCCTCTCTGCCTCTCAAAGTCCCATCTTCCCCTGAGGCCCAAGCAGGGCCTTCCTTCAGGCAACCTTCTCCAACTACCCCTCACCCTCCTGATCCCCCTTTTGGGGGCTCCTGTGGCCTGTTGGCAGCTGCCACAACAGTGTACCCTAAGTACTTTTTTTTTTGAGACAGAGTCTCACCCTGTCGCCCAGGCTGGAGTGCAGTGGTGCTATCTCGGCTCACTGCAACCTCTGTCTCCCGGGTTCAAGTGATTCTCCTGACTCAGCCTGCCAAGTAGCTGGGATTACAGCTGCGTACCACCATGCCTGGCTAATTTTTGGATTTTAAGTAGACACGGGGTTTTACCATGTTGGTCAGGCTGGTCTTGAACTCCTGACCTCAAGTGATCCTCCTACCTTGGCCTCCCAAAGTGCTGGGATTACAGGTGTGAGCCACCATGCCTGGCCCACCCTGAAGGCTCTGGCCAGCCCTTAGTGCTCACCATGTGGCATGTCGCCCTGCAGGGACAGCCCCTGCAAATCTGGGTTTGGGAGGCCAGAACACAGCCCTTGGTGGACATGGAGGTGGATGGGTGGCTTAAAAAGGGTCAGGAGGCCGGGCAAGGTGGCTCATGCCTGTCATCCCAGCATTTTGGGAGGCCGAGGCAGGAGGATCACTTGATGCCAGGAGTTTGAGACCAGCCTAGCCAACATGGTGGAACCCCATCTCTACTAGAAATACAAAAATTAGCCAAGCATGGTGGCATGTGCTTATAATCCCAGCTACTCGGGAGGCTGAGGCAGGAGAATCGCTTGAACCTGGGAGGTGGAGGTTGCAGTGAGCGGAGATCGTGCCACTGCATTCCAGCCTGGGCAACAAAGTGAGACTTGGTCTCTCTCGCTCTGTCTATATATATATAATGTAAAAAAAAGGGTCAGGAGAGGCACTGCGCTGTTTAAGGCGGGGTAGACACCCCCCACATCTTACCACCACGCTTGTGGTTCCCATGCAGACACCCCTCCTTCTGTGGTTAGGAACCCACTCGCCTCCAACCTCATCTATTCACTGAGGTCAACCACACCCCCTTTATCAGGAGGAGGGGGTGCACTGACCCGGCCTGGCCCCTCCCTCCTGAACCCAGACTGGGTAAAACTTAGAAGTCACTGGCACCACCACTCCTTTCTCTGCCCCAGGATGTGGGGCCACATTCAAGCTTAGCCTTCCTCCATCTATCTGGGGCAGGTGCCCAGGTGAGGTGGCTAAACAGAAGGGCAGGAGCCCAGGCTGGGCATGGTGGCTCACGCCTGTAATCCCAACACTTTGGGAGGCCGAGGTGGGTGGATCACTTGAGGTCAGGAGTTTGAGACCAGCCTGGCCAACATGGTGAAACCCTGTCTCTACTAAAAATACAAAAAATAGCCAGGCATGGTGGCAGTTGCGTGTAATCTCCCTGTCATCAGGAGGCTGAGGCAGGAGAATCACTTGAACCCAGGAGGTGGAGGTCGCAGTGAACTGAGATCACACCACTGCACTCCAGCCTGGGTGACAGAAAAGGACTCTGCCTCATAAAAAAAAAAAGAAAGAAAGAAAGGCAGGGGCCTGGCTTCTGTTCCCAGACCCCAGAACTTGTGCCCCACAGCAGGCTTAGCTCCAGCCCCCAGCACCATGACCTGGCCCTATTCCCAGTGACCCCTCCACAGCCAGTGCCTCTTACCAGGCTTTCGGATGAGTCCTTGGAAAGGCCTAGAAGAGAAACAGAGGCAGGGGTGTCAGGGGGAAGGGCCTGGGGATGAGGAAGACACCCCTGGGATGCAGTGGCCTCAGTCTCCCCTGGGAGCACCCCAGATCTACGGCAGCAGAATCTGCATTTTAATAAGCTGCCCTGGGGCTCTGTGTGCGTGGGACACTGACACCATGTGGCAGGGTGCTGGCATTGGCAGTGCCACTCTGCAGGATGCAGACCTGGGCCTTGGGTAGGCTCTGCCCTGGCTGGCCCCAAGACCTTGGGCAAATCCCTCTGATGGGGGCTAAAGGCATTTCCTGGGGGCTGGGGGTACAGTGAGCAGGTGTTGCTGAACAGGTTGAAGATGCCCTCGAAGGCTGCCCTTGCCATGGTGGGGTGACCAGTCCCACTTCTGAAGGACACCTTGCACTCAGGCTGGCCTGCAGTCCCTTTCTGGCCACCCCCAGGACCCAGGATGGTGCCAGGAGAGCCACCTTGTCCAGTGGGGAGGGCACGACCTAGGGAAAGGCTAAGGATTCGCAGGTGTAAGCCCCCATCTGAGCTAGTCCTGCCTCTTCACCCTCACCCTTCCCCCTGAGTACCTGGTGACTGTGAACGTGATCTTGTTGGCCATGGCAAGAATCCTCTCCAGGTTCTGGGAGCCGAAGGGCTTTCGGAACAGGATTCCTGGTGGCAGCTCCTCGATGATCATGGAGCCGGGGTTACTCTTGATCCACTTGTAGGGGACCTGAACCGGGTACTTGATGCCCAAGGCTTCCCCTGTGGGTGAGAGGCAGGGTCCTGCCCGTCAGGAGTGAGAGGCAGCGTGGGGTGTGTGTACATGGGATTGCGGGGGTGTGATGGAAAGACATGCGTGCAGGAGAGTGAATGGTACGAGAAAGCTCTTATGTAGCATTGTGGAAAGGTATAGGCATTACAATCTAAGCTATTTGATCAGAACATTAAAAAAAGGCCAGCATGGTGGCTCATGCCCGTAATCCCAGCATGTTGGGAGGCCAAGGCAGGAGGATCACTTAAGTCTAAGATTTCGAGATCAGCCTGGGCAACATAGCAAGATCCTGTCTCTACTACAGATTTCTAAAAAACAGCTGGACATGGTGATGCATGCCTGTAGTTCCAGCCACTTAGGAGGCTGAGGCAGGAGGATTGCTTGAGCCCAGGAGTTTGAGGCTGTAGTGAACCATGATCACGCCACTGTACTCCAGCATGTGTGACAGAGTGAGACCCTGTCTCAAAAAAAAAGAAAAGAAAGAAAAAGCCACACCAATATGCTCCCATGTCGTATGCTCCTTTTTTTTTTTTTTTTTTTTTTTTTGAGACAGATTTTCGCTTTTGTTGCCCAGGCTGGAGTGGAATGGCACGATCTCAGCTCACTGCAACCTCTGCCTGCCAGGCTCAAGCGATTCTCCTGCCTTAGCCTCCTGTGTAGCTGGGACCACAGGTGTGCACCACTGCACCTGGCTAATTTCTTTTTTGTATTTTCGGTAGAGATGGGGTTTCACCATGTTGCCCAGGCTGGCCTTGAACTCCTGAGCTCAAGCCTCCAAAAGTGCTGGGATTACAGGCATGAGCCACCGAGCCGGGCCCCTGTCTATTAAATTCTGTGTGTAGTTGTTGAAAGTGTGTCTCACCTCATTGGTCTGCAAGGCTCATGAGTACAGGGACTGTGTCTGTTTTATTCACAGCAATATCCCCAGTGCCTGAGACAGTGCCTGGCACATAGTAAATGCTCAAGAAATACATGTAAAGGGGTGAATCGTTTCCCCAGAAATCCCCTCGGCTGGAACTGGGAAACCTGCCACTTCTCTGTCCACAGCAGCTACATGTCCCTCCCCAGGGGTTCTGCGCTGCTTACCATATGTCTTATTGAAAAGCTCCTGGACCTGCTCCCTTAGCGTGTTGGCAATGTCAATCCGTAAGAGCCTCGCGTCGTAATTTTCTGCAAAGCGCAAAATGATTATGGGTTTGGGCTGTTCAGTGAAAAGGCACTTGGTGACTTTTAAGGAAGATGATTTTCTAATTATGGGGAACTCCTTCTCTGGCAATTAACGGATCTTTGGAGTGGGCCGCTCAGGTTCTTCAGCACCAACGTCTTGATGGAGATGTGTTTTTTCCAGAAGGACATGCACTGTTGCCACAACAGTGATGAGTTGGAAATTCAGTTAATTGTTGACATTTGAAAACCACCAAATCAATAAATAAGCCCGGAGAGGAGGGACACCATAGAGTGCAGAGTCCTGTGCCCTGGGCTGGCAGGCAGGGGGTATGGGCTTCATGAAGTCACTGGGGGGCTGGAGACAAAGGAGGGAACGGAAGCCCAGCTGATCCAGCAGATGGTGGAGGACGGGCAGTCCCCACAGACACAGGGGACACGCCTGGCAGCTCCCAATGCAACCTCCACCTCCCAGGCTCAAGCAATTCTCCTGCCTCAGCCTCCTGAGTAGCTGGGACCACAGCTGTGTGCCACCATGCCTGGCTAATTTCTTCTTTGTGTTTTTGGTAGAGATAGGGCTTCGCCATGTTGCCCAGGCTGGCTGTGAACCCTTGAGCTCAAATGATCCACCTGCCTCAGCTGGGATTACAAGTATGAGCCACCCAGCCACCCTCACCCAGAGAGTGTTCATTAAAAACCCCCAAGTGTGGCCAGGCGCGGCAGCTCATACCTGTAATGCCAGCACTTTGGGAGGCCGAGGCGGGAGGATCACCTGAAGGAAGGAGTTGGAGACCAGTCTGGCCAACATGGTGAAACCCCATCTCTACAACCCCGTGTCTACCAAAAAACTACAAAAATTAGTTGGGCATGGTGGTGTGTACCTGTAATCCCAGCTACTTGGGAGGCTGAGGCAAGAGAATCCCTTGAACCTGGGAGGTGGAGGTTGTAGTGAGCCGAGATCACACCACTGCATTCCAGCGTGGATGACAGAGCAAGACTCTGTCTCAGAAAAAACAACAACAACAACAACAACAACAAACAAAAAGCTGGGTGCAGTGGCTCATGCCTGTAATCCCAACACTTTGGGAGGCTGAGGCTGGCAGATCATCTGAGGTCGAGAGTTCGAGACCAGCCTGTCCAACATGGTGAAATCCCGTCTATACTAAAAAAAATACAAAAATTAGCCGGGTGTGGTGGCGTGCACCTGTAATCCCAGCTACTCAGGAGGCTGAGGCAGGAGAATCGCTTGAACCCAGGAGGCAGAGGTTGCAGTGGGCTGAGATTGCGCCATTGCATTCCAGCCTGGGCAACAAGAGTAAAACTCCATCTCAACAAACAAACAAACAAGACAAGTGCCCGCATGTGCCGGAGGGATCCTACACCACCATTTCTCTCTCCCCCCACTCTTTTTTTTTGAGACAGGGTGACAGGGTCTTGCTCTGTTGCCCATGCTGGAGTGCAGTGACACGATCCTGGCTCACTGCAAACTCCGCCTCCCAGGTTCAAGTGATTCTCCCACCTCAGCCTCCCAAGTAGCTGGGATCACAGGTGCATGCCACCTCGCCTGACTAATTCTTGTATTTTTTTGGTAGACACGGGGTTTCGCCATGTTGGCCAGGCTGGTCTTGAACTCCTGGCCTCAAGTGATCCACCCATCTCGGCCTCCCAAAGAGCTAGGATTACAGGTGTGAGCCACTGCACTCAGCCTCTGATTTCTTTTCTTAAAAATAGACCTAGAGATGGGTTCTATGTTGCCCAGGCTGGTCTCGAACTTCTGGCCTTGAGCAAGCCGCCTGCCTTGACCTCCCCAAGTGCTGGGATTACAGGCGTGAGGTGCCACGCCTGGCTCTTATTCTGATTTCAAAGCACTAAGACCACAGCTGATTGCTGAATAAGGAGTGGGCATGTCAGCTACCTTCCTGGAGGGGGGCAGGCAGGCTCCTGCGCCCTGTAGCCTCCCAACCCCCAATTTCCCCCACCGTCCACCTGTAGGCACCCCCTCTCCCCTGGAGTCTCTAACACAGAGCTTACAGGGTACAGCCGGGCCTGGGCTGCCAACCTGGCTTGCCTGGTCCCTTAGGCCCTGAAGTTGGGGGCCAGCTCCTCCCCACTTCCAGCCTGGCCCTCCAAACCCAAACCAGGTCAAGGTCCTGGTGCTGGGACAACAGACCTCCCCCTGAGCTCAACCTTACCTTGAAAGCCCTGTCTCTTCAGGCTCTCGCCCACCAGAGGGTCCCTGGAATCCCTCTCTGGGGGCAGGGCAGGGGGAGAGAAGCCAAGTGATGAGGCAGTTCCTGGGACCCAAGATGGCATCATTAGGGGAAACCTAATGCGGGGGTGTGGGCAGAATGCCAGGGTCAGGGTGGGAGCAGGACAGAGGCAGCAGGAGGAGGGGCTGGTGGCAGAGGCCTGGGGCCCTCCCTTGCCCGCCCGCACCATGGCCCGCGACCCCGTGCTGGGTACCTTGACTATCCACGATGGGCTCTTTGACTCCCTCAGTGAGCAGCTTGGGCCTGGACAACACAAGCGGGGCTATCACAGAGGTCCCTCCAAGCATCTCTGAGACTGCCCAGCCCTCCCCTCTGGGCCTCAGTCTGCACATCCCTGCAATGGACCCTCCTGGCTCCGCACAGTTAGGCCTGGAGTCCCTGCTGCCCCACGTGTGGAAACTGGGGGGCTGCCCTGGGCTTGAAGGATCCAGCCAGGAGTGAGACCTGCCCAGTCCTGAACAGGTCCGTCTGATTATCTCACTCCTGCTCCAGGGACATTGCACGATTGTCACTGCCTGGGATTGGAGCAGGCGGCCTCAGGGGGCCTCCCGTGGAGCTGGTTTAAAGTGTAGAAACAAGGTCTGGTGCAGTAGCTCACGCCTGTAATCCCAGCACTTTGGGAGGCCGAGGAGGGCGGATCACTTGAGGTCAGGAGTCTGAGACCAGCCTGACCAACATGGTGAAACCCATCTCTACTAAAAATACAAAAGTTAGCTGGATGTGGTGGCAGGCTCCTATAATCCCACCTACTCGGGAGGCTGAGGGAGGGGAATCGCTTGAACCCAGGAGGCAGAGGTTGCAGTGAGCTGAGATAGCGCCACTGCACTCCACCCTGGGTGACAGAATAAGACTCTGTCTCAAAATGAAAGAAAAGAGAAGAAAAGGAGTAGAAACAGTTGGGGCCCACTACATAGCAAGAACTCCAAGCTTCTGGAAAGGTCTGAGATCTACGGCTCACATCTGAGAGCTGCTGTGTCACTGCAGTCGGAAGCGCCAGTGACCAAGCCCAGCTTTGTATTATACTAATGTCTTTAGCTCCACAGACTCCAGAAAGCCCTGTCCAGACATGAGTCAACGTTCTTTATCATACCGCACTGCTTCTAAAGTCTCCATCTTCAGCACAACTTGTCCTGTTAGAGCAAGCCTGTTGGGGGGCTGGGGTTTGTGGTGGGCAGAGGACACTGGGAAAATCATGCTGGCCAGAAGGGGGCTGTCAGGGGATGGCAGGGTGAGCCATGGAGTGGAGAAGGTAATTAGCTCTCTGGAGAGGTAATGGGCCTGGAGAGGTAATGAGCTCTCTGTCACAGGGGTAATCAAGCAGCAGCACTGAGGAGTCTCTGCCCGGGAGTGAGCCCAAAGGCCAAACTCTCAGGGAGGGTACTCCCTGGGTCCCCAGTAGATGAGGATTTGGTGCCCACTCTGGCAGTGGGCATCTCTTAGGCTTTTGTACAGAGCCAGGCACAGAGCTGGGGTCACGGGGCCAGGGCTGGGAGGGGGAAGTATAGCCCTGCCTTGAACCACAATCTCAGGAGCTAGAAAAGGCTTCCGATTGACCGGGCGCAGTGGCTCATGCCTGTAATCTCAGCACTTTGGGAGGCCGAGGTGAGCGGATCACGAGGTCAGGAGATTGAGACCATCCTGGCTAACACGGTGAAACCCCGTCTCTACTAAAAAATACAAAAAATTAGCCAGGTGTGGTGGCAGGCGCCTGTAGTCCCAGCTACTGGGGAGGCTGAGGCAGGAGAATGGCATGAACTTGGGAGGCGGAGCTTGCAGTGAGCTGAGATCTTGCCACTGCACTCCAGCCTGGGCGTCAGAGCGAGACTCTGTCTCAAAAAAAAAAATAATAATAATAATAATCAAATAGAGATGGGGTTGCTATGTTGACCAGGCTGGTCTCGAACTCCTGGCCTCAAGCGACCCTCCTGTTTTGTCCTCCCAAAGTGTTGGGATTACAGGTGTGAGAATTTTTAAAATTTTTTGTAGAGATGGGGTCTCGATACAGTGCCCAGGCTCGTCTCAAACTCCTGGGCTCAAGCGATCCTCCTGTCTGGGCTTCCCAAGGTGTTGGGATTACAGGCATGAGCCATCATGCCCGGCCAGAATGTATTTACATTTTTTTTTTTTTTTTTTGAGACAGGGTCTTACCCTGTCACCCAGATTGGAGTACAGTGGTGCGATCATGGCTCACTGCAGCCTCGACCTCCTGAACTCAAGTGATCCTCTCACCTCAGCCTCCTGAGTAGCTGGGACTATAGGTGCTCACCACCAAGCCTGGCTATTTTTTTTTTCCCCCCAGAGATGGGGTTTCACCACATTGCTCAGGCTGGGAATTTGTTGAATGAAGCGTTCCTTCAATCAGTACAGTACTATACATGTATACAGTAGAGCCAATTACTATACTATAATTATACATAATCTCTTGTGAATCTTTATTTCTGTATGTTTTCACACATCTGATGGGCCATATGTCTATCACGAGTTTATCCTTAAACCACCTGAAATGTGATCTTCCCTTTTAATTTTATTTATTTTTTTGAGATGAGAGTGTTACTCTGTCCCCCAGGCTGAAATGCAGGGGTGTGATCTCGGCTCACTGCAACCTCTGCCTCTCGGATTCAAGCGATTCTCCTGTCTTCGCCTCTTGAGTAGCTGGGATTACAGGTGCATGCCACCATGCCTGGCTCATTTTTTTTTTTTTTTTTTTTTTTGAGATGGTGCTTTGCTCTTGTTGCCCAGGCTGGAGTGCAATGGCATGATCTCGGCAACTTGTGCCTCCTGGGTTCAAGCAATTCTCCTGCCTCAGCCTCCCGTGTAGCTGGGATTACAGCCACCCACCACCATGCCTGGCTAATTTTGTATTTTTTAGTAGAGACAGGGTTTCTCCATATTGGTCAGGCTGGTCTTGAACTCCCGACCTCAGGTGATCTGCCCGCCTCAGCCTTTCAAAGGGCTGGGATTACATATATGAGCCACCGTGCCCTGCCTTAATTTTTGTATTTTCAGTAGTCCTGATCTCAAGTGATCTGTCCACCTCAGCCTACCAAAGTGCTGGGATTACAGGCATGAGCCACCATGCCGGCTCAGTCTTCCTTTTAATATGCCCAGACACACCGGGCATGTGGCTGCATTTCATCCTGGCCTGCTGAAGCCTTTGATTCTACTGCAGGATCACAACTCTTGCTCTCCAGCCCTGTTGTGTAGCTTTTTGCTATCTGCAGCAGACTCCCTCCTGGCATAGAGCAGGCCCTGCAGAAGAGCTCCCTGTCCCAGCGGATCTCCTCACCACTGTATGCAAAAATGACGCTGTGAGTCTCCCAGTTTGAGAACCATCTATTCCCCTGGAGGAACAAACCCTTAAGAGTTTCTTCTTTCTTGCTGCTTTCAACCAAACCAAGCCTATTTTTTTTTTTTTTTTTTTTGAGACAGAGTCTCCCTCTGTCGCCCAGGCTAGAGTGTAGTGGAGCGATCTCAGCTCAATGCAACCTCCGCCTCCCGGGTTCAAGTAATTCTCGTGCCTCAGTCTCCTGATGACGGGGAGATTACAGCTGGGATTACAGGCATGAGCCACCACGCCTGGCTAATTTGTGTATTTTTAGTAGAGATGGGATTTCGCCATGTTGGCCAGGCTGGTCTCGAACTCCTGACCTCAAGTGATCTGCCCGCCTTGGCCTCCCAAAGTGCTGGGATTACAGGCGTGAGCCATCGTGCCCAACCATAAACCAAGCCTAAATGTATGCTATTACAGTAACACAGAAGTAACAAACACAAAATGGAAATATCATCTTCCCATTCCCTGTTTTGTTTTTTATTTTTTTGAGGAGGGGTCTTGCTCTGTTACCCAGGCTGGAGTGCAGTGGTGCAATCATAGCTCACTCTAGCCTCCAAACCCCTCCTGGGCTTAAGTGATCCTCCCACCTCAGCCTCCTGAGTAGCTGAGATTACAGGTGTGCACCACCATGCCCAGCTAATTTAAATTTGTTTTGTAGAGATGGGGTCTCATTATGTTGCCCATGCTAGTCTTGAACTCCTGGCCTCAAGTGATCCTTCTGTTTCAGCCCCCTGAGTAGCTGAGACTACAGGCATGTGCTGCCACACCAGAGCTTAAAAAAAAAATTTGTAGTGACACAGTCTTGCTATGTTGCCGAGGCTGGTCTTGAACTCCTGGGCTCAAGCAATCCTCCCACCTCAGCTTCCCAAAGTGCTGGGATTATAGGCATAAACCACTGTTCCTGAAATCACCCAACCACATTTGTACTCAATAACTGCCACTGCCTTCTCCAAAGGGACTTTTTATCCCAGCTGGGCACACAGAGTGTATCCATGCGTGCTGCCCCGGGACCTCACTGGCAAAAACGCAACATGTTCAAAGAAACAGAAAGATCCTGGAGAAGCCGCTGCTGGACTTTCCCATCCTGGGATGATGGGGCATTGCCCCCAGTCCCTGGCCCAGGACACCAACACGCCAGCCTGGAGAACCCGTGAGCTGATGGCACGTTCCCATTCTGCATCTGGGCCAACTGAACACTGCTCTCCTGAGACTGCAAGAGGGGTCAGCTCGGTGGCTTTGGGTCTGGCAGCCCTGGGGAGCCTCATGTCTGCCAACTGCAGCCAAACCCCATTTAACACCTTGCTGTCAAAGAAAAAAAAAAGGAGAAAAGAAAGGAGGTCTGGTGCGGTGGCTCATGCCTGCAATCTCAGCACTTTGGGAGGCTGAGGTGGCCAGATCACTTGAGGTCAGTAGTTCAAGACCAGCCTGGCCAACATGGTGAAAACCCATCTCTGCTAAAAATACAAAAATTAGCCGGGCGTGGTGGCGGGCACCTGTAGTCTCAGCTACTCGAGAGGCTGAGTCAGGAGAATCGCTTGAACCCAGGAGGCTGTGGTTGCAGTGAGCCATGATTGCACCACTGCACTCCAGCCTGGGAGACAGAGTGAGACTCTGTCTACAGGAAAAAAAAAAAAAAGAAAGAAATAGTGGCCAGGCGCGGTGGCTCACACCTGTAATCACTTTGGGAGGCCCAGGCAGGAGATGGCTTGAGTCCAGGAGTTTGAGAACAGTCTGGACAATATGGCCAGACCCTATCTCTAAAAAAATAAAATCAATCGATTCAATCAATCAATCAAAAAATTAGCTGGGCATGGTGGCACACACCCGTGGTCCCAGCTATTCGGGTGGCTGAGGCACAATAATCACTTGATGGCAATTTGGTGCTGCTCCTGCCCCTGGGTGCTGAGCAGGCCTGGTGCTGTCTCCCGTGGACCTGGTCAGGCCTTACCTCTTGATGACAAACTGGATGCTGTTGCTGGCCTCCAGAATCTTCCAGAGCTTGGCGATCCCGAAGCAGTTGGGTCTGCGGAGGGAGATGCCTTCGGGCAGCCCCACCACAAACAGCTCCTCCGGGTGCATCAGAAACTTGGAGTACAGCACCTTGATGGGTTCCGAGATGCCAATGGCCTTGGCTGCAGAGACATGGCTGCTGTAAGTCCAGCCGGTGCCACAGGGCCAGGAATCTCAACCCCTGTGTCCCATGCCTGTGTAGAGGGCAAAGCTGCCTGTCCTTTTGAGGGCCTTCCTGGGAGGTGAGCCAGGCGTGAGCCACCTTGCCCTGCCTATATTACTTATTTGCTTACTGCTTATCTCTCCACACGAGGATGTGTACCCCAGGAGGTGGGGACATCTGTTTGGTCCACTGCTTTTTCCCCAGCCCCTTGCACAGGACCTAGTACACAGTAGGTGCTCAATAAATATTTGTTGAGGCAGGGTGCATTGGCTCACGCCTGTAATCCCAGCTCTTTGGGAGGCCAAGGTAGGAGGATCATTTGAGGTCAGGAGTTTGAGACCTGCGTGGCCATCATGGTGAAACCCCGTCTCTACTAAAAATGCAAAAAAATTAGCCAGGCGTGGTGGTGGGCACCTGTAATCCCAGCTACTCAGGAGGTTGAGGCAGGAGAACTGCTTGAACCCAGGAGGCGGAGGTTACAGTGAGCTGAGATCGCACCACTGCACTCCAGCCTGGGCGACAGAGTGAGGCTCCATCTCAAAAAATTTAAGAGATGGGTCTCTCTATGTTGCCCAGGCTGATCTTGAACTCCCGGCCTCAAGTAATCCCCTTGTCTTGGCTTCCCAAACTGTTGGGATTATAGGCATGAGCCACCTTAGCCTGCCTATTTTACTTATTTGATTACTATTTATCTATCTCTTCACAGGAGGATGTGCACCCCAGGAGGTGGGGACTTCTGCTTGGTTCACTGCTTTGTCTCCAGCCCCTTACACAGGACCTGGTACACAATAGATGCTCAATAAATAGTTGTTGGATAAATGGACAAATTAATCACAACAGGTGGCTCCTGGGAAGCATGCTGGGCCTTGTTAGAAATAGGGCCTATGGTAGGGCGTGGTGGCTCACGCCTGCAATCCCAGCACTTTGGGAGGCCAAGGCAGGTGGATTACCTGAGGTCAGGAGTTCGAGACCAGCCTGACCAACATGGCGAAAGCCTGTCTCTACTAAAAATACAAAATTAGCCAGGCGTGGTGGCACGTGCCTGTAATGTGTGCCTGTAGTGTGTGCCTGTCAGTGTAGATTCTCAGGAGGCTGAGGCAGGAGGATCACTAGAGCCCAAGAGTTGGAGGCTGCAGTGAGCTGTGATCGCACCACTGCACTCCAGCCTGGGCAACAGAGGGAGACCTTATCTCAAAAAAAAAAAATGGCCGGGTACAGTGGCTCATGTCTATAATCCCAGCACTTTGGGAGGCCGAGGCAGGTGGATCACCAGAGGTCAGGAGTTTGAGACCAGCCTGGCCAACATGGTGAGGCTGAGGCAGGAGAATTGCTTGAACTCAGGAGGTGGAGGTTGTAATGAGCCGAGATCGCGCCAAGGTCTTTAAATAAATAAATAGAGCCTACTTGAGGCTTCCAAAAGGAACCCAGCCTTGGATTGGGGTCAGGCATATATTGGGTTTCCTATACTAGAGGCGGTCAAAATCAAGAAAAGCCTGAGGCCTGCCTGGCCCCCCGCTTTCCGTTTGCTCCCTGGGGAGATGAGTCCCAAGCACCACCATCCCAGGTCCATTTCTTATCTGTCAGCATCTCCATCCCATAACGAGAATCCTCCGATGGCAGGTGCCCAGGCATCGAGTCTGTCATTTCCTCAGAGGTTAGCGAGGGGTCTGAAGACAAAACTCCAAATGACATGGGTGTCTTCTGCCTGTCATACTCCTGTCACAGTCCCTCAGGGCCCACCCAGCCCACTCTCCCCACAGGCAAGGGTCTTTTTCTTTCTTTTTTTTTTTTGTTCGAGATGGAGTCTCACACTGTCGCCCAAGCTGGAGTGCAGTGGCGCCATCTCGGCTCATTGTAACCTCTGCCTCCCAGGTTCAAGCGATTCTCCTGCCTCAGCCTCCCGAGTAGCTGGGATTACAGACGTGAGCCACCACGCCTGGCTAATTTTTGTATTTTTAGTAGAGACAGGGTTTCACCATGTTGGTCAGGCTGGTCTCAAACTCCTGAACTCAGGTGATCCACCTGCCTCAGACTCCCAAAGGGCTGGGATTACAAGTGTAAGCCACCGCTCCTGGCCTTTATTTTCTTTTCCTTTTTTATTTTTTTTTTTAGACGAAGTCTCATTCTGTCATCCAGGCTGGAGTGCAGAGGCATGATCTCAGCTCACTGCAAGCTCTGCCTCCCAAGTTCATGCCATTCTCCTGCCTCAGCCTCCTGAGTAGCTGAGACTACAGACACCCGCCACCATGCCCGGCTATTTTTTGTATTTTTAGTAGAGATGGGGTTTCACCATGCTGGCCAAGATGGTCTCAATCTCTTGACCTCGTAATCCACCCGCCTTGGCCTCCCAAAGTGCTGGGATTACAGGTGTGAGCCACCGCACCTGGCCTATTTTCTTTTAATGAGAACCTCAGCCAGGCGCAGTGGCTCAGCCCTGTTATCCCAACCCTTTGGGAGGCCGAGGCAGGAGGATCACTTGAGGCCAGGAGTTCACAACCATCCTGGACAACATAGTGAGACCTCCGTCTCTGTTAAAAAAAAAAAAAAAAGAGGGGACCTCATTAAAGGTATACAGCAAATGAAACTATGATATGATATATTTTGGCTTTGTAAATCAATGTTTTCACATACTGGTTTTGTTAGATTTATTTTTCCATCAGTGAAAACATTTTTTGAACACAAATTCCTTTTCCAATTAAACAATTTGTAAGTAAAGTTTATTCAAATGTATGTTAAAACATTTAATGTTTGTCTTCTGAAGTTTGTCTTTATGTACACCAAGATATTGGTTGTCTTGTTTTAAATGTATCATTGGATATCACATATTCTATTCGTTGTTTAATAAGGGTAATGCCCATCTAGGAATGAAGAGTTTTTTAAAATCAAAAACAAGAAGACAAGTGACAAACTCCATGTGGCAGATAAAAGGTTAATGAGCTTCACATATAAAGAACTTCTTCAAATAAATTAAAAAAAAAAAATTTAGGCTGGGAGCGTTGGCTCACGCCTGTAATCCCAGCACTTTGGGAGGCCAAGGTGGGCGGATCATGAGGTCAGGAGATTGAGACCATCCTGGCTAACATGGTGAAACCCCATCTCTACTAAAAATACAAAAAATTAGCCGGGCATGGTGGCGGGTGCCTGTAGTCCCAGCTACTCGGGAGGCTGAGGCAGGAGAATGGTGTGAACCCGGGAGGCAGAGCTTGCAGTGAGCTGAGATCTCCCCATTGCACTCCAGCCTAGGTGACAAAGCGAGACTCCATCTCAAAAAAAAAAAAAAAAGAAAAAGAAAAAGAAAAAACATTTAAAACATTAAATAATGCACCAAGGACATGAACGAACAATTCACCATTTAGACATACAAAGGGCCAACAAGGGATGACAAATATTCATCTTCATTAGTAATAACTGTCATTTGAGATTTGTGAAGTTGTCAAAAATGAAAAATTTAGTTTTGGGTTTTGTTTTTTTTTTTTTTTTTTTTTGAAATGAGGTCTCCCTGTTTTGCGTTGCCCGGGCTGGTCTCAAACTCCTGAGCTCAAACAATCCTCCCACCTTGGTCTCCCAAAATGCTGGGATTATAGGTGTGAGCCACCACATGGGGCCAAGATAAAAATTTAGGATTGTATTTTATGCCTATGAGTGTACAGAAAAATGTACCTCCCTGATAAGCAAAAATTGTAACATTTCCAGGGAGCAATTCAGTACAATGTGTCACAAGCCTTAAAAATCTTTTTAGGCTGGGAGCAGTGGTGGCTCATGCCTGTAATCCCAGCACTTTGGGAGGCTGAGGCAGGAGGACCACTTGAGCTCAGGAGTTCAAGACCAGCCTGGGCAATATAGTGAGACCTCATCTCTACAGAAAGTTTAAAAAAATATTATTTGGGCATGGTGGTACACACCTGTAGTTTCAGCTACTCAGGAGGCTGAGGTTGGAGGATTGCTTGCACAGCCCAGAAGATTGAAGCTACAGTGAGCTTTGGTCACACCACTGCACTCCAGTCTGAGTGACAGAGTGACTCTGCCTCAAAAAAAAAAAGAAAGAAAAAAGAAAAAAAATTTACTTTTTGGCACACTAACTCCACTTCTAGACATCTATCCTAAGATAATAATCAACATATAAAAATGCACATACAAATATTGACTATAAGAATAAAAAAATTTCAGCATTTAAGCTGTACAGGTGAATGTTTAAATTATGGTACACCCATTTGTGTTATTTATTTTAAAAAATTTTTTTGAAGTATAACTATGTAGAAAACTGTCCTAGCATAATGTTAAGCATCGTTCCCAATGTGTTTTAAAATCTGATGCAAAGCAAACAGAAGGCAGGCAATTGGGAAGGAAGGATGGGGGAAAGAAAGAAAGGAACAATGAAAAGGAGGAAAAGGAAGGAAGAGAAAGAAAGAAAGAAAAGAGAGAAAGAAAGAAAAAAGAAAGAAAAGAAAGGAGGAAGGAAGGAAGAAACATAGGGAAGAGGGAGGAAGGAAGGGAGGGAGGCAGAGAGGGAGGGAGGGAAGAAAGAAAAAGAAGAAAGGAAGGAAAAAGGAAAGGAAAAAGAAAAATGAAAGGAAGCAGAGAAGGTAGGAAGGAGAGAAAAGGAAAGAAATAGGAAAGTAGGGAGGGAGGGAGGAAGGAAGGAAAGAAAAGAGAAAATGGGAAAAAAGACAGCAAAATCTTAACAGTAGTTACTATTGGATTTGAAGGTTACAGGTGCTTTTAATTTTCCTTTTTAATATTTTCTAAATTTGCTATAGGGGTAGAATCACCCCCTCTTGGCAGGTTCTGAGACTTGTCCCTCTTTAATATAATAATGAGTTGGGCCGGATGCAGTGGCCCATGCCTGTAATCCTAGAACTCTGGGAGGCTGAGGCAGGTGGATCACAAGGTCAGGAGATCGAGACTATCCTGGCTAACACGGTGAAACCCCATCTCTACTAAAAATACAAAAAAAAAACATTAGCCAGGCGTGGTGGGATGCGCCTGTAGTCCCAGCTACTCGGGAGGCTGAGGTAGAAGAATCGCTGAAACCTGAGAGGTGGAGGTTGCAGTGAGCCGGGATTGCACCACTGCACTCCAGCCTGGGTGACAGAGCCAGACTCCATCTCAAAATAAATAAATAAATAAATAAATAAATAAATAAATAAAATGTGAGTTCTCTGCGGGGTACGTGTCTGGTTACATTTCCTCTGTAGAACTGCACATCTGCAGAATGCTTTCACTGCCAGAGAAAATTGCTTGCTCCCTTAATGAAAAGTCAATAAAGCTGAAAGAAATCTACTTCTTGGATTTGGGGTGGAAGCCAGAAGACTGGTAAGCATTCTTAAATGCCAGGGAAACTCACCCGGGCACTGAGAGGGGATGGTTGTCAGGATGGACCTGAAATTCTCATGACATTTGCTGTGGGGGCCGTGGGCAGGGCCTCTAGTCACTGTCTCCTGATTTGAAAAGTTAGAGGGGTGAATGAATGCACAGGACCATGATTTCAAGTGGAAATGTCATCACTTTGAAAATAATAGCAACTCATCCTGAACTCCCTACCTTGTCTGTGTGAATGTAGATGAATCCATCAGTGGGGGACTGGGCTAGATGCACTTCCTTTCACACCACATTAATTCTGTGCCCTAAGGCCAGGCACAGTGGCTCACACCTGTAATCCCAGCACTTTGGGAGGCTAAGGCAGGAGGATGGCTGGAAGCCCAGGAGTTTGAGACCAGCCTGGGCAACATAGTGAGATCCCATCTCTACAAAAAATAAAATGAAAATAAAGTTCTATGCCCTAAATATATGTCCAGCTCAGGCTACATATCTATAGTGCTGGTGAGCCTGCAAGAACACACAGGTTCTGGACCTTGCTTTCAGTTTATTTACAATTCAGTGGAAATGGAAAAATATGAAAAGTTGCCAAGCACAGTGGCATGTGCATGTCATCGCAGCTCCTGAGGGGGCTGATACAGGAGGATTGCTTGAGCCTGAGAGTTTGAATCCAGCCTGGGCAACATAGTGAGACTCCCTCTCTTAAAAAAACAGAAAAAGGGGCCAGGTGTGGTGGCTCATGCCTGTAATCCCAGCACTTTGGGAGGCTGTGGTGGGCGGATCACCTGAGGTCAGGAGTTCAAGACAAGCCTGGCCAACATGGCGAAACCCCCTGTCTACTAAAAATACAAAAAAATTAGCCTGGCATGGTGGCATGCGCCTGTAATCCCAGCTACTCGAGAGACTGAGGTAGGAGAATTGCTTGAACCCGGGAGGGAGAGGTTGCAGTGTGTCGAGATCACACCACTGCACTCCAGCCTGGAGGACAGAGTGAGACTCCTCTCCGGGGGCTGGGGAAATGCAACTTTTGGCAGGCATGGTGACTCATGCCTGTAATCACAGCTTTTTGGGAGGCTGAGGCGGGCAGATCACTTGAGGTCAGGACTTCGAGACCAGCCTTGCCAACACGGTGAAACCCAGTTTCTAATAAAAATCCTAAAATTAGGCCAGGTGCAGTGGCTCACGCCTGTAACCCCAGCACTTTGGGAGGCCGAGGCGGGCGGATCACGAGGTCAGGAGATCGAGACCATCCTGGCTAACAAGGTGAAACGCTGTCTCTCCTAAACATACAAAAAAATTAGCCAGGTGTGGTGGCAGGCGGCTGTAATCCCAGTTACTTGGGAGGCTGAGGCAGGAGAATCGCTGGAACCCAGGAGGCAGAGATTGCAGTAAGCCGAGATCGCGCCACTGCACTCCAGCCTTTTTTTGAGACTCCGTCTCAAAAAAAGCAAAAAACAACAAAAAAACCCAACTCGGGTGCTGTCGCTCGGCTGCAGTGGCTGCGGTTGGCGGTGGCTGCGGCGGCCACCTCGAGCTCTCATGCATCCGCCGAGGCGGGGCGGGGCGGGCCGGCCGGGGGCCAAGGGCCCGGGGCTGAAGCCTGAGGGCCGAGGCGGGCGGCGACCGAGGCGGCTTCGGCCAAAGTCGGGCCGGGGGCCGGTGGGTGGCGGCCGTGGCCGGGACGATGACTCTGGAGTCCATGATGGCGTGTTGCCTGAGCGATAAGGTGAAGGAGTCCAAGCGGATCAACGCCGAGATCCAGAAGCAGCTGCGGGGGACAAGCGCGACGCCCGGCGCCAGCTCAAGCTGCTGCTGCTCCTCACGGGCGAGAGCGGGAAGAGCACCTTCATCAAGCAGATGCGCATCATCCATGGCGCCGGGTACTAGGAGGAGGACAAAAGGGGCTTCACCAAGCTCGTCTACCAGAACATTTTCACCGCCATGCAGGCCATGATCCGGGCCATGGAGACGCTGAAGATCCTCTACAAGTTGGAGCAGAACAAGGCCAATGCGCTCCAGATCCGAGAGGTGGACGTGGAGAAGGTGACCACCTTTGAGCATCGGTACGTCAGCGCCATCAAGACCCTGTGGGACGACCCCGGCATCCACGAGTGCTACGACCGCAGGCGCGAGTACCAGCTCTCGGACTCGGCCAAGTACTGCGTGACCGACGTAGACTGCATCGCCACCTCGAGCTACCTGCCCACCCAGCAGGACGTGCTGCGGGTCCGCGTGCCCACCACCGGCGTCTTTCGACCTGGAGAACATCATCTTCAGGATGGCGGATGTTGGGGGACAGCGGTCGGCGCAGAGGAAGTGGATCCACTGCTTTGAGAACCTGACGTCCATCCCGTTTCTCGTCGCCCTCAGTGAATACGACCAAGTCCTGGTGGAGTCGGACAACGAGAACCGGATGGAGGAGAGCAAAGCCCTGTTCCGGACCATCATCGACTACCCCTGGTTCCAGAACTCCCCCGTCATCACCTTCCTCAACAAGAAGGACCTGCTGGAGGACAATATCCTGTACTCACACATGGTGGACTACTTCCCCGAGTTCGAAGGGCCCCAGCAGGACGCCCAGGCGGCGCGGGAGTTCATCCTGAAGATGTTAGTGGACATGAACCCCGACAGCGACAAGATCATCGACTCCCACTTCACGTACGCCACCGACACGAAGAACATCCGCTTCGTGTTCGCGGCCGTGAAGGACACCATCCTGCAGCTCAGCCTCAAGGAGTACAACCTGGTCTGAAAGCGCCCAGGCCCAGGGAGACGGGACGGAGACAAGGGCCGGGACAAACCTTCCTTCACACCCAACCCGCGGCTGCCGGCCAGGCAGCGCTGCTGAGCCCGGGCGGGGCCTCTGCCCGCGGAGGATTTTTTTTTTTTTTTAATATTTTTAACAAATGGTTTTTATTTCACAGTTATCAGGGGATGTATATCTGTCTGCACACTTCGCGCACCTTCTCACCTTTTGTCAACGTCAAAGGGAGTCTTTTTCTGGCCTTGACTTACGGTTCGCTTTTTTCTAAAAAAAAAAAAAAAGAAAAAAAGGAAAAAGAAAAAACCCAACGAAACCTAAAACACACGTGCGCCCCGTGTCCCCAGCGACTCTGGGCCTCACAGAGCCCCTTGCCAGCCAGCATGGGGGTCCCCACCCCGCAGCCTCCCGTGACTGTCCTTCCAACACCACATACTTTTTCTTTCTCTTCCCCGCTTCTTTTCTTCTTCAACACGAAACGCATGGAGACTCGGGAACTGATATTTTCCCCCCTTTTTAAAGTTATTGACGCCCAGTGCGCCTCTCCTCTTCACAACTCAATGCTGTGTTTTGCCCACTGGACTCCTGAAGAGGGGGTGGGGCACTCCCTCAGTCGCCCACCCTGGGAAGTGCCTAAACTTTTTTTTTTTTAAGTAAAAAGAACGCCTCACTGCACAGGTTCAAGAAATGCCCAGGGTCCTGTCTTATGGCCGGGTACCCCGTCCCTCTGCAGAGGCTGGGAAGGGCCCCTGGGCTGGAGTTACAGGGGCTCGAGGCTCCTCTGGGCTGTGCCTCCAGGGGCAACACTGGCAGCTTGGGGCTGCCGGGGGGCTCCAGAGGGCTGCACAGCCACCCTGTCCCGGCTGGAGTGTACCCCACTGGAGCTCACGTGGGCTTAGCTGCTGGAGGGACGGTCCCCCAGTAACACCGAGAGAAAGGCCACTTGGATGGGGGCATTTCTTTTCGTTTTGTTCTGCTTTGTGTTGTCCCCAATTTGGAAACAGTGAGGGTGGGGTGGGGACTTTTACAGAATATTCTCAGGTGTGTACCTGAGAGGTAGAGAGAGGGACATGGCAGGCAGCTCCGTGCATGGCCTTGTCCCATGCACTTGTGCCGCCCCCGAGGAGCGGGAAGCCAGCACTTGCACTTGGGCCAGGGGCGCATGGAAGGTGGTGGCAGGCACTGGCCCTGGCAGCTTCCAGGCCTGGCTGGCCATGGCCATGGTCTGATGGGGAGCCCGCCAGGCCACGGCTGCACACTGAGCCACAGCCCCAGGGACTGCCTCCCGGGACCCCTTTAGGCACTGAGGTACCCAGACTGGTTCTCCCCGAAAGACTCGGAAGGTGGGGAACGAGGGGACTCTTTTTGGGGTGGTGGCTTTTTCGTCTGCTGTTGACTGAACACTGTGGCGCTCTGTGGGTCTGGGCTTCTCATAGCTGTCCCGGGGATGGATCACCCGTGCTGCCCTCGCCTGCTGCCATTCCGGGACCCCGCACGGCTGCTTCTGGCCTTGACAGATTACAAAAGAAATAGCCCCCAAATAAGACCACCCGGATCAGCAGTTCCCAGCTGCCACTGTCAGGCCTGCCCCGGACTCCTCGTGCACAGGGGCTGTCTGCTGGCTTCTGGGGGGAGAAGAGGGGGACCCCCGTGGAGGGGGCAGGGGAGACGCATGCTGGTCAGGGCAGGTACATTTCTGGTGATCAGCCCCACTGGGAAACGGGGCAGTGCCCCCCCTCCCCTCGCTTCCCCATGCCACTTTTCCTCTTTTGTCTCTCCTGGAAGCGTCCTTTTTTTGTGCCAAGTGTCTACTTAAGACGGTCGGTACCAGAAGCCCCCCATGGTGAGTGCTGGGGCCCGGAGGTGCCCTGGGGGAGCACATGGTGCCACCCCTGGCGGGGCTGGTGCATCCATTGCTGGCAGCGGACCCCTCTAGGGGGCCTGGGCTTGTGGCATCTCTGAGGGCCCAGATCGCACAAGGGGACCCGAACCCGGCTGGAGGATGGAATCGCCTAGCATGGAAGCTGGGGCGCTGCCGGGCTAAGTATTAGCCCTTCCAGGGGAGGGGGCCGTGCCAAGCATCCCAGAGCCAGGCTGAGGCCACCAAACCATCTTGGCCTGGGTCCTCTGGGTCTGACTGCCTGATCCCTTGACCCCTCAAAAAAGCAGAGGTGGGTGTTGCAGGCCCGGGGCAGGGGTGCCTGTCCCAGTAGAGTCCCAGGCAGTGGTTCTCGTGCCAGTGACACCCTCATGTCAGGGAAGGGGCAGCTGACCCCCATCCTTATCATGTGTGGGGCCACGTGTGGGGTGTGTGTTTTTACCTTGGTGAATCTCACCTGCCAATGCTTTCTCGTTACCGCCGACCACCTTCTCTGACCATGTCATGCCCAGGCAGCAGCAGCCCCTGGCCATCGCAAGAGCCACACCCTGGGTCCCCCCGGCTCCCATAGAAGAGCATTCCTGTGCCAATGTCCCCCAGTGGTGGCAGCAGATCCTGCGGCTGGCCTGGCAGACAGGATCCAGTGATAGTTATATATTACACTGTCCTGATTTCAGACAATTTCAACCTTATTTAAGAAAGAATATTCTATACCATGCTGTTTTTACACCTTTTACCATTTGAAATGCATGTGTCGTGCATGTTGGGGGATGGGAGGGGCTGAGGAGTGACTCATTGTCAATTCCCATGGCCACTGGCCTTGACCCTTAATCCAGACACCGATGGAAGTTGACTTTTCATATCTTTCTCCTGAAATGAACTGTTTTAAATTGGAACATATTTTGTTAAAAAAAAAGACCCCCAAACCCCAAAAACAAAAACGAAAAACAAAATACCCACTAATAGATCCCTCTACAGAGTCACCAAAAATCCTAAAGCTGAAAGCACTAACAATGCCAAAGATTAGGAGGATGTGGTGTAACAGAAATTCATACAGCTCTAATGGGAGTTTACATTGGTGTACCCACTTTGGAAAACTGTTTGGTAGTGTGTGGTGGTGTTGGTAACACACTCAGATCTCCCTATTTTATTTTTTTGAGGCAGAGTCCCACTCTGTCGCCCAGGCTGGAATGTAGTGGTGTGATCTCGGCTCACTGCAACCTCTGCTTCCTGGGCTCAAGTGATTCTCCTGCCTCAGCCTCCCGAGTAGGTGGGATTAAAGGTGCCCACCACCACGCCTGGCTAATTTTGTATTTTTAGTACTTATGAGATTTTACCATGTTGTCCAGGGCGGTCTCAAACTTCTGAGCCCAGGCAATCCGCTCACCTCGCCTCCCAAAGTGCTAGGATTACAGGCGTGAGCCACTGCGCCCAGCCAGTTCACTCTTTAGTAAAATTTTTATAGCAATTTCTCATTCCATAGTGATTTCAGTCACTCTCAACAAATTCACTTATAGTTATCAGTATTTGAACTTTTGCAGGTGTTGTCATAGATAAGAAATTTGGCCAAATGGACTCTTGATTATTGCAGTAGAAATTCTGCTCAAATTAGGTAACAGGCATTTGAAGTTTTAAAATTATGCAAACTGTGTTCCAAAAATTTCACTTCTAGGGATTTAAGAAACAGTCATGATTGTACAAATAAATGTGCTGTAGGGATGTTCATTTAAAAAAATGTATAAAACAGGGAAAACCTGTAAACAACCTAAGTGTCCTATAATAGAATTCATTAAATAAGTTATGATACATACATATGATGAAATGTATGCAACCATTAAAAAATGTTATGAGGGGCTAAGTACGGTGGCTCATGCCTGTAATCCCAGCACTTTGGGAGGCCGAGGTGGGTGATCACTTGAGGTCAAGAGTCTGAGACTAGCCTAGTCAACATGGTGAAACCCTGTCTCTACTAAAAATACAAAAAAATTAGCTTGGCTGGGCATGGTGGCTCACGCCTGTAATCCCAGCACTTTGGGAGGCCGAGGCAGGTGGATCACAAGGTCAGGAGATCAAGACCATACTGGCTAACGCGGTGAAATCCTGTCTCTACTAAAAAATAGAAAAAATTAGCTGGGCGTGGTGGCAGGTGCCTGTAGTCCCAGCTACTCGGGAGGCTGAGGCAGGAGAATGGGGTGAACCCAGGAGGCGGAGCTTGCCATGAGCCGAGATTGCGCCACTGCACTCCAGCCTGGCTGACAGAGTGAGACTCCGTCTCAAAAAAAAAAAAAAAAAAAAAATTAGCTCGGCTTGGTGGCTCATGCTTGTAATCCCAGCTACTAGGGAGGCTGAGGCAGGAGAATCACTTCAACCCATGAGGCAGAGGTTGCAGTGAGCAGAGATCGCACCATTGCACTCTAGCCTGGGTGACAAGAATGAAGTTCCGTCTCAATAAAAAAAAAAAAAGGAAAGAATATTTGACATGAAAGGTATTTTTTATAATACATACATTAAGTGAAAGAGCAGATTACACCACAGTACATATAGTGTATTTATATTTTGAGAAAATATATATTTTGAATATTGGAATTATATACATCCAACTAGTAATGTTATCCATTGATTCATGGAATTACAAGTGACTGTTTTTTCTGCTTGTCCCTATTTTCCAATTTTTCTACAGTGACTGTACTTGCAATAATTAAACATAGTATGGTCATTTAAAATATGTCCCCAAATTCTCTGATACTCTCTTCAAAAGGCGGAGCCCAGTTCCTATCTCTTTTAGTGTGGGCTGGGTTACGTGATTCCCTTCTGACAGATAGGAAAAAGCAAAAGTGATGGCTTGCAACTTTGCAAGCTACATCATAAAAGGTACTATGGCTTCCTCCTTGCTCACTCTTTGATTACTCACTTGGGAAAGCCAGCTGTCACACCATGACACCTAAGCAGCCTGTAGGGAGGCTCATGTGACAGGAACTGAGGCCTCCGGTCAGCAGTCACATGAGTGAGCCATCTTGGAAACAGGCTTTAGGTGACTGCAGTCTCAGAGGACAGCTTGACTGCAATGTCACGAGACACCCTGAGCCCAGATGACCCAGCTATGCCACTCCTGAATTCCTGACTCACAGAAATGGAGTTCCTAAGTAAATATTTTATTTATTTATTTATTTATTTATTTTTGAGACAGAGTCTCACTCTGTCACCCAGGCTGGAGTGTGGTGGTGTGATCTTGGCTCACTGTAACCTCTCCCTCCCTGGCTCAAGTGATTCTCCCACATCAGCCTCCTAAGTAGCTGGGACCACAGGTGTGCACCATCACACCTGGCTAATGTTTGCATTTTCTGTAGAGATGGAGTCTCACTATGTTGCCCACGTTGATCTTAAACTGCTGGACGCAAGTGATCTTCCCACCTCGGCCTCTCAAAGTGTTGGGATTACAGGCATGAGCCACTGTGCCTGGTCCTAAGTATTTATTTTCAGCCACTAGGTCTGGAGTAATTTGTTACATAGCAGCAGATAAATAATACACGTATTTTCTATAGCGATCATATTTATAATTTAAATTGAATTAAAAAGGTTGGGAGCAGTGGCTCATGCCTGTAATCCTAGCACTTTAGGAGGCTGAGGCTGGAAGATCGCTTGAGCCCATGAGTTTGAGACCAGCCTGGGCAATATGGCAAAACACTTTCTCTACAAAATACAAAAAAAAATTAGCTGGGTGTGGGCCGGGTGCGGTGGCTCATGCCTGTAATCCCAGTACTTCGGGAGGCTGAGGCCGGCGGATCACGAGGTCAGGAGATCAAGACCATTTTGGCTTTAATAGATGGTGAAACCTCGTCTCTATTAAAAATACAAAAAATTTAGCCAGACGTGGTGGCAGGCGCCTGTAGTCCCAGCTACTCAGGAGGTGGAGGCAGGAGAATGGCATGAACCCAGGAGGCAGAGCTTGCAGTGAGCCGAGATCGCGCCACTACACTCCAGCCTGGGCAACAGAGTGAGACTCTATCTCAAAAAACAAAATAAACAAACAAAAATTAGCTGGGTGTGGTGGCGGCGTGCACCTGTAGTCCCAGATACTTGGAGACTATGGTGGGAGAATCACCTGAGTCAAGGAATTCGAGGCTGCAGTGAGCTGTGACTGTGCCACTGTACTCCAGCCTGCATGACAGAGTAAGATTTTGCCTCAAAAAACATTTTTTTTGGCCGGGTGCAGTGGCTCATGCATTTTGGGAGGCCGAGGCAGGCGGATCACGAGGTCAAGAGATCAAGACCATCCTGGCCAACATGGTGAAACCCTGTCTACTAAAAATACAAAAATTAGCTGGGCATGGTGGCATGTGCCTGTAGTCCCAGCTACTCGAGAGGCTGAGGCAGGAGAATCGCTTGAACCCAGGAGGCGGAGGTGGCAGTGAGCCGAGATCACACCACTGCACTCCAGCTCAAAAAAAAAAATTTTTTTTTTTAATTAACAAGTTCTAGTATCTAAAATGAGCAAAATCGTCACGTGTGGTGGATCACACCTGTAATCCCAGCACTTTGGGATGCCAAGGCACGTGGATCATCTGAGGTCAGGAGTTCAAGACCAGGCTGCAGTGAGTCAAGATTGCACCACTGCACTCCAGCCGGGGAGACAGAGTGAGACTCCATCTCAAAAAAAAAAAAAAAAAAAAAGAAAAAAAAAAAAGTAAATATGCGTTTGAAAAGAACAGCATCAGCCAAGTACAGTGGCTCACGCCTGTAATCCCAGCACTTTGGGAGGCCAAGGGTGGAGGATAGCTGAGCCCAGGAGTTTGAGACCACCCTGGGCAACATGGTGAAACCCTGTCTCTACAAAAAATACAAAAATTAGCCAACTGTGGTAGCACAACCTGTAGTCTCAGCTACTTAGGAGGCTGGGGGAAGGATTGCTTGAGTCTGGGAGGTCGAGGCTGCAGTGAGCCATGATTGCGCCACCTCACTCCAGCCTGGGCAACAGAGCAAGAACCTCTCTCAAAAAAGAAAAAAAAAACATGCAAAAAGAAAACAAAACAGAACAGCATCATTTCCTTATCATTAGTTTGAAGGAAGGGAATCACTGGTAAAAGTTTCCATTTTCTTTTTTTTGAGATGGAGTCTCACTCTGTTGCCCAGGCTGGAGTGCAGTGGCATGATCTTGGCTCACTGCAAGCTCCACCTCCCGGGTTCACACCATTCTCCTGCCTCAGCCTCCCAAGTAGCTGGGACTACAGGCACCCGCCACCATGCCTGGCCAATTTTTTGTATTTTTTAGTAGAGATGGGGTTTCACCATGTTAGCCAGGATGGTCTCAATCTCCTGACCTCGTGATCCGCCCGCCTCAGCCTCCCAAAGTGCTGGGATTACAGGTGAGAGTCACTGTGCCTGGCCAAAAGTTTTCATTTTCAAAAAAAGCATTAAAATGTAGTGTGAGGCCAGGCATGATGGCACATTCCTGTAATCCCAGCACTTCCGGAAGCTGAAATGGATAGCCTGAGCCCAGGAGGTTAAGGCTGCAGTGAGCAGTGTTTGTGTCGCTGCACACCAGCAGCCTGGGCAACAGAAGAAGAGCCTGTCTCAAAACAACAAAACATGGTTTACCACAACCAACAGGAAAATTCTGGATAAAGCTATGTATGAAATATTTACTGCTCTGCTCAACAAGGTAGTGCAGAGGTCAAGGGCAAAAGTCCTGGGGTCAGGTCACCTAGTCTGCTGTCTAATTAGCTGTGTCATCTTTGGAAAGGTACTTGAACTCTCTGTGCCTTATAATTCATTTTCTAAAATGTGGGCAGGGCGTGGTGGCTCATGCTTGTAATCCCAGCACTTTGGGAGGCCAAGGCGGGTGAATCATCTGAGGCCAGGAGTTCGAGACCAGCCTGGTAAACAAGGTGAAACGTGGTCTCTATTAAAAACACAAAAATTAGCTGGGTGTGGTAGTGGGCACCTGTAATCCCAGCTACTGGGGAGGCTGAGGTTGGAGAATTGCTTGAACCCAGGAGGCAGAGGTTGCAGTGAGCCGAGATCATGCCACTGCACTCCAGCCTGGATGACAGAACAAGACTCTGTCTCAAAAACAAACAAACAAAAAGTGGATAGCAGTATCTACCTCGAAGAATTGTTATGGGATTGACAGTGCAGAGAACCTAGCAACTATAAAATAAAAAAAAGTTTCAGGACCCTCTATAAATTTATCATGCCAGGAGGGAAGTTACACCCTGACCGAGTCACATAGCATGTTTGCAACTTCTGCTTCTGTTTTTTTTTTGAGACGGAGTCTCGCTCTGTCGCCCGGGTCAGAGTGCAGTGGCAGGATCTCAGCTCACTGCAAGCTCCACCTCCCGGGTTCACGCCATTCTCCTGCCTCAGCCTCCCAAGTAGCTGGGACTACAGGTGCCCGCCACCAAGCCCAGCAAATTTTTTGTGTTTTTAGTAGAGACGGGGTTTCACTGTGTTAGCCAGGCTGGTCTCGATCTCCTGACCTCATGATCCACCTGCCTCAGCCTCCCAAAGTGCTGGGATTACAGGTGTGAGCCACCGCGCCCGGCCACTTCTGCTTCTTAAATTATAATTTATTCCTTCCTTATTATTTTCATTCGGTAAATGACTATGAGAGACCAGAGACTAGTCCTACTCTCCTTCCAATCACTCATCTTTATTACACATTAACTGCCTCCTTTATTGTTCTGTACCTCACACCAGATGGCACAAAAGACCCCATGACTTACATCTTCAGTGTAGAAGGTAAAATACACCTTTCCCGGAAAAAAGACCACCTAGTCTGGGCGCCGTCACTCATGCCTGTAATCCCGGTACTTTGGGAGGCTGAGGTGAGTGGACTGCTTAAGCCCAGGAATTTGAGACTGGCCTGGGCAATGTGGTGAAACCCTGTCTCTACAAAAAATACAAAAATTAGTCAGGTGTGTTGGTGCACGCCTGTAGTCCCAGCTACTAGGGATGCTGAGGTGGGAGGATCACTTGAGCCAGGAGGCTGAGGCTGTAATGAGTTGCGATTGCACCACTGCACTCAGCCTGGGTGACAGAGTCAAAGAAAGACCACCTGAACCAATCAGATTGTTTTAACTACGTATTAAGCCTTAAACGGAGAGATGCTGAAATTCTGCTAAACTTCCCTAAACTTTGTCTATGCAAGTGATCCCAAACTTCTAAGCCTTGGAACACTGTCTTCCACCCTTGGGTACCTGCGCTTCCCAGGTGGCTCTCCTTAAACTCTGTGCATGAATAAACTCCCTTTAGATTCTGACCCTTTTGATTATTTGAGGTTGACACACTGTGCAATATACATCACAATACCAAATATTAACCTTCAGAGTAGTCTGTGACATTTAGGTAGAAGTCTTTTTTTTAGATGGAGTCTTGCTTTGTTGCCCAGGCTGTAGCGCAGTGGCATGATCTTGGCTCACCGCAACATTGGCCTCACAGGTTCAAGCGATTCTCCTGCCTCAGCCTCCCAAGTAGCTGGGACTAAAGGCGCCCACCACCACGCCCATCTAATTTTTGTATTTTTAGTAGAGATGGGGTTTTGCCATGTTTGCCAGGCTGGTCTCGAACTTCTGACTCCAGGCGATCGACCACCTAGGTCTCCCAAAGTGCTGGGATTACAGACATAAGCTACCGTGCCCTGCCAACATTTAGGTAGAAATCTTACACATATTCCTATCTTTGTTCTCTCCCCACTTACATTTCTGACCTCTTCTTTACAGCTAAGAACAAATCATTTGTGGACTTGAAAAGAGTTATCATAGTAACTGAAAAAAAAACCCCAAAAACCAGAAGAGTTAAAATGCCATTCTTGCTGCTCTTTTAATTAATCAACCCTAAAAAGGCTAACTCACTTGGACACTACTTAATTAACAATCAATTAGTAAGGAAAAGATATTGAAGCAGTAAACTTAAGTGGCGGCGAAAAGTTCTGTTGACCAAACATGGATTCTCTCCTCCTAGAACCAAGTTACAGTTGGAGTTACAGAAAATACTTTGAACAGGTCCTTCGGCATCCTGTAGGAAATCAGACAAAAACACAGATCAGTTACTTTCTCTTTTTTCTTTTTTTGACACAGTGTCTCACTCTGTCGACCAGGCTGGAGTGCAGTGGCGAGATCACCGCTCACTGCAGCCTCCACCTCCTGGGCTCAAGCGATCCTCCCGCCTCAGCCCCGCAAGCAGAGGGGACTACAAGCCCGTGCCACCATGCCCAGCTAATTTTTTGTGTGTGTGTGTGATGGAGTCTCGCTCTGTGGCCCAGGCTGGAGTGCAGTGGAGCGATCTCCGCTCACTGCAAGCTCCGCCTCCCGGGTTCACACCACTCTCCTGCCTCAGCCTCCTGAGTAGCTGGGACTACAGGCGCCCACCACGACGCCCAGATAATTTTTTGTATTTTTGTAGAGACCGAATTTCACCATGTTGCCCAAGCTAGTCTGGAACGCCTGAGCTCAAGGGATCCGCCCACCTAGGCCTCCCAAAGTGCTGGGATTACGGGTGTGAGCCACTGGGCCGGCCCAATAACTTTCTTCAGTCTGAGCATGAGCACTGGAAGAAAAGCTCTCACTTGCATATATTTTTTTTTTAGAGACAGGGTCTCCCTCTGTCACCCAGGCTGAAGTGCAGTGGTGTAATCTCGGCTCACAGTAACCTCAACCTCCCGGGCTCCATCGCATATATATATATATATATACACACACATATATATAGTTTTTTATTTTTTAGACGGAGTCTTGGTCTGTCGCCCAGGCTAGAGTGCAGTGGCACGATCTCGGCTAACTGCAGCCTCTGCCTCCCGGGTTCAAGCAATTGTCTGCCTCTGCCTCAACCTCCCGAATAGCTGGTATTACATGTGCCCGCCACCACGCCCGGCTAATTTTTGCATTTTTAGTAGAGACGGGATTCACCATGCTGGCCAGGATGGTCTTGAATTCCCGACCTCGTGATCCACCTGTCTCGGCCTCCCAAAGTGCTGGGATTACAGGCGTGAGCCACCGCGCCCGGCCCGATCGCTTATATTTTTAAAAAGATGTTTTCTTGGTTTCCTAGCCCCTCGTACCCCCTACAAAGTTCCAAAGGCTTTGATGTTGTTGCAACGGCCATCAGAGGTCAAGCCGAGGGGTGCAGCTCCCTAATGCGGTGCAGCCTCAGACGGGGCCGATCCTGCCCAGGATGAGCGGCGCCAGGGGTGGGGGACGCTGCCGGCGTCCCCGGGACCTGGCTGGGGGAGGAGTTGGGGGGCGCACCTACACAGGCTCAGGTGACGCGAGTGTGCGGCAAGGGCTGTAGCCGGAGCTAGCGGACTTGTGGCCACTGAGGAGCTTCTGCCTGAACGTGCCCTCCAGGCGACAGCCGCTTGGTGCGCAGCGCCTGCTCGCTAAGCGTCAGGCCCTTGCTGCGCCCTACGCCGCAGGCTGGGAAGTAGCGCAGGCAGTAGTAGTACAGGCAGCGGTAAAGCTCCTCCTTGTAGCTTATTGGTGTCGGCGGCCTGGTCTGGGCCTGCGGACCCTAACCCACCGCCTGCTGACACTGACCGGCAGTCTGTGGCCATGCGTCTGCGCATGCGCTCTCCTGGAATACCCAGCCGCTGCGCCTCGAGTTCCGATTGGTTCTACAGAAGGGGCGGGCCTGTGAGATATCACAGGGGCGCGCCTCAGCTGACGTCACAGGCGCGGGCCTTCCGGCGTCGTAATAGCGCCGGCCTTCGGCGACGTCACAGTGGCGCTACAGTGCCTGGAGCTGCGCTGGTTTTTCCTCGGAGTGGAGCCTGGTAACCGCGACTTCCCCGCCATGTTCTGTGTGTTGCTGGCTGGAGAAGGGTGGTTGACAAACTCCGACCCAGCACAGTGTTTCTGTGGGTCAAAACTAGAAAACTATGTCCAGGCTCGGCCGAGGCGGAAGGATCCGTTCAGGCCAGGAGTTAAAGAGCTGCCTGGGCAACATGGCGCGACCCCATCTCTGTAGTCCCACCTCAGCTTCCCAGATACTTGAACCCCAAGGTTCAAGGCTGCAATGAGCTATGATCCCATCACAGCACTCCATCCTGCGAGACGGAGGTAAACCTTGTCTAAAAAAATAAACTATCCAAGTGTACAACAGGGAGGGACTGCTTAAAGAAAACATGATAATTGTATGTTCAAATACTTTTAACAAGTGCAAAATGTATAGGCTGAAATAAATAGGGCTGGCCGGGCACGTTGGCTCACGCCTGTAAATTCCAACATTTTGTGTGCTCGAGGCATTCCGATCAGTAGACATGGGTGAAACCCCATGTCTACTAAAAATATAAAAATTAGGCCAGGAACTTTGCATCGTTTTAGGGGGCTCGCATCTCCCTAAGGGCCCGGTAATTGAACCCCTTGGACCTGAGGGTGAGAAACCTTGGCTCAGTTCTTCCCAGGGTGATCAGCCCAGGGGTAAGCGAGGAGAGACCAGAAAACAGGACCCATGAGAAGGTCCCCCTCCTGGAGTTTGAGGCCCATTCCTTCTTGTCCCTGCGTCTCCTCTTTCCAGGACTCCTCCCTGCTCTGCCCCACTCCTGGGAGTGGGGTCATGGCCATGGGGGGCTGCTTTTGGGTACAGGCCCCAGCGGCAACCCTGGGCCCAAAGTGGGCAGGCTCACCTGGAGGGGATCAGAGTCACATGGCAAGACGCAAGGGGAAAAGCCGCGCTGGAACCGCACCTCTCTGCCCCCTGATGTCAGTGGGTGCACTCTTCCCTCACCTCACTCAGGCAGCGGCTTGAGTTCCATGGGAGCACTGTCCTGCTCCCTCTGCTGCCTCTTTTTAGTCTTGGGGCTACTATAACACTTTCCCTTCCCCAGCCCTGCCAACCTGGTGGGACATTGGGCTTCCCTCTTCCTGGGGACAGGCGGGTCCTGGGGACAAGCCTGTCCTGTATCATACCTGCAGCGAGACTCTTTTTTTCTCCAGGACCTGCGGAGCAGCCAGGCTTCATGAGTTAAATGCAGATCTGAACCATACCCAGTTGGGATTGGGGTACACACTCTACTCCTCTGAAAACTAGCTAGGGGTTCGAACTTGGTGAGAGGGAGAGTGGGACAGAGCCAGACCAGACAAGGACTGATCACCTGGAAAAACCTGCCATCAAAGACCTTGACGAGTGCTGGGGGCGGTGGCTCATGCCTGTAATCCCAACACTTTGGGAGGCTGAGACAGGTGGATCACTTGAGGCCAGGAGTTCGAGTCCCGCCTGGGCAACATGGCAAAACCCTGTCTCTACTAAAAATACAAAAATTAGCTAGGTATGCTATGCTCCTGTAATCCCAGCTACTCGGGAGGTTGAGGCAGGAGAATCGTTTGAACTGGGGAGGTAGAGGTTGCAGTGAGCTGAGATTGTGTCACTGCCCTCCAGCCTGGGTGACAGAGTGAGACTCCGTCTCAAAAAAAAAAAAAAAACCCACCTGAAGAAGGTTTCCAGTTCTGCCAGCAGTCCCCCATCCAACCCCCAGAAGCAGACATTCCTTTGCTGTGGGCCATGGACAGGCAGAAGGAAGCGCCTCCTCATGGCAGAGGCCTACCCAGGAGAAACCCAAGGGAAGGCACTGCCTGGCCAGCCCCTCTGCCAAAGCCATTTTCTTTTTTCCTTTTTTTTTTTTTTTTTTTTTGAGACACAGTTTCACTCTGTCTCCCAGACTGGAGTGCAGTGGCATGATCTTGGCTCACTTCAACCTTCACCCCCTCCCCCGCCCCCTGCCGGGTTCAAGTGATTCCCATGTTTCAGCTTCCTGAGTAGCTGAGATTGCAGGCATGCGCCACCACACCTGTCTAATTTTTGTAGAGACGGGGTTTCACCATGTTGGCCAGGCTGGTCTGGAACTCCTGACTTGAAGTAATCTGCCCACCTCGGCTTCCCAAAGTGCTGGGATTACAGGCGTGAGCCACTGCGCCTGGCCCCTTCAGGTGGGTATTGAGGCTTCACTACAATACTAGTTCCCCGTTGCTGCCGCAATAAATTACCACACACTTAGTGGCTTAAAACAGCATAGAGGTATTCCTTTACATTTCTGAAGGCCAGAATTCTAAAGTCAGTCCCACTGAGTCAAGGTGGGAGCAGGGTCAGTGCCTTTCCAGGCTCTGCGGGAGAATCCGTTTCCTGGCCCTGGAGGCGGCCTGTACTCCTCAGCTTGTGCTGCCCTTCTCGAATGACTCGCGTTTCCTGCTTTCATCACTACACCTCCCACCGCTCTCCATCACCTGCTCTGCTCTTATAAGGATCCAGGTGAGTACATAAACCCTGTGGGGACAAGCTGGCCAAAGACTCTTAACTTCATTATACTTGCAAAGCCCCTTTTGCCATATAAGGTCATGTTCACTGGTTCCAGGGATTATGATGTGGGCATCTTGGGGGCATCAGCCTACTACAGCTAGGCTGCAAAACTATTACACCCTCCTGGTGTTTCAATGATTGGGAGAAAAAGGGTTGGGATTTTTTGCTTTGGGGTCCCTGTTAAACTTGTATCTGTAAGGTCTGGGGTCTCTCTTAACCTGGTGTTTTTGTTTTTGTTTTTTGAGACGGAGTATTGCTCTGTCATCCAGGCTGGCAGTGGCACCGTCTCGGCCCACTGTAACATCTGCCTCCTGGGTTCAAGCAATTCTGCCTCAGCCTCCCAAGTAGCTGGGACTGCAGCTGTCTGCCACCACACCTGGCTAACTTTTGTATTTTTGGTGGAGACGGGGATGGGACTGGGGGGTCGGGGAGGGGAGGGGGGGTTTCTGCTGTGTTGACCTTAGCTCAAAGGATCTGCCCTGCCTCTGCTTCCAAAGGGCTAGGATTACAGGCCTGCACCACCACCACTGTAAAATCTTATTTCCACACAGCTGAGACATGTTTTAGGAAGTTTGCTAAAAGACCCCTGGAGACCTCATTGTGGCCTCCCTGCTGTTGTGTTTAATTTGATTGATCTTCTCTGCCCTTCTGCTTTTCAGAATTAAAAGACTAAAAAGAGGTACTAAACTTTAAAACTTCTCTTATAGTCTCCCTTTAAAGTAATTCTAAGAACCACCAAAAAGGGGAAAAATTTTTTCAAAAGCAGTAAAATGATATGATCTGTTAGGATGTAAAATATAGAAAATAAGTCATTATATGTTATTGCTGCTTTGACATAGGGATGTATTGAGAATCAACTTTTGGTCAATTTTCAGAGAAATGGAATAATCTTATTGCTGATCTATGTAAACAAGTTGAAGAATTGTCTGAAAGAAAATACAGTGTGTCTAAACTGGAAAAGTCCTGTAATAGTTTGTTCATGAGCATTTACACAGTGGAGTTACTGTTCATCATGGGGGTACTGTGGACAAGCCCAGGGCTGCTGGTGAGTCACGCCATCCTTACACGTCTCTCCTTGTAAGGTACTTTGTAGTGTCTGTCTAAATATTAGAAACATTCTTTGTTTCTAGATTACTAGAAAGCTAAGGAAAAGTTGTATTTCTCTAATTATCAATTAGCATTTCTTTTAAACTTTCAGCATAATATTTGGGATTTATTTACATGCTTATTGCAAATCCCTGGATCTTAGGGATTTAATTGAACATATATATATATATATATATATATATATATATATTTTTTTTTTTTTTTTTTTTTTTTTTTTTTGAGATGGAGTCTCACTCTGTCGCCGAGGCTGGAGTGCAGTGGTGTGATCTCAGCTCACCGCAACCTCCGTCTGCCAGGTTCAAGCAATTCTCTGCCTCAGCCTACTGAGCAGGTGGGATTACAGGTGCCCACCACCACGCCCCACTAATTTTGTATTTTTAGGTGAGATGGGGTTTCACGATCTTGGCCAGGCTGGTCTTGAACTCTGGACCTTGTGATCCACCCACCTTGGCCTCCCAAAGTGCTGGGATTATAGGCGTGAGCCAACTCACCAGGCCATTTTTTATTTTTTTAAACTAATTGTTTCTCTCAATCTGCTTTGTTAAATTTGTTATTTGGCCAGGCATGGTGGCTCATGCCTGTGATCCCAGCACTGTGGGAGGCCGAGGCAGGCGGATCACCTGAGATGGGAGTTCGAGACCAAACTAACCAACATGGAGAAACTCTTTCTCTACTAAAAACACAAAATTATCCGGGTGTGGTGGCGCATGCCTGTAGTCCCAGCTACGCAGGAGGCCAAGGCAGGAGAATTGCTTGAACCTGGGAGGTGGCGGTTGTGGTGAGCCAAGATCACACCATTGCACTCTTAGTCTGGGCAACAAGAGCAAAATTCTGTCTAAAAAAAAAAAATTCGATATTCATCAAGATGCCCCTATTGTCTCTACTTTTTATCTTGATGCATTGCCGAGTTGACGTTAGATTTCAAATTCTTCTTTGCCCTTATACTGTTCTATCCTAAAGCCACCTTTATATAATGATGAAAGAAATTAGCAATTTGTTGTTATCTCTTTGATGGTATATAGCAAATGCTTACCTAAAAATAGCAACAACCTGCGAAAAACATCATGTGTTTTGCCGTTTTTATTTGAATGACTATTTACTTTGCAGTCTACTAGCAAGCTATAGAATTGTGTGATACGCAGAATTTTAACTGAAGTGCTTTAAGTGAACATTTAAACATGATAAACCATATTAATGGTGTTTATGTTAATATACTTGAAGTGAACATTTTCTCTTCATCATGAGTAATATAACGTACCCCTCAATGAAAGTCTAGAATTAGAGTAAATTTGCTAATTAATTAATAACTTTTCCATAATATTTTTAGTTATGTGCTTAAGGCTCTTTTAGTGTTTCTCCTACTTTTTAATAGCTTATGCCTTTTTTGCCTTTGTTTTTTATTGGTTCATTTTAAAGCAAAAACCTCATAACGTGTTATTTGGAAGCACTGTAACCTAGTGGTGAGATCATAGGCTCTGGGGACACAGCCTGGCCACATCTCTTCTCCTTCTGAGCCTTAGTATCCTCTTTTGTGTTCATGAGAACTGAAGATTTATCCCAAAGATTTGATAAGATAGTAAAGTGCTTCACATAATACCAGGCATATAAATACATAGTAAATGCTTCCTTCTTATGTTTTTATTGGTTGATTGATTGATTGATTGAGACAGAATCTTGCTCTGTCACCCAGGCTGGAGTGCAGTGGCACTATCTCAGCTCACTACAACCTCTGCCTCCCTGGTTCGAGAAATTCTGCTGCCTCAGCCTCCCAGGTAGCTGTGATTACAGGCGTACATCACTATGCCCAGCTAATACCAGCTAATTTTTGTATTTTTAGTAGAGACAAGAGTTTTTCCATGTAGGCCCGGCTGGCCTCGAACTCCTGACCTCAAGTGATCCACCTGCCTCCCAAAGTGGGATTACAGATGTGAGCCACCATTATGTTTTTATTATATTGTTAATTTAGTACTATTCTGAGTAAAAATAATTTGCTATTACAGTCTTATAAATTGACTATGACAATTTTATAAATGTCAATGCTTTTTGTAAGGTGAAACATTAATGTTGTGGGGCTTTTGTTGTGATGGTGATTTATTAGATTATTTTGTTTAAAGACAATAATGTTCAGCTGTTGTGAAATTACAAAAACAATCTTCACATTTCATAATTTTAAAGCAATATTAATGGTAATTACCTTAGAGAAAGATAGTTTTGTTGTGATATATAAGTATGATACTGAAGTTTAGTGTACAGCAAAGGATATTAAACCTAAGTCAGCACTAATGTGTTATATAGTACACTTGAAACTTTAGTATAGATATCGATGTTTAGCAAATAGACATTGACACATAATGATAGCAAAAAATGGAGCTGTTCTGATGGAAGACCGTTGATTATGTTTGATTTTAATACTTCCCATGCTCTTGACCTTTTTTTTTTTTTCTTTGAGAGAGAGTCTTGCTCTGTCACCCAGGCTGGAGTGCAGTGGCACCATCTCAGCTCACTGCAACCTCCACCTCTCAGGTTCAAGCGATCCTTTCACCTCAGCCTCCCCAGTAGCTGGAACTACAGGCGAGTGCCACCTTGCCTGGCTAATTTTTGTATTTTTAGTACATATGGGGTTTCACCATGTTGGCCAGGCTGGTCTCAAACTGCTGACCTCAGGTGATCAACCTGCCTTGGCCTCGCAAAGTGCTGGGGTTACAGGCATGAGCCACCACACCTGGTCAGCTCTTGACTCTTTATAGCTGTTGTATTATTTTAATCTTGAGTAAATAAATGCTCGCTGAAATGTTGCAGTTCATGAGAATCTTCTTCTGTTATTTAAAAAATTATTTGTAAAAGTCCAATAAGGTTACACTAATGTTTATGTTTTGAAAATATTACCTCTTCCATTTAGTACTATATGTATTAAATAAAAGTAGACAGTTTTTTTTTTTTTGGCTTTATAATGTGGTTCAGATTTTTTTAGAAAGTCTGGCTGTGTCTACATTGCCTTAAAGCAATAGGATATTTCTCTTTATTTATTTATTTGTTTGTTTTTTTTGAGCTAGAGTTTCGCTCCTGTTACCCATGGTGGAGTGCGGTGGTGTGATCTCGGCTCACTGCAACATCTGCCTCCCAGATTCAAGCAATTCTCCTAGCTCAGCCTCCTGAGTAGCTGTGATTACAGGCACCCACCACCATACCCTCCTAATTTTTGTATTTTTAGTAGAGTTGGGGTTTCACCATGTTGGCCAGGTGGGTCTTGAACTCCTGACCTCAGGTGATCCTCCCGCTTCAGCCTCCCAAAATGCTGGGATTACAGGCATGAACCACCTTGTCCCGCCAGGAATGTTTTTTAAGAAGGCTATCTACTTACAGAATTCCTGGCCTTGAGAGGATATTACTTGGAAAGGAAAGGATTTGTTTTGTGATTAAAAAGTAAGACTCTTGGATTCTTGTTGGACTCTTATCTCTGTTCTGAGTAATATATCTTTGTTATTGTTGACAAATAATCATTCCCCATTAGGGTTATATTTAATTAAGTTTGAGTTATTTTATGTTTTTTGTTGTTGTTGTTGTTGTTTTGAGATGGAGTGTTGCTCTGTCGCCCAGGCTGGAGGGCAGTGGCATGATCTCGGCTCATTGCAACCTCCACCTCCCAGCTTTAAGCAATTCTCCTGCCTCAGCCTCCCGAGTAGCTGGGAGTACAGGTGTCCACCAACATGCCCCGCTGATTTTTGCATTTTTAGTAGAGACGGGGATTTACCATTATTGGCCAGGCTGGTCTTGAACTCCTGAGCTTGTGATCTGCCCGCCTTGGACTCCCAAAGTGCTGGGATTACAGACTTGAGCCACCACGTCCGTCCTATTATATGTATTTTTATGTATCACTTTTTAATTTATTTGGGTCCAACATTGAGTCAGTCATGCCAGTGTTAGCTTTTGAAACATGAACACTGCCCGCACCTGACTGGCATGCAACTGACATTTTCTTTCACAATTTTCTGCTACTTTTGCTAAAAATAATAATATCCATGTCTTGCTTTTAGGCCTAAGATTTTTATAGCATATGTGGGAATATATGATTGTTTTTCTAGATGTGTAGAGGAAGATAGTCTTGAATGCAGTGTGATATTAAAGGATCCCATTTAAGATTTTTGTAATATGCTTCAAAGACCTGTGGGTTGCAAAGTTACCACTTTTGAGGGCACATGCTCCATGAAGCACCTTATGTGACAATTTACAATTATTGTTTTGTTTTGTCACTCTGTAGAAACCTCAAATGAAGGTGTAGTTGGGCTCAAGCATCCAGATTATCTTTTCTCTTCTTATTTTTTCTTCTTTTCCCAAGATGGAGTCTTGCTCTGTCACCCAGGTTGGAGTGCAGTGGCATGACCTTGGCTCACTGCAACCTCCGCCTCCTGGGTTCAAGCAATTCTCTTGTTTCAGCCTCCCGAGTAGTTGGGATTACAGGCACCTGCCACCACACACGGCTAATTTTTGTATTTTTAGTAGAGAGAGTGTTTCATCATGTCGGCCAGGCTGGTCTAGAACTCCTGATTTTGTGATCTGCCAGTCTCGGCCTCCCAAAGTGCTGGGATTACAGGTGTGAGCGATCGTGCCCAGCCTGTCTTGTCTTTTCAAAACCATCCTTGGTGATTCAATGTTAAATATGTACTAGTGGATGTTACTTTGCTGAATATTGCCTAGTGAATATTAAGTATTCTCACCTTTCAGACATGAAGTTATGAATTTAAGATGTGAAGATTTACAGCTTGATAAACCAGCTTCAGGAGGTAGGTCTTCAGTCTTAAGTCAGATTGGAAGATTATATGCAGGCCGGCCACAGTGACTCACGTCTGTAATCCCAGCACTCTGGGAGGCCGAGGCGGGTGGATCACGAAGTCAGGAGATGGAGACCATCCTGACTGACAGGATGAAACCCCATCTCTACTAAAAATACAAAAAATTAGACGGGTGTGGTGGCGGGCACCTGTAGTCCCATCTACTTGGGAGGCTGAGGCAGGAGAATGGCATGAACCCAGGAGGCGGAGCTTGCAGTGAGCCGAGATCCCGCCACTGCACTCCAGCCTGGGCGACAGAGCAAGACTCTGTCTCAAAAAAAAAAAAAAAAAAAAAAGATTATGTGCAATAATTATTTAATGCTTAACATTGTTTTTTTTTAAAATGGTACCTTCCACATGAAATAATATGCCTGTAACTATTAATTATGTTCCAGGATAGGAGAATTCATGTTGTCAAAATTCTTTTTTTTTTTTTGAGATGGAGTTTTGCTCTTGTTGCCCAGGCTAGAGTGCAATGGCACAATCTTGGTTCACTGCAACCTCTGCCTCCTGGGTTCAAGCAATTCTCCTGCCTCAGCTTCCCGAGTGGCTGAGATTACAGGCATGCACTACCACACCCGGATAATTTTGTATTTTTAATAGAGACGGGGTTTCTCCGTGTTTATCAGGCTAGTCTCGAACTCCCAACCTCAGGTGATCCATCTCGGCCTTCCAAAGTGCTGGGATTACAGGCGAGAGCTACTCCGCCTGGCCTCACGTTGTCAAAATTCGAATACTCTCTAAAACAGTGAACTCATTTTCTTTTTTTCATCTCTTAATTGTTAGATGTGTTTTGAAAGAAACAGAAGTAGAATTGGTTTTCATACTTGTTTTGCTTCTGGAGTGAAATGGGGACAAAACAATGGAATCACACTGTTAAGATTTACTAAAATGGAAGGATTGCAGCAAGATCATATCCCTAGTCTCCCCATAGCAAATGGCACCTGCTAGCTGTTCTTTTTTTTTTGAAATGGAGTCTTCCTCTGTCACCCAGGCTGGAGTGCAGTGCTGCTATCTTGGCTCATTGCAACCTCTGCCTCCCAGGATCAAGCAATTCTCTTGCCTCAGTCTCCTGAGTAGCTGGGATTACAGGTGCACGCCACCATGCTTGGCTAATTTTTGTAATTTTTTTTTTTTTTTTTTTGAGATGGAGTCTTGCCGTGTTGCCCAGGCTGGAATGCAGTGGTGCGATCTCGGCTCACTACAAGCTCCGCCTCCCGGGTTCATACCATTCTCCTGCCTCAGCCTCCCAAGTAGCTGGGACTACAGGCACCTGCGACCACACCCGGCGAATTTTTTGTATTTTTAGTAGAGATGGGGTTTCACCATGTTAGCGAGAATGGTCTTGATCTCCTGACTTCATGATCCACCTGCCTTGGCCTTCCAAAGTGCTGGAATTACAGGCATGAGCCACTGCGCCCGGCCCTAATTTTTGTAATTTTTTAGTAGAGATGGGGTTTCACCATGTTGGCCAGGCTGGTCTGAAACTCCTGATATTATGATCCGTCTGCCTCGTCCTCCCAAAGAGTTGGGATTACAGGTTTGAGCCACTGCGCCTGGTCATAATGTTTTCTATAATGTTGTTTTATTTTAGGAAAGTAAATACAATGAGTAGGACACAGCTCCACGATTCTCTTAACTGTTTTTTTGTTGTTGTTGTTGTTGTTGTTTTTTGAGGTGGAGTTTCACTGTTGTTGCCTAGGCTGGAGTGCAGTGCTGTGATCTCAGCTCACTGCAGCCTGTGCCTCCTGGGTTCAAGCAATTCTCCTGCCTCAGCTTCCCGTGTAGCTGGGGTTACAGGTGCCTGCCACCTTGCCTGACTAAATTTTGTATTTTTAGTAGAGATGGGGATTCACCATGTTTGCCAGGCTGGTCTCGAACTCCCGATCTCAGTTGATTCACCCGTCTTGGCCTCCTAAAGTGCCGGGATTACAGGTGTGAGTCACTGCACTCATCTGTAATGGGATATTTCACTGCAGACTTTGATAAACAGAATATTAGCATTTTTGGTGGTGTTTTTATTTTACTCATAATATTTTTCTTTTGACTCAATTACAAAAACAAGTGAAGTTCAGATTATAAAAATTAAAGAGCAATACAGATTCAATATTTTTTTCTACATATTGTGTTTAAATGATATCCTTTTTTCCTTTTGTCCTTATAGCTCAAGCTGTAAAAGCCAAAGGTCCACCCCTTTTTTCCAGTCTCATGTTGAAGATCTTTATGTAGAAGGCCTTCCCACAGGAATTTTTTTTTTTTTTTTTTTTTTTTTGTGTGACGGAGTTTTTACTCTTGTTGCCCAGGCTGGAGTGCCATGGCGCCATCTTGGCTCACTGCAACCTCTGCCTCCCGGGTTCAAGAGATTCTCCTGCCTCAGCCTCCTGAGTACCTGGGATTACAGGTGTGCGCCTCCAAGCCTGGCTAATTTTGTATTTTTATTAGGAACAGAGTTTCTCTATGTTGGTCAGGTTGGTCTCTAACTTGCGATCTCAGGTGATCCGCCTGCCTCGGCCTCCCAAAGTCCTGGGATTACAGGTGAGAGCCACTGCGCCCAGCCTGTTTTATGTATTTTTATGTACCACTTTTTAATTTACCTGGGTCCAACATTGAGTCAGTCATGCCAGTGTTACCTTTCGAAACATGAACACTGCCCACACCTGACTGGCGTGCAACTGACATTTTCTTTCACAATTTTCTGTTACTTTTGCTAAAAATAGAATAGTATCCATGTCTTGTTTTTAGGCCTGAGATTTTTAAAGCATATGTGGGAATATATGATTGTTTTTCTAGATGTGTAGAGGAAGATAGTCTTGAATGCAATGTGATATTAAAGGATCCCATTTAAGATTTTTGTAATGTGCTTCAAATACCTGTGGGTTGCAAAGTTACCACTTTACTTTTGAGGACACATGCTCTGTGAAGCACGTTATGAGACAATTTGCAATTATTACTTTGTTTTGTTACTTTGTAGAAACCTCAAATGAAGATTTAGTGGTGCTCAAGCATCCAGATTGTCTTTTCTTTTCTTAATTTTTTTTTTTCCCCGATTTGGAGTCTTGCTCTGTCACCCAGGATGTAGTGCAGTGGCATGGTCTTGACACACTGCAACCTCTGTCTCCTGGGTTCAGGCGATTCTCCTGTCTCAGCCTCCCAAGTAGCTGGGATTACAGGCACCTGCCACCATGGCTGGCTAAGTTTTGTATTTTTAGTAGAGATGAGGTTTCACCATGTTGGCCAGGCTGGTCTTGAACTCCTGACCTTGTGATCTGCCAGCCTCTACCTTCCAAAGTGCTGGGATTACAGGCGTGAGCCACCATGCCCAGCCTGTCTTTTCTTTTCAAAACCACCCTTGGTGATGAAATGTTAAATGTGATTAAATGTTAAATAAATACTAGCGGATATTTGCTGAATATTGCCTAGTGAATATTATTTATTCTCACCTTTCAGACATGATCTTATGAATTCAACACATGAAGATTTACAACTTGATAAACCAGCTTCAGGAGGTAGGTGGCACACCCCAATCAGTCACTTGTGCATCCAGAAGGGAGGGAACGTGTTTCAAATATGAGTAAAGGCAGGGAGGTGTCAGGTATGCTCACATGTTCACATACCTCACCTATTCTGTGTGGAGTGAGGAGTGCCATGTGGGCATTGTAGGATTGCATAGATAGACTTGGGTGGCCAAGTGGAGGAAGGCCTTAGATCCTACAAAAGCAGTGGTAGTCATTAAATGGTCTCATAGCACTTCTCTCTTAAAATAATGTGGATCTGTCCTTTAGAAAGATTATTCTGGGTTGATTTTGAAGGATAACACAGTGGGTAGTTTGAGTGTGGGGGGTAGGAACAGAAGGCCTCTCTCTACTCATGGAAGGAATGTTGAAGTGGGCAGAGTCTTGTTTACTGATTGGGGTTGTGTATCTGTGTATATTTGTTGGGACTGAGTTATAAGGGAGAGGAAAGGTTTAAGATGATGCAAGCTGCTTCTGGCTGTGTTGTGGGACAGTTCATCCAAGATTCAGAAACAGAATTGAGCTGGTTTGGGGGAAAAGTGACTTTTGCATATTTATCTTATAAAAAAGATGACTTTGGAGACATCTAGATGGTCTCACCTGAGTGTCTGAAAATTGCTATTTTCAAAATTCAAGTCACCAGAATGAGTTTTTTCACTGTAAAATGAAGGCAGAGTGGACCATGTTTAAAAATTGGCTGGGCACAGTGACTCATGCTTGTAATCCCAGCACTTTGGGAGGCTGAGGCAGGTAGATCACCTGAGGTCAGGAGTTCGAGACCAGCCTGGCCAACATGGCAAAACCCTGTGTCTACTAAAAATACAAAAATTAGCTGGGTGTGGTGGGGCACACTTGTGGTCCCAGCTACTCGGGAGTCTGAGGCAGGAGAATTGCTTGAACCTGGGAGACAGAGGTTGCAGGGAGTCGAGATTGTGCCATTGCACTCCAGCCTGGGTGACAAAATGAGACTCAGTCTCAATAATAATAATAATTATTATTATTAGCAGTGCACAGCTGTGTGAGAAAGGCCTATAGATTTCTTCTAAATGCTTTATTATAATACTAATATCAACTATGTTTTTACAGATCAGAACTTCTTATAATACAACTGACGTTACTCAGCCTAGAACAAATACAACAGGTAACATAGTTGTGAAATCCTTTTTAAAAGCACAGATTAATCTTTAAGCTTTTAAAAATTAATCTTTTAATTTGATGGAACTGCTCCTTCCTTCACCTCCCCAAAAAATCTTTTGCTGAAGCTCGATACAGGCACTCCTTGATTTATCAATATGAACATGTGCAGTGTAGGGATCACTCAAGCTTTTTTTTTCTTTCTTCCTTTTTTTGATACAGAGTCTCACTCTGTCATCCAGGCTGGAGTGCAGTGGTACAATCTTGGCTAACTGCCACCAGGCTTAAGCAATTCTCCTTCCTCAGCCTCAGCCTCCTGAGTAGCTGGGATTACAGGCGCGCACCACCATGCCTGGCCAAATTTTGTATTTTGTGTTTTGGCCAGGCTGGTCTCAAACTCCTTCGCTCAGGTGATCCTTCTGCCTGAGCCTCCCAAAGTGCTGGATTACAGGTGTGAGTCACCGCACCCGGCATTAATGTACTCTGAGGATGCTGACTTCCAGATAGCCATTTTTGGGTCAAGGAAAGTTCAAGTCTCCTGAGTATAGTAGCCATACCTCCTAGAGAGCTTCCTTTTGGTTTGGTTACAAAATGTATTTTAGCTTAGTTTTCTTACATTAGGTGGGCGAAATAAGAATGAGCAGAAGGCTGGGGACGGAGGCTCACGCCTGTAATCCCAGCACTTTGGGCAGCTGAGGCAGGCAGATCACCTGAGGTCAGAAGTTCAAGAGCAGCCTGGCCAATATGGTGAAACCCCATTTCTACTAAAAATACAAAAATCAGCTGGGTGTGATGGTGTGTACCTGTAATCCCAACTACTTGGGAGGCTGAGGCATGAGAATCGCTTGAACCCAGGAGGCGGAGGTTGCAGTGAGCCGAGATTGCACCATTACACTCTAGCCTGGGGGATAGAGCAAGACTGTCTCCAAAAAAAAAAAAAAACAAAAAGGCAGAAAAGTTTAGGGACACCCAACAAAACTAGAATTGGAAACAGGGAATTACGCTGTTTGTAGATGATTTCTTTTCAAGATGGGCTAGTGGAGTTTCTGAGCAGCAGCTACGTTCTCCTTTCACATCTTCATGTTTCATAAGGTTACCTTTAGCCCTCTGAGTGATCAGATTTCCCTCACAGTCACTCACGGGAGCCCTTGATCTTGACAAAATAGAACTTGAGTAGCTGAGTTCAAATAACTGAGGTGGCAAGAGGGGATCTCCTTCTTGGTTCTTATATTTTTTTTAAATGAAAGAGCTAGAGAAGCAATCTCAAGGTCAGGATAACTCACCCTGGTGTTCTCACTTTTCAGGGATTGTGCTGCATTCTGACTTGGATTCTGCCATCGAACACAGAATGCCCTGATCCTTAGATGCAGAGGCAGCTCTTCAGCCTATGGGGTAAGTAACCAGGGAATGGAATTCTCACCAATTCTTATTTTCTATGCTAAAAGTTTTACTTTACGATTTGGGCCTGCTTCTTTTTTTTTTGAAATGGGGTTTCATTCTTGGTGCCCAGGCTGGAGTGCAGTGGCACTGTCTCGGCTCACTGCAACCTCCGCCTACCGGGTTCAAATGATTCTCCTGCCTCAGCTTCCCAAATAGCTGAGATTATAGGCATGCACCACCACGTCTGGCTAGTTTTTTTAAATTTTTAGTAGAGATGGGGTTTCACTGTGTTGGACAAGCTGGTCTTTAACTCCTGACCTTGGGTGATCCACCTGCCTTGGCCTCCCAAAGTGCTGAGATTACAGGTGTGAGCCACTGGGCCTGGGCTTGGGCCTGGGCCTGGGCCTGCTTCTTTCTCTCTCTCTCTCTCTTTTTTTTTTTTTTCAGTAGCAGTTTAAAATTGGTACCTCATTTAGACACAAGCAAAAGGATATTAGCCCACTTTGGAAATAGGTGTGAGTCCACATATGATTTTCCTAGTTTTTCCTCTTCCTTCACTTTTTGCTCTCTTGGTAGTATGTTAATTCTATTCTCTCTCTGAATCTTTTTTCTTCATTTCTTTGGCAGATATTTTTACTTGTCTTGGAAGAGTAGTTTTTAGGACTCTTTAAAAGGTTACAATATGGATGACAATCTTGGCTAATGGTAACCAGATCCAGGGAGCTGGGGTAGTGTTAGCTGGAATCAGTTCAAATTAGCAAAGCAGTGGTGTTCAGTGGCAGGAATACAAGTGTCCACATCTTGTTTAACACAAGATATGTTAAACACATCTTGAAAGGGATAGTGACATCATTCTCAGAATCTGTTGGGAATACACATAGCCTGTAGACCCATTTGTCTTTGACCCTGTAAAGATATTTTAAAGAGTAATACCCTGAGTGGTTTTCTGTCCAGTTTGCCTGCTCATTTATCTTTGAGGACAGCATGCCTTGTGGAGCTCCGCAGGCCCCAGGGGTGTGTGGATTCTACATTTGAAAGTGCTGATGCTGAGAGACTGTGTCTTGGCGGACCCCAAGGAGTCTGCTTTTCCTCTACTTATTGTCCCTGCTTTTCCTGGCAGCTGGCATTGCTGTTTAAATGGGTTGTTCTTTGCTGTTTAAGTTGTTTGGTAGTGGTGTGTCAGGATGCGGGTTTTCTGAATACTTTTCCAGCTGGTTACTTGAGTGGTGGTTAGGGAGGAGCTGTCTTGGGGCTGTTCTGGAGCTGTTGAGGTCGGGTGTCTGTCTGGATACTCACAGCCTATCTGTTGAGGAGAACGCTGTTCTCATTGTGCTGCCTTTGGTGATGCTGTGTGTGGCTCTTTAGATGTGGGTGGAGGTGAGTTCGGGGAGTTAATGAGATCTTTTTTAGGTGCTTTTGATAAAGTAGTCTGCACTAGAGGATTCATTGTGACTTTCTCCCTTAACCTGCACATACTTCTCTGCTCACCCTTGCTGTCTTTCTCATGCCTTTGATTTTCCCATCTCCTGTTGGTTGAATTTACATAAAAGCTCTGCTGTAGTTTAAATGTGTCCCCTAAAGTTTATGTGCTGGAAACTCAATCCTCAATGCAACAGTTGGAATGTGGGGCCTAATAAGAGAGCCCTCATTAATGAATTAATGTTGTTATTTTGGTAATAGATTAGTAATCACAAGAGTGGGCTTATTGTAAAAGAGAGTTCAGCCCCTGTTGCCCTCTTGCTTTCTCGCACTCTCTTGTCCTTCTGCCTTCTGCCATGGGATGATCTTTTTCTGTCATGGGATGATATTCCCTCATATTCAGAAAAGGGAGTCTCCCATTAGGAATAAAGTCATGAGAAGAAATGGGCATTTTCATAATTATGGTGTTTTCTTTATAGCAGTGGTTCTCAAAGGTAGTTCCTAGCAGTATCACCTGGAAACTTGTTAAATTTGAATTCTCAGGCCCTATCCCAGGCCAGCTGAATCAGAAACTCTGGGGTGGGACCCAGTACTCTGTGTTTTAACTAGTCTTCCAAGTGATATTGATGTGCATTCAAGTCTGAGAACTACTGCTTGTCAAGTTAGTTGTTCGCTAATTTTTTACTCCCACCTTCACTGGGCCCTGGAGAGTGTGGAAGGGACAAAAGTGAGAGAACACTGTCTCTGCAGGTACTTTGTCAGTCTTCTGATTAATCGTTTGAGAAACCTAGAAAACATCTGTTGAGTACCTGCTCAGTTCCTGGCACTGTGCTAAGTGGCTAAGAGCATGGGGTGGACATGTAAGCAAGTAATTGTAATAGGACATGAGTATTATAATGGCTGTATTTATAAAAAGCTACAGGAACTGGAGAGAAAATTATCCTGTGAGTGGGGAAGATGGAGTCAGATGTCACTTGATCCTTGAACAGGGTAGGATTTGAAGGTGAACAGACAGAAAGGTATTCTAAATGGGTTCATACATAGGATGACCATGCAACTTATTATCCAAAGGAGGTCACTTTTGAGAATCAAGGGGGGTGCTTTTATAGGCCAGGACTGTTGCTTGCTAACTGGGATGTACGATTGCCCTATTTGTAAAGAAGGAATGATGCTGTGAACCCAGAGTTCGATGTAAATTTGTGGAAAACTCATTTCTTCTAATTATTTGTAGAGTTTACAACAATTCTTATTGGATGGTATGTTTTTTTCCCTAGGGCTGCTGTAAAATATTACAGGCATACTTTGGAGATGTTACGGGTTTGGTTCCACATCACTGCAATAAAGTGAGTCACACAAATTTTTGTGTTACCCAGTGGATATAAAAGTTGTATTTTGGGCCAGGCTCCCTCTGCATCTCTGTGTTTCAGTTGGGGTAGGGTAATTTTCCGTTCAGTTTGAAGAGCTCCCCCTGGTATTTCTTCCAGTGGATGTCTTCCCATAACAATTTTTTTTTTCTCATCTGAAAATGTCTATTTTGCCATCTTTTTTTTTTTTTTTTTTTTTTTTTTTTTTGAGACGGAGTCTCTCGCTGTCACCTGGGCTGGTATGCCGTGGCGCAGTCTTGGCTCGCTGCAACCTCCACCTCCTGGGTTCAAGTGATGCTCCTGCCTTAGCCTCCCGAGTAGCTGGGACTACAAGCGTGCGCCACCAAGCCCATCTAATTTTTGTCTTTTTAGTGGAGTTGGGGTTTCACTATGTTGGCCAGGTTGGTCGAACTCCTGACCTCATTTCCACCCTCTTCTGCCTCCCAAAGTGCTGGGATTGCAGGCGTGAGCCACTGCGCTGGGCTATGTTTTTCTTTTTTTCTTTTCTTTTCTTTGAGATGGAGTCTAACTCTGTTTCCCAGGCTGGAGTGCAGTGGCACGAGCTCAGCTCACTGCAACCTCCGCCTCCTGGTTTCAAGTGGTTCTCCTGCCTCAGCCTCCGTGTAGCTAGGATTACATGCGCGTGCCACCATGCCCGGCTAATTTTTTGTATTTTTAGTAGACACAGGGTTTCACCATGTTAACCAGTTTGGTCTCAATCTCCTGACCTCGTGATCTGTTCACCTGGGGCTCCCAAAGTGATGGGATTACAGATGTGAGCCACTGCGCCAGACCTTTGCCATCAGTTTTTAAAGGAAACAGCTACTGAGCACTGGATGCTAGGTGGGCAGGTTTCTTCTTTCAGCTTTTTTTTTTTTTTTTTTAAGCCATCATACTTTAGAACCTTTCAGCGCTGTCAAATTATCTTCTGGCTTTTATTATTTATGTTGAGAATTTAGACCGGGCGTGGTGGCTAACACCTGTAATCCCAGCAATTTGGAAGGCCATGGTGGGTGGATCACATGAGCTCAGGAGTTGGAGACCAGCCTGGCCAACAGGTGAGGCCCTGTAGCAACATATGGTAGCCCTTTTTCAGTACATTGGCCTGATCCAGCTTAGTTGGATGTCATTTACATATGTGTCTTATATCTTAGATACAAGAGATTTCTTAAAAGCTTAAAGCATAACACAAATATTTACTTGACTGCACCATCTAACAAATCTAAATAAATACATTTCAGGTCTAGGCATTGCGTTTTGTATTTCTCTAAACCAGTGTGCGCATGTATTTCTCTAAACCAGTATGTGTGTATCACTTTACCCAGCCACAGCAAATGATTATGGATGAAATGGCTGCAGCAAAGCTAAAACTATGATATGCCTTTGAGAAAAAAATATTGAGCTGAGGCCACCGCTGTCGCGGCCGCCACAGCCGCCGCCATCTTCTTCCTGCCCTTGCCTTGGTGGGTGGCGGTTTCCTGCGCCGTGTCTGGCTTGGCCAGCCGGAGCACCGCGCTGGGCTCCATGCAGCCGGGCTGCGCGGCCGCTCAGAGCGGGTGCCTCCGGGGCTCCGGTCGGGGGCCTGGCAGGAGTGGGCCGGGGATGGCCGCGGCAGGCGGCAGGTCGGCCGTGGAGCCCCGGGGAGGCGGCCGCCACGATCGCTGCCCGAAGTCTGCGAGATGTCCGGCAGTCCGCTCAGGGCCCCTTTTGCAGACTCGGTGCCCGGTGTGCATCGATGCCGCCTGTCGGTCTTGGCACCGCTGGCGCAGCCGCCGCGTAGGAGGCCTGGCTCCAGATCCCCGACCCCTACGAGCGCCGGCCCTGCGTGCCTGCTATGTTGGTGCCATCTCTTCTGCATATTTATGCTTGCCTGTCACATTCCCTGGCCTCTGAGTGTCCTTTGGCAGTTTCCAAAGCATTTGGGCAAGAAGGAGCTTGGGGAGCTTCACAGCAGGTGGGGGTGCACAGGGGAGGGACCGCAGCCAGACCAGCAGAGCGCTTCAAGGGCTGCCACGCTGACGGACTTCCACACTGTCTTTCGGAACTGGGGTTAGGGGACAGCCCTTGGCCACCACCGTGTCCTTACTCTGTCACTTTACTTGGGCCTGGACCTCCCCTTTCCAGCTCTGGCGTGTGACACTGCACTGAGCATGGTGTCGAGACCACCACTGGCTGGGGCCGTGGCATGAAGGGTGCCCCAGGCTCGGGGAAGGTGGGGACCTTTTCCCCGCTCCCCAAATGATTTTTGCATGCTCTGGTGAGGGGACAGTTGTACTCCATTTCCCGTGTGCCAGCTTCGGGACTCAGCTGTGCTTTTGTGTCTCTTTGATTAGCAAAAGCAAAACGAATTCCTCCCTGAACACTAAGCTTCCTGGAAACTTCCCTAGACCTAAACCTGAGAACCGCATATAAACAGGCCTTGAGGGTTCTGTTGTCAGTAGCGGGTTACCTGATTGCAAACTGAGCAAGTTTAAAACGGAGTGGGCTGCTTTGGGCTGCACAGCCACCTGGCATTCTGACAGCTAAGCAGGAGGCAGAGGTGAGAGACCAAGATGGACTAAAAATGCCCTAGCCGCTGGGAGCCCAACTCGGCCCAGCCTCGTTGAAAGGAGGAACATTCGGTGCAGCCATCCGAACCTTATCCTTTATAAAACGGGACAGCTCACAGGATTACATTTCTAAGCCAATCCTGTGACCATCCTCCATGAAATTCTCTATTTTGGTTACATGTGGTCAAACTGAGCCTCACTGAAACAATTGAAAAATACTCTGGACAAATCTTAAGATATCGTTTTGAAAATCAAAAGGTATGGAAAATGTTGTGGCTTCTTTCTAAGCTTTCTTCAGCCCAAATTCTGTTATTCTCTGATCTTTTATGGTGTGAAATCATACCCATTCCATTATGTATTGATTGTCAAGAAGGAAGTAGGCTTTTATTGCTATGTTTATGTCAGTTTCCGTTTATTGTCTCACCACATTTATTGGGTTATTGCCTTTGCCTTTGACTCAACAGGAGCTGGAAGGGAAAGAATCCCAAATTCTGTTTCTTAAGGCAGCCAGTTGTCACAATGAACTTTCCTCATTTTCTATTGTGAGGCCTGAGGAAAGACATTCAGTTCCAAAGGCTGTGCCTATCCTTTTAAATAGAAGAGAGAGGGCCTGGCACGGTGGCTCATGCCTGTAATCTCAGCACTTTGGGAGGCGGAAGAAGGCGAATCGTGAGGTCAGGAGTTCGAGACCAGCCTGGCCAACATAGTGAAACCCCGTCTCTACTAAAAATACAAAGAATTAGCCAGGCGTAATGGCGGGCGCCTGTATTCCCAGCTGCTCGGGAGGCTGAGGCAGGAGAATCGCTTGAACCCGGGAGGTGGAGGTTGCAGTGAACCGAGATCATGTCACTGGACTCCAGCCTGGGCGACAGAGTGAGACTCCGTCTCAAAAAAAAAAAAAAAAAATAGAGAAGAGGAAGCAGCCGTGCCAAGGCTAGGTACTGACTGAAGCAGGAGGAACAAATTGGAAATGTGGGAATGTGAATGTGGGCAAGTTGAGGGACTTGTAGCTTCTCTTTGGTTGAATCTTTTTGCTGAAGCTGCTTTATTGTATCTGACATGTGAAACTGCACAATTTCAAACAAACCCCTATTGAAGTCAACATACAAAAAAGCATTTAAAGAACAGCCATTAGTGGCCAGGCACGGTGGCTCACGCCTGTAATCCCAGCACTTTGGAAGGCCGAGGCGGGCAGATCACGAGGTCAAGAGATCGAGACCATCCTGGCTAACATGGTGAAACCTCGTCTCTACTAAAAATACAAAAAATTAGCCAGGCGTGGTGGCAGGCGCCTGTAGTCCCAGCTACTAGGAAGGCTGAGGCAGGAGAATGGTGTGAACCTGGGAGGCGGAGGTTGTAGTGAGCCGAGACCGCGCCACTGCACTCCAGCCTGGGAAACAGAGTGAGACCCCATCTCAAAAAAAAAAAAAAAAAAAAACCATTAGTAAAAATAATTTTTTCAGTTAACGCTATTTTTCCCTTGTATAGGTGTTGGTAATCAGATAAATAGCTTATTGCATATGGAAAGTTGTTTTCTTTAAGTTAATTCAACCTATTGCAACTTAGAATCCAGGAAAATAGTATTTTCAAATATGTATTTGGAATCTTCAAAATATTAGATTACAAATTACCTTAAAATAATAAATATTTATGCAGCATAGAAGAATCAGCAGTTCTCTGAGGAAGGTAAATAGCAGTTAAAATATCATAATGCACTTTTTATCAGTTGTAAAAAGAAAGATCCAGGCTTAGATTTATGGTATTACCATTAGAAAAACAATGTGAGTATTTAAGAAACATAGCAACACTAGCCATTAAGTAGGCATCAAATAACATTCTGAATTAAGTTACAAGATAAAACCAAGATTTGGATGACAATGACAATATTGTCCATCATTGTTATCCAATTCCTGGTTTTATCTTATAACTGGTTTTAGGGGCAATTCTAGTGAATTGTCCCTAAAAGATGTTTGAAATTAGTTCCATACACTTTTCCTGAATCAACTTAAATATTGATTTCACAAACAATAAGATGGTGTGCTGTAGCATGTCATTGCACTAGAAAGAAAAGAAATACTCCACTAGTGGGGAATAATTTCAATAGAGGAAAGTGATGAATGTTGGATGTGAGTTCGGAAACCAGAGGTTGATAAAGTCTTACGATTGCTATATGCACTGTGAGGCTACTGTATTTGGAAAATTGCAAAACAAAATATTTTTTAAAGAACAAAAATCTGGTGAGTAGCATACACAGATTTCAAAAATAAATTGCATAACTTCATATTTCAGTAATTAAAGATTTAACAATTGTGATTTTGTGGCTAAACAAAATATACTGAACAATTATGTATAAACCATGGATTCAAAGCTCCAGAAAATTGTCTTAATGAGGCGTATAAACTCTTTTTGTTTAATGTCCACACCAAATCATTATGGTCTGCCATTTCATGAAATAACAAGAGTTTTAAAATAAGTGATGTTTTTTAGTTTGTGTATCTATATTCTTTCCTACCAGGTATAGCACAGTGTAGTACAAGGGCCTACAGTTGTAAGCCTTGGGAAAGATACTGTTTTGGCCACATATTTCAGCTATGTGACCCTGGAAAGTGGGTCTCAGAGGGACACTGTGGCCCTCAGTGTCTTTTCATTGGTAAATGGGGGCAACATCTCTTGTATAATGACAGCTGAAAAAAAATACGATTTTCCTTTTATTCTCCCTTCCTTTCATTTAGGCTGTAGTTTTCACTTTTTAACTACAAAGCGATTTATCTCTTGATAACACTTCTAGTGTATTGTCCCTAAAATATTTTTGAAAGTAGTTCTATACACTTTCCCTGAGTAATGAAAACATCATGTATTTGCTAACTTGGAAGAATCCCGAGTCAGGAGATGGCCTGGATTCTCTCTGACCCTTCAACTGAAGTCTTTGACCAAAGGAGCACAGGTGACCCCTCTCTCCTTCATTTTCTGACCTGTAGAGTTTTGGACTCAATGACTGATTCTCTCTTCTAGCTCCAAAATACTGGGCTAAACTCCATGGAACTCCCTTCTGAGTTAAAAATAGTAGACATGCCTGCACTATCAACATTTTTAGAAAATTATGAAATGCTTAGAGTCACTTTGTAATTGAGTCTAAGGTTTGAATGCATAGAGTTCAAATGCAATAACTGTGTTGATAACACAACAAAGACATGTACATTTTTATGTACCTTTATGTTCTATGCATTAGTCCTTCATTCCTTGGCATGAGGAGAAGTGATGGTTTTTCAGTGACCTTCCAGAACTCTAAGGCTGTGTTTCACCAGGCCTCAGGGTTTCTACAGTTTGAACAAATTTCTGATATTGTACCCATGCACACCTGAGTCTAAGAACTCTGCTGTAAGGTGACATTAAACAGCACCCGAAGTTATATTTGAGATGATTATTCAGTAATCATTGTACAGTTGATTTTCGTAGTAGGGATTCAAACACTGAATAGAGTGCAGTTTTAATTAAATCTGCATTTCTCAGTTGAAACTTTATTTTAGCAGTACATGATTTCTATTTCATGAATCATAAATGTCATGTGTCTTCACAAACTGTAGTTCTGAATTTATTCACCATTTTGTCGTCAAAAAGAAGAGTTGATGTTTTTGAAAGATCTAAACAGCTTTGCAACCGATGTTCTAAAGAAATAAAATATACCGCTGGAACCCCCCCCCCAAAAAAAAAAAAAAAACTGAGCTGAGTGCATTGGCTCCTGCCTGTAATCCCAGTACTTTGGGTGGCCAAGGTGGGAGGATTGCTTAAGGCCAGGAGCTCGAGATCAGCCTGGGCAATATAGCGAGATCCTGTCTCTACAAAAAACAACAACAAAAAATTTAGCCAGGGATTCTGGTGCACACCTGTAGTCCCAGCTACTTGGGAAGCTGAAGTGGGGAGGATCACTTGAGCCTGGGCAGTCATGGCTACAGTGAGCTGTGATCATGCCACTGCACTCTAGCCTGGGTTAATAGAGCAAGACCCTGTGCCAAAAAAAAAAAGGAAAGAAAAAATAAAGAAATGCCTTTAACACAGAGACCACCTCATGTATTGCAGGTTGCTGTTACTTTAGTGGAGTTAAGAGAAATAATTTTTGGTCAGTGACTTATTGAATAAATTGACCATTTGTGCTGCTTCCCTGGGCGAGGGCATAGAGAATGGTACAAAGTAGGCTACAGTAGCCAGATAATCTTGTATGTAATTTTGAGCTATTAGTCCGGAGAATGGCATGCTCAGATTAGAGTTATAATTTTGCTTAATCAAGGAGGGCGTGATCTAGTACAATAGAAGACCATTGTCTAGAACTCATTCCTTAAGAATGCTCCCCTGCTTGCTCTGCTCATTCCAGCAGCAATCAACTCTACATTTTATTCCAGGGAGTTGATTATCATTTGGAATTATTTGTCTAGACTAATGTTTGGATACTTTGTTTTGTTATATTTAACATTAAAACTCTGACATTGATTCTGTGTGACATTCACATTCATTTTGGAAGCATTGTATTTAATCATATGAAAGTTGGTGAAACTTGGATTACAGATTGCAAATGCTAATAAGTCTTTTATTAGAATTACGGTGTCTTCATACCATCAAGTTGAGGACTGAAAAATATTTAAGAAGAGTACCTATAAATCGAAAGAAAACAGTAATGACATAGAAAACTGAGCAAAGACAGTTAATTTATTCAAAGAAATTATACTAGTGCCAATAAATATCTGTAAAGGTGGCTAACCTTAGGGAAAAGCACGTTAAATGAATTTTTTTTGTTTGCCTGTCAGACTGACAAAAATTAAAGTTCGATAATGCTATGCTTATGAGGTTATGGGAGACCAGATTCCCTCATACACTGTAGGTGGGAATGTAAATGGTATAGCCTTTTTGTCAGACCAGTTTGGTATATGTCAGAATTTTAAATGCACATACCCTTTGGCATTCCGTTTCTGTTTCTAGCAAACTGCTCACATTTTGCGGTCTGCTCAAGGTCATGATCTGCTCATAACCTTGTCCTGCTTGGCTATCAAAGGTTTATAAATTTTGTTAGTACTATTTCTGAATTTAATAAAATACTTCATTGTCCTGTTTACTTCAGATTTTTTTTCTAGTCCCTTATTTGCTTTTATGTTTTGGCTACAGATAGCCTATCAAGAACCAGCTAGATGTTTCAGTTTATGTATTTTAAGTTTTGTTTCCATTTTGACTTTCCCTGCAGTTTGTAAACTTAGATAACCCTCACCTCTTTAGAACTTTCATGAATACTTCATTTTAGTTCTTTCTATTTTCTGTTTGTTTCTACAAACTTTTAACTTTTTAAAGATACCTGTAATTAATGTAGGGGGTATCAGATTGCTGACCAGTTATTACAACACTATTGAAAATTTCCCCTTCCCCTCCTTCTTCTAACATTAAATTACCTTATATTAGATTAGATTAGATTAGATTCATTTTTGAGTCAGTCTGTCCTGTAGTGGTTTGACAGGTCTGTTCTTGAGTTCACAGTCTTCTAACTAGTTTGCAAATAAAAATTCAGAAAATTAATTTAGAAAATCAAAAAATAATTTAGTGTTTATTTTTGCTGACAGAATCATTTTGTTGAGTTCCAGAAAGTCTTGTGGGATTTTTATTGCCATTTGTAGTAAACTTACACATTTTGGAATGTTTGACATGGTTATAAGATTTTATTTTCGCACATTGCGTTAAGTATATCTCAGTGTTTCCATGTGGATTATAATTTTCTCATTAAAATATTTTCTATAAGTCTTTACATATTCATGCTATTTTGACTGATATCTCTTTTTATACTTTCTAACTTGTTATTGTTTGTCTGTTACAAGAGTTCCACAGATTTCGTGTACCTATTTAGCTTATTTCACATAAATATGAATTCTTTTATGAAAGTTAGCCATTTTAAAGTTAATTTCTCAGCAGTAACAGTGTTTTATTTTCTTTAGGCCTTCCAGATATACAGTCATATTTCTTATATTACACGGTAAGCTCCACAAGGACTGAAATGATTTATTTTTACTTATATTTGTGTCCTAAGTGCCTGTCATTCAGTAATCAATCAGTATATAAATATTTGTTGAATGAGTGCAAGGGAACACTATAAGAATATGTACCATATACAGTGACTCTATGACTAAAACTTTTTTTTCTACTTGTCTATATATATCAGGTTTTGTAAATAATGAGTATTCTTTGCTTCAACTAGAAAAAAAAAACAAATTTAAGGGAAAAAAATCACCTGTAAGTTTTATTTCTTAATTGAGGTCAATGGATAGCTTATCATTTTGCTGGAATTGATTGGATGTTTCCTGTAAGTCCCAGATGAGTTGTCTGGAGATAGGAATGACCTCTGAGGGCATGACATTGAACCCAAGAATAGGAAGCAGGGCCCGCTCAAGGATAGAGGGAAACTACTCACATCTGTAAAGTGTTTTGGTTTTGCTTTTCTGAGATGAAACTGGTTTGCATCCAGAGTCTTAAGAAAGAACACTAATAGTTCTGTGAGCTTTGTAAGTAAGCTTTGTACCTCTCTGGTCTTTGTAGGTACCTGGACCTAGAATAAATCCTAGCCCTGGGGCACAATTTATAGAATCCTAACTGTCCCAGCAGCAGAGATCATTTTTACTCTGTCTTCCCTGACATAAGTGGGACCAATTGAATCGTGCATTCTTTATGCCCAGGTTGCTCAATCAAGCTCCTATTTATTGGAGTGCAGTGCTCAAACAGGAGTGGCATGTGGCCCCTTGGAGCTCCCTCCTGGAAGCAGTGCTGGTGGTGGTTACCTGTCTAGGGACAGGTCTGTCTGCCCAGGAAAGAGTTGAGTCTCATGCAGTCGATCCCCCATGTTTCTTCCTGTGTTTACAGGATATGCTGTCTGTAGCTCTGATGTCCAATCTGGGTGTGCCGACTCTCCTGCCTTCTACCATAACAGCTGTCGGCACCACCACATAGCCTTTCAAATGATGGCACTCTCTTTTGGTGGTACCCTTGCTCTCTTTTTATACTTAGAAGCAGCAGAATGATCTGAGTGTTGTGTTTAACTGATACACATTAGTCCCATGATAGGTGTTTATTTTTATTAAAAAACATTCATGTGTGATTTTTAACAAAACTTTAGAATTTGGAATAATTAATAACGTCAAATCCATAGGAAGCTGTAAGGATAATACAGACAGGTCCTGTGTACTCTTCTGGTTTGCTTAATGGTTACATCTTACATAACTATAATATAATGTCGAAACTAGGAATTTGATATTTGTGCAATGTATGTGTATAGTGTCATGCACATTTTATCTCATACATAGATTCCTGTAGCCACCACCATAGTCAAGATACAGAACTATTCCATTACCCGAAAGACCTCCCTTATGCCCTTTTAGTCACATCCTATGTCAGCAGTCCCCAGGGCTGCCCCCAGGTTTCGTAATTCGCTCAAGGCTCTCACAGGACATTCTTTGCTATGGTTTGTTACAGTGAGGGGATACAAAGCAGGATTAATAAAGGGTAGTTGTGCATTGAGAAGATTCTATAGGACACGAGCATTGTGAAGATTCGGAGTCTTCTCTCCGTAGAGTTGCCCAGTTTGTGCTTACTTCCCCAGCCATAAACTCTAGCAACACATGTGAAGTGTTTTCTATTGTGAAAGCTCACATGAGCCTCAGAATCCAGGGCTTTTATTGGAGATGGGTCACATAGTGTATTAGTTTGTTCATTCTCACATAGCTATAAAGAAATACCTGAGACTGAGTAATTTATAAAGAAAGGAGGTTTAATTAGCTCACAGTTCTACAGGCTGTACAGGAAGCATTGCAGCTTCTGCTTCTAGGGAGGCGTCAGGAAGCTTCCAATCATAGTGGAAAGCAAAGGGGGAGCAAAGTGTCTCCCCTGGTGGGAGCAGGAGCAAGAGAGAAGGTGCTACACACGTTTAAACAACCAGATCTCACAAGCACAGAACCACAGGGGATGGTGTGAAACCATTCATGAGTAACTGCCCCATGATCAGATCACCTCTCACAGGCCCCACTTCCAACATTGGGGATTTCGATTCACCATGACATTTGGGTGGGTACACAGATTCAGACCATATCACATAGGCATGTAGTTCCTTTGCGACTGATCACTATTACAGCAACTCCAGAAGGAAAGCAGGTGTTTACCATAAATCATACAGTTCACATAAAATATCTAGAGAAGCTGGTACAGTGTGGTTCAGTACCGTAAGCATACAAAACACCCTTATCATTTAGGGCATAGGGCTAGTACAAGACCTCAGTTTCTAGGCGCTGACCAAGGGCCAGTCTCAGAAGCAGGCTCGTCTGAGAATGTGCATCATTTGAGCAACTCAGCTTGCTGAGTTAACTGCTTATACTATTTTCCTTCCCCTCCTCTCCCTTGCCTTCACCACTGTTAACCTGGAAAAAGCACTAATTTGTCCTCCATATCTGTAGTTTTGTCATTTGGAAAGGTAGTATAAATCCTAGAGTATGTGACCTTTTAAGATGGACTTTTTAAAAAACTCAGCATCTTGCTCTTGAGCATCCAGGCTTTTGCATGTGTTAACAGTTTGTTCTTTTTAGTGTTCGGTATTCTCTTGTGTGGTCATGCCCCAGTTTGTTTAACCATCCCATAGATGTTTATTTTCCCTTGTAAAGTTGATGAGCATGTATAATTTTTTTTCTTTTTTGAGATGGGGTCTTGCTTTGTTGCACAGGCTGGAGTGCAGTGGCATGACCTCGACTCACCACAGCCTTCACCTACCGGGTTCAAGTGATTCTCCTGCCTCAGCCTCCCTAGTAACTGGGACTACAGGCACGCACCACCATGCCCAGCTAATTTTTGTATTTTTAGTAGAGATGGGGTTTCACTGTGTTGGCCAGGCTGGTATCCAACTCTTGCCCTCGTGATCTGCCCGCCTCAGCCTTCCAAAGTGCTGGGATCAGAGGCGTGAGCCACCGTGGCCGGCCAGCATGTATAATTTTAACGTAATTGCTAATCACTCATGAGGGGAAGAGATTTTTAAACATTTTTAAATAATAGAGACAGGGTCTTGCTATGTTGCCCAGGCTGGTCTTGAACGCTTGGCTCCAAGCCATCCTCCCACCTTCGCCTCCCAAAGTGCTGGGATTATAGGCGTGAACCATTGCACCTGACCCTGGGGGAAGGGACTTTTGTATTTATTAAGCATTTAGTATGTATCATTGCTCTATAGCCATGTTATTCTATAGTCTCTACAGTAACCTTATTCATTCAGTTATTCTTTCAACAAAGATTTGAGAACGTATGATATGCTTGGTTGTGTAGGGAAAAACAATTCTCAAACTGTATTTTTCCTCTGTTCACGCCACAGTAATCATCAACACAGAAGACTTCCGTGACCATATGTGTGGGGATTCTTCCCCTACACACCACACCAGCTGGGTGTCTTCTAGTTTACTTCCTGCACCATCTACCAGGAGGTAGTGTCAGATCGCACAGGGTGAGGACTCAGTCCTCATGACTGCCCCTCCTAACCCCCATCAGTTGCAACTCCGGGCCTCCAGGACTTCTAACTGACCAGCTTCAAGTTGGGGTTCCCATGGCTCCCTTTTTAGGTTCGATGAATTTGCTGAGGTGGTTTACAGAACTCAGGGAGATGCTTCTGTTTTCCGGTTTATTACAACAAATATTGCAAAGGATCCAGAGGAAGGAGATGCTGGGGGCGAAGAATGGGGGAAGATGCGAGCTTCCATGCTCTCCCTGGGTGCACACCCTCCAGGAACCTCCACTGTGTTCAGCTATCTGAAAGCTTCTTGGGCCCAGTGCTCTTGGGTTTTTGTGGAGGTTTCCTGACATCAGCATTCATCCCTGAGAGTATAGAGCGGGCCCCTCCCTGAGGAGGGTTTAAGACCAGTCATCAGAAAGGCACGGGGAGTAGAGTCCTGCCTTGGGGCAGGTGAAAGGAGGGCAGAAGAAAATCAGAGAAGCTGCCCACGAGGCCTAACACACCCAACCTTGTAACAAAAGCCTGGGGCTGGGACTGGTGGCTCACGCCTGTAATCCCAGCACTTTGGGAGGCAGAGGTGGGTGGATCACTTGAGGTCAAGAGTTCGAGAGCAGCCTGGCCAACATGGTGAAACCCCGTCTCTACTAAAAATACAAAAATAGCTGGGCATGGTGGTAGGTACCTGTAGTACCAGTTACTCGGGAGGCTGAGGCAGGAGAATCTCTTGAACCCGGGAGGCAGAGGTTGCAGAGAGCCGAGATCTTACCATTGCACTCCAGCTTGGGCAACAGAGTGAGACACTGTCTCAAAAAAAAAAAAAATGCCTAATATGAGCGCTATGGTAGTTACCAGCCAGGAACCGTGGACAGAAGTCAATATATATTATAACACCACACTGGTACTATTTGAGTCACTAGAAATGTAACAGTGGAGAAGGAAAATAAGGTCTCTGTCCTCATTAAATTGCATTCTGGCAGTGAGGGAGACAGACCAACAGGTAAATAAGTAAATAAAAAATATTTACTAGAAATAAGACATGGAGGCTGGGTGTAGTGGCTCATGCCTGTAATTCCAGCACTTTGGGAGGCCAAGGTGGGTGGATCACTTGAGGCCAGGAATTCAAGATCAGCCTGGTCAATATGGCGAAACCCTGTCTCTACAAAAAAATTCAAAACTTAGCCAGGTGTGGTGCCACATGCTGGTAGTCCCAGCTTCTCAAGAGGCTGAGGTGAGAGGATCGCTTGAGCCTGGGTAGGTCGAGTGCAGTGAGCCCATGATCGTACCACTGCTCTCCAGCCTAGGTGACAGAGTGAGACCCTGTCTCAAAAAAAAAAAAAAAAGGGAAAAGAGAAAGAAATAGCACATGAAGCTCAGGCATGGTGGCTCACATCTGTAAGAAGTTAAATACCAGCCTGGGCTATGTTGTGAGACCCCGCCTCTACCCCTCCCAAAGAATAATAAGAAATAGGACATGGAGAAGCGGCATTTGGCCCAGGACAGAGGAGAGGGTTGGGTAGGTTGGGGTAGGTAGTATTTCACAGAGGCTAGGGAAGGCCTCTCACAGTTTGATGTGAAAGCTTAGATCTAAACAATGAGAAAGAAACCACAACCTGGACAGCAAGGAGCATAGCATTCCTCACATTGGAACAGCATGTGCAAAGGCTCTCCCAGCAAAGGGGGAAGTGGAAAGGATAGCAGTTTAAAACAACATTCATTTATTTTTTATTTTTATTTTTTTTAAAAGACAAGGTCTCTGTTGCCCATGCTGGAGTTCAGTGGTGCAGTCATAGCTCGCTGCAACCTCAAATTCCTAGTCTTAATCAGTCGTCCTACTTCAGCCTTCCTAAGTACCGGGAATACAGGCATGAGCCATCGCCCCTAGTCCATAGCACTCATTTATTATCTCTTTAAGTTCTGTAGATTAGAGGTCCAAGCAGGCTCCGCTGGGTATTCTGCTGAGGACCTCAGGAGGTCAGAATTAAGCATCGGCCAGCCTGGGTTTTTATTTGGAGGTGATAGGGAGAGTCTCCTTCCAGACTCACTCATGTTGGCAGAATTCATTTTCATGTGGTGAAGGTCTGAGGTCCTCATTTCTTTGCTGGCTGTCAGCCAGAAGTCATTCTCAGCTTCTAGAAGCCACTCAAATTTCTTGGCTTTTAGTCTCCTCCAGCTTCAAAACCATAAATAGTGCTTTGACTCTAACTTCACATTGTGTCTCTTCTGTTTTTTAAAAAGACAGCTTTATTGAGGTGTAATTCACATACTATACAATTCTCCGTTTTAAAAGTGCACAATTAAGTAACAACCATTACCGCAGTCAACTTTAGAACATTTTCATCATCTCAAAAAGGAACCCATGCCCTTTCTCTATCCCCTTTATTCCCATCCTCTCCCCTCTTAGTGCTCAGTGACCACCACTCTATTTTCTGTCTCTAGATTTCCCTGGTATGGATGTTCAGATGAATGGAATCATATAACGGGTGGTCTTTTATAACCGGCATCTCTCACTTAGCATGTTTTCAGGGTTCACCATGTTGTAGCATATATCAGTACTTCATTCCTTATTATGACCAAGTAATATTCCATTTTATGGATATACCACATTTTGTTTATTAATTCATCATCTGATGTACATTTGGGTTGTTTCTGCTCTTGGACTATTACGGATAATGCTGATACAAACATTGATGTACAAGTTTCTCTCTGGACACGTTTTTATTTCTCTTAGTCTAGGAGTGAAATTGCTGGTTTCTATGGTAATATTGTTTAATCATTTGAGAAACTGCCAGACTTCTCCACAATGGCTGTACCATTTTACATTTCTACAAGCAATGTATGAGGGTTCCAGTTTCCCCACATCCTTGCCAACACTTGTTATTTCTGACTTTTTGGTTCTAGTCACCCTACTGGATGTGAAGTGGCATCTCATTGTGGTTTCGTTTTGCATTTCCTTGATGACTGATGATGTGCAACATCTTTTCACATACTCATGACTGTTTGCCTTTCTTTCTGGAGAAATGTCCATTCAGATCTTTTACCCGCTGAAACAGTTGTTACTTACTTTTTATTATTGAGTTATAAGAATTCTTTATGTATTCTGGTTTACGAGTTCCTTATTACATAAATGACTTGCAAATATTTTCTCTGATTCTGTGGGTTCTGTTTTCACTTGATAAGGTCCTCTGAAGCACAAAGATTAAAATTTTGTTGGAGTACAATTTATCTGTCTTTTTTTGCTCCTGCTTTTGGTGTCATATCTAAAAATCCTTTGTCAAATCCAGTGTGAAAATTTTACCTGTATATTTTCTTCTGAGAGCTTTAGTTTTAGCTTTTACATTTAGGTCTTTGATTGATTCTGAGTTAATTTTTGTACATGGTATGAAGTAAGCATCTAACATCTAACATCGTTCTTTTGTACGTGGCTATCCAATTTTCCCAGCACTATTTGTTGAAAAGACTCTTTTTTCTCCATTGAATGGTCTTGGTACTTTTGTGGAAAATCAGTGGACAGAAGACGTGTGGGTTTATTTCTGGAATCTCAATTCTATTCCATTGATTTCTATGACTGTCCTTGTACCAGTACCACACTGTAGTAATTACTGTGGCCTTGTAGTAACTTGAAATCAGGAAATGTAAGTTTTCTTACATTCTTTTTGAAGATTGTTTTGGCCATTCTGGGTCCTTGTTCTCTTCTGCATTTTAGGGTTCATGTGCTTTTGTTGGGCCCATCTAGATAATCTAGGATAATCTCCTTATTTCCATTATCAGTCAACTTAATTATATCTGCCAAGTCTTTTTCGCAGTGTAAGGTGACATAATCACAGTTGTAGCACCAGAGAGTGAAGGTTATGGGTGCACAGGTCCTATGAGGCTTAGTTTGGTGAAAAGATAGAGAATGATAGGAGCAGAGAGGCTGGAGAGGGAGATAGCAAAGGGAGTTTCAGAAATATTACATAGTTTGCCTAAAGTCACATTTCTAGTATGTAGCAGAGCTGGGGTTTGAGTGCAGATTTGACTGATCTCTGTGATTTCATGGTCCACACCAAATAAGTCTTCTTAGACTCGGAGCTATTGTTATTGTTTCTGTCTAATTCATACTGAGCTTTTAATGTGTGCCAAGTAATCCACAGAGCACTCCTTTATTTTTTTTCTAGCTCTTAAAGAGCATCTGTACAAGTCTTTTGGCATAGATAATAGGCTGTACTGGAACTAGCTTGATAAAAAAAGAAAAAAGCAGTTAGGGGACCAGGGTGTATGACTCAGAATCTGAGGGTGGGCGTGCACCTAAACCTTAGCCAGGGATTGGAACTGGGAGATTGAAGTCACTCAGGACGTACAGGACCTTCTACCTTTCTCTGCTTCTTGGCGTATGTCTATTTCACTCTGTGGACTGTCCTGATACTTGGACCACTTGATGGAAGATGGTCATGTCACACAGCTCCATCATTCAAGAGAACAGCCCCGACTTAGTCCCATTTGCAAAACTCCAAGCAAAAGACTCTGACACAGTTTGGGGCAATCAGCTGTGACCCTGAATTGGGGGACCATTCAAATTATACAAACATAGCTTCTGCCAGCTTATCTTTGTGGATTCGGAGGACAGTTTCCTGATACACAGGAGATATTTGCACATGTGCTAGGCAGACTCCCCAAATTATGTTCATTTTAGTAACATCTACTAGTATTATCATACTTGTAGTACAAAATTTTAAAAACTTAATTGATCTATGGAAAAAATAGGTATTTCCTTTTGCTCATTTCTCTTGGAAGGGAAGAAAAGGGACATCAGGATGATAATGGCGAGAAGATTAGCTCAGACTTTCAAAATAATTTGAAACCCAGGACTTGGTATACTAAGTGTAGGCTTACTTGAGCCCAGGAGTTCAAGACCAGCCTGGATAACGTGGCAAAACACCGCCTCTACAAAAAAATACAACAATTAGCCAGGCATGGTGGCTGAGTGGTGGGAGTATTGCTTGAGCTCAGGAAGTGAAGGCTGCAGTGAGCTGTGATCACGCCACTGCACTCCAGCTTGAATGACACATCCTGTGTTCCAAAAAAAAAAAAAAAAAAGGAAGCTTAGTGATGTCTCTGCCACTTAATATCTTTTTGATGGAATAAGTTATGATTTCTTAATGTTAATATCTTCATCTCTTACAATAGGACGTAGTAGATGGTCTTTAAAGTTTCTGCAGGTTAACATTTTAGGACTATTTTTCTTTTCTTTTTTTTTTTTCTACTTCTCATTTTCTTTGTTTCTACCTAAGCCTCATCTACTATTTATAAATGGCTGGTGTCTTAGATCTAAATCCTGACTATGGGAGGCTTTAACCTTGTAGACGAAGTAAACAGTGAACTTGAGAGTTCTTTCTAATTAGATTTCCCTCTCCCCGCGAGGTCTCATTAAATAACTCTTACAGATCTGACCTCTAAGGTAGATTACCACCCGTCATCTTTCCCTTCCCATTGTGTTACCTCTTATTTATTTATTTATTTTTGAGACAGGATTTCACTCTGTTGCCCAGGCTGGAGTGCAGTGGTGTGATCTCGGCTTACTGCAGCCTCTGCCTCTGCCTCCCAGGTCCAAGCGATTCTCGTGCCTCAGCCTCTTGAGTACCTGGGATTACAGGCAAGCGCCACCACGCCTGGCTACCCACTGTGTTACCTCAAGTCCTCTAATTGTAGTTGTCTCTTGGTCAGTATCCGTGTCTCCTGTTCTGTACTTCTCCCTAATCCAACCTAGAAATTGCCTCTCAAGTTTCTTCTTCTTTTTTTTTTTTTTTTTGAGATGGCGTCTCCCTCTGTTGCCCAGGCTGGAGCACAATGGCATGATCTTGGCTCACTGCAACCTCCATCTCCCAGGTTCATGCGATTCTCATGTCTCAGCTTCCCGAGTAGCTGAGATTACAGATGTCTGCCACCATGCCCAGCTAATTTTTGTATGTTTAATAGACTAGATGGGGTTTTGCCATGTTGGCCAGGCTGGTCTTGAACTCCTGCCCTCATGTGATCCACCTGCCTCGGCCTCCCAAAGTGCTGGGATTATAGGCATGAGCCACCATGCCTGGCCGAGGTTTTTTTTTTTTTTTTTTTTTTTAATCATAGAGTAAAATTGATTTGGGAGGAGTATAATGTTCTGCGAATTTTTTAATTTTATTAGATTTATGTAAACACCTCCACAATCAGAATACAGAACAGTTTCATCACCCCAAAAAACTTTCTTATGCTAATCCTTTATAGTCACATTCTTTCCTACCCCTAGTTCCTAAATGGAATCATACAGTATGTAAACTTTTAAGATGACTGCTATGGTCTGAATCTTTGTGTGTCCCCCAAATTCATATGTTGAGATTCTAAACCACAAGGTGATGCTACTAGGAGGTGGAGCCTTTGGGAGGTGATTAGTTCATGAAAGTGGAGCCCTCATGATTGGGATTAGTGCACCTGTAAGAGACGGCAGAGAGCCTAGCCATGTGAGGACACAGGGAGAAGGTACCTTCAGTGAACCACCAGACACCAACATCTGTTGACTTCTTGATCTTGAACTTGCCAGCTTCCTGAACTGTGAGAAATAAATTTCTGTTTTTTATAACCTACTCAGTTTATGGTATTTTGTTACTGCAGCCAGAAGGAACTAAGATTCTGGCTTCTATCAGCATAAAGCCTCTGAGATTCATCGAAGTTGTTGGGTGTACTAATACCTGTTGTTGTTGTTGTTTTCCTGAGTAGCATTCTGTTGTATGGAGGCACCATAGTTTGTTTATTCATTCACCCATTGAAGGATATTTTAGTTGTCATTTTTTTGTCATCACAAATATTGCTACTATAACTGTTTAAGTACCGAATTTTGAGTAAATAGCAGTTTTTATTTCTTTAGAGGAAATACCCAGGAGAGGGATTGCATGGTTGGATGGTCATTGTATGTATACATTTTTATGAAACCATAAAAGTGTTTTCTCTAGTGTCTGTACTATTTTGCATTCCACTAGGAAGGTATGAGGGTTTTAGTTGCTCTGCATCCCTGCTACCGCTTGGTATTGTCAGTATTTATTTTTTTTCTGAGGTGGGGTCTCACTCTGTCTCCCAGGCTGGAGGGCAGTGGTGTGATCTTGGCTTGCTGCAACTTCCACCTCCCAGGCTCAAGTGATGCTCCCACCTCAGACTACTGAGTAGCCGCGACCACAACCATGCACCACCATTGCTCCCTAATTTTTTTTGTATTTTTTTTGGTAGAAACAGGGTTTTGCCATGTTGCCCAGGCTGTGTCAGTATTTTCTATTTTAGCCATTCTAATAGATTTGAGTGATATTTCATGGTGGTTTTAATTTGCATTTCTCTAATGACTGAACAATGTTGAACAAGTATTCATATGCTTATTTGCCACCATGTCAATAACTGCAAGGGACCTGAATTTTGAGTTCTCCCTACTTAAATGTAGCAAGTTAGTCTCCATGGTTTCATGGATATTGGCCCAAGACATGAAACTCCTGGGTTGGAGGCAAAAGAGGAGGACACAGGTCACAGGACATCAGCAGAACCAGCTTCATGTCCACGTGGACTACCTTTGCCCTGTAAATTCCCTGTGGGCAACGACACAAGTAGGAAATCCAAGCTCAGGGAACTCAGATCTCATAAGGGGTGGCAAACAAATGTCTCAAACCTTTGATATGAAGGGAGACATTATATTTACTGTACTGGACAGTTAACAAATTGTCTTCTGCTGTGGAAGGAGCTATCATCTTTCTCTTGTAAGGATGTTCAATATACAAACATCTTTGACTGGACAGTATGTAGCAAAGGCTTCTCACGGAAATGTGGGACACCAGTATGTATATCTTCTTTAGTAAAGTGTCTGTTGAGATTTTTTGCTCATTTTTAAATTGGGTGGTTTGTTTTCTGACAACTGAGTTTTGAGAGTTCTTTATATATTCTGGGTATGTAAGTTCTTTGCCAAATAGGTGATTTGCAATTATTTTCTCCCATTCTGTAGCTTGTCTTTTCATTTTCTAAACAGTTATTCCCAGAGCAAAAGTGTTTTGTTGTGTTGCCAAGTTTGGTATACAGGTTCTGTGGGCTGTGGCTTTAATGTCAGTATATTGTTTAGAGTTTTGTAGTGCTGTTTCCATCTGTTTCATGTATGTGCTGATCTGAGACCTGCATAGTGGTCTCTCCGTTAGTTCCAATTTGGAAACCTTTGGTACGGAATAGCGTCAGATCCATGCATATGCAGCCTAAGGGTAAGCCTAGAAATTGCTTTCTTGAGTTCTCCTCAGCAATTTTTCCCACACTTTTTGTTCTCAAAGGGCTCATATTTTCTTTCTTTTGTCCAGAAAACTGTGGATTTAGTTACTCCACTCTGCCATGTCTTTCCACCACTGCCTGCACATTTGAGACCAAGGATAGAGATTGGGAAAAATTGATAGTTCTCCTGCCTCAGAGTTTGGCTCCTGCACTCTCATTTCAGCCATAGCTGCAGACAAAGCACACGATTGCTGGGCACTGTGGCTCAAGAGAAGGAGGAGATGGTAAGTGGGGGGATCCCCATATTCTCTCTGGCTGTTAGGATTTCCCTTTCACATGCCTGAAGCCCCAACTAGAAGAGCTTTCTCTGTGCTGTGGGGCCCATTTCCAGGTTGGCTGGTGGTATTGAATGGGAGAAAGTGGTAATCTCTTAGATGGCTGGGTGATACTTTCAATTCTGGTCTTCCCCACATCTCCATTTTGCTTTTCAGAATCCTCAAAAGTAGTGCACACTGTATACTGTCAGGTTTGATAGCTGGTGACTCTCCATCCGCACTTGGTAGCTTCGAGTTTTAAAAATCCATGATGATTTGACTTCCCACCTAACTTCTTTAGTTTACCTTCTGTCTATACTACATCATTCATATTTTACATTTGCCTTCCTGCTTCTGAGCTTTTTGTGAAAGGCATTCTTCCTGTCCAGAATATCCTTCCTCTTTCTGTCATGTTTCCAAGACCCTTTCAACACAAGGCTCTTTAAGGTCTATCACCAGCATCCCCAAGTGGTCTCTCTATACTCACTAGGTCAGAATTTGTATGTGTGTTACTCCCCAACAGTTTCCTAACACTTTCCCTTTTTCCGCGTTTTTCAGTCTGGCTGTACTTTTGGTTATGAGCTTCATGAGGGCAAGGACGTGTTCTATCCGTTGCATCACCAGTGCCATCTAGCTTAATTCTCTGCACACAGTTGGCACTTAGTAAATGTTTGAGTTAAATTAATGAGACCTCCAAGATATAGGGCCTAATTTTATCTGCACATGTGAGTCTCTTGAATGAATGCTGTAGAGTGCTGCTTTTTTACTGTGCTTCTTTGGCAGTTTGTTATTGTGGAGAAGAATGAGGACCATGTGGTTTCAGTTTGAAAGGAAATTGTTACATAGCGATTTACCATACAGCTGTGAGACTATGAACAAATGAGTTTAAATATTACACAGTGGAAAAGAAAACTGACTTTGGAAATTATGATGTTACTTCAATTTTTTTCTCTTCTCTTCTTTCTGGACAAGGCCTTGCTCTGTCACCCAGGCTGGGGTGCAGTGATGTGATCATAGCTCACTGCAGCCTCCATCTCCTGGAGAGGCGATCCTCCTGTCAGCCTCCCGAGTAGCTGGGACTACAGGCATACACCATCACACCCCACTAGTTTTTGTATTTTTTTGTAAAGATGGGGTCTTGCTGTGTTGCCCAGGCTGGTCCTGAACTCCTAGCCTCAAGTGATCCTCCCACCTTGGCCTCCCAAAGTGGCATGAGCCACTATGCCCATCGTGGGTTTGTTTTCTTTTACAGTAGCCATCCTAATGGGTATGAAGTGATATCTCATTGTGGTTTTGATTTGCATTTCCGTGATGATTAGTGATGTTGAGCATTTTTTCACATGTTTGTTGGCTGTTGGTATATCTTTGGAGAATTGTCTATTGAAGTCCTTTTCCCATTTGTTAACCAGATTATTATTATTATTTTTTTTGTTATTGGCTTGTAGGAGTTCCTTTATATTCTGGATATTAACCCCTTATTATATATGTGGTTTGCAGATATGTTCTCTCATTCTGTGTGTTGTTCCTTTTTACTCTGTCAGTTGGTTCCTGTGTTGTGCAGACATTTTAAATTTTGATGTAATTAATATATTTGTCTGATTTTGCTTTTGTTGCCTGTGCTTTTGGTGTCATATCCTAGAAGTCATTGCAAAATCCAGTGTTGGGAAGCTTTTCCCCTAAGTTTTCTAGTTTCCAGCCTTTACATTTAGGTATTTAATCCAATGTTAGCCCTTTCTTAATGGGTTCTGTGTATTTTCGGCAGGGAATAAGTCTTTAATATGACTGTTTCAGGAATTTACCATAGTTAACTTTTCCTTTTTCCTTCTTCCTTCCTCCTCTCTTTCCCTCCCTCATTCCCTCCCTCCTTCATTCCCTTCTTCCCTCTCTTACAGCCTGAAGATAATGGAAGCACTCACTTTTTCTTCATAATTGCTAAGACTTTAGTTAGTAGAATGATAATTCCTTTTCAACAGCACTTTGTCATTTGTTCATTGGTTAGCAGTAAGAAGATGAGCCTTAAGTCTGAACGCTGAGGAATTCATGTGCATCAGTCGGACCTCCTGTGCAAGAAAGGATGTGGTTACTACGGCAACCCTGACTGGCAGGGTTTCTGCTCCAAGTGCTGGAGGGAAGAGTACCACAAAGCTAGGCAGAAGGAGATTCAGGAGGACTGGGAGCTGGCGGAGTGGTAAAAGGACTTAACTAGGGGCGGTTGAACAGTGGCGTGACTGGATACATACTTCTGTCACCATCCAAATACATTTTTTTAAATTTCTGCTTTGACCTATCAGCAAGTCAGTTTAAAATTAAGGAAAAGGATGTTTTCCCCTCTTCTTCTCAGTCAACCTTTAATGAACAGCTTTGAGTATTTTCTTCATTTTTTGTATGTCTTAACTTCTGATTATATTCTTTGGGTTATGTTAATCTTGGTTCTCAAATGTAGACAATAAGCTCCTTGGAATGGAAGAATGGAGATAGGCATATTTCCTGGTGAAGATTAAATGAGCTAATAAATATGATGTACCCAGTGCAGGGCTTGCAAATGGCACTCATCAAGCATTATTTCCCTCATTCTTTTAATATATTCAGCGTGGCATCTAGCTCAGTGATAAAACACAGTAGTAGAAATCTGTTGACTTGTATACATAGTCCTTGCATTATAGAAATTTAACTTTTCCTTAAAAATTAGGTTACTCAAAGGCAGTTTGTATTATCTGGAAATATAATGATGTTAAAAATTAAATAATGGGCCAGGCGCAGTGGCTCATGCCTGTAATCCTAGCACTTTGGGAGGCTGAGGTGGGAGGATCACCTGAGGTCAGGAGTTTGAGACCAGCCTGACCAATATGGTGAAACCCCATCTCTACTAAAAATATTTAAAAAGTTAGCCAGGCGTGGTGGTGTGCACTTGTTATCTCAGCTACTTGGGAGGCTGAGGCAGGAGAATTGCTTGCACCCAGGTATCGGAGGTTGCAGTGAGCTGAGACTGTGCCACTGCACTCCAGCCTGGGCGACAGGGTGAGACTCTGTCTCAAAAAAAAAAAAATTAAATGATGGGATGGCTACTGAGCATAGGAACTAATAAAATGCCATGAATAATGTTAATTCTTTGCCAGAGCATTTTAGAAATTCTAAAACTGCTTCAACAGAAGAAAGGCAAATGGAATTCTGCCAACTCTTCTTGCTAGTTTTTTTGTTTTTTCATCCAGTCAGCCAATATTTGTTGAGTGACTACTTTGCTGGCACCTGTGGTGAGCTCAGAGAATTAGAAATTACACATTGCTTTCAGTGACTGTGGTCATCAAAGAGAAAATTTTAGCCAAGAACATGAATGATCTCCTCAGGGTTTCCACTGCATGCCTGATGTTGTCAGTAGCAGATCCTGTTTCAAAAACAGAGTAGAGGCCACTAGGCACGAACTGCCTCAGCTTACTCCCTTCGCCACATAAAAATGTACTAATACCTTTATATTAACTTCTTGTCCGTCCCAGAGAAAGAAGTGTCCCGATTCCATACTCAGACTTAGCACCTCCCCTGTGATTTTTGTTTCTATTTCTTACTGCTTTTAATTGTGACCCTGCTAAATCTCTTGGAAAGCTTGTGAAAGCAGTGATTGCTGGACCTTACCCACAGAGTCTCTGATTTTAGTAGTTTGGGAGTAAGACTAGAGAATTTGCATTTCTAACAAGTTGCCTGGTGATGGTGCTGCTGCTGTCTGGGGAACCACGCTTGGAGAACCACTGTCTTATAGATAGTGCTTGAGTTTTTTGTTTTGTTTTGAGACAGGGTCTTGCTCTGTCACCCCGGCTGGAGTACAGTGGTGCAATCTCAACTCACTGCATCCTCTGCTTCCTAGGCTCAAGTGATCCTCCTGCTTCAGCCTCCCAAGTAGCTAGGACTACAGGAGCATGCCACCACGCCCAGCTAATTTTTGTATTTTATGAAGAGACAGGGTTTCACCATGTTTCCCAGGCTGGTCTCAAACTCCTGAGCTCAAGTGATTCGGCTGCCTTGGCCTCCCAGTGTGCTGGGATTACAGGCGTGAGCCACCGCACCCGGCCTGTTTTTGGGATTTATTACAGATGGTTCACATGCAGCTAATCCAAACCCAAATTTATTGCTTTTATTTATTATTCTCCGCATTCTGAACATTTTCCTCCTAACCCTTCTCCTGAGTCAATTAATGGCATCATTGTTTACCAAGTTAGCTAAAAAACCTTGGTTTCATTCTTGATTTCTCTTTAACCTCCCTTGGCACCTACAATTTGACCAAGTTCCATTTGTTCCAACTTAGAAAAGTCTTTTGCATTTTATCTTTGCTCCTCTTCTTTTCCAGGTATTTATTTTCTTTTACTTGAACCTTTATAATATACGCTTAATTCCTGTCCGTGTCTCTAGTTTCTCTATCCTTCAAGTTGTTCACATAGCTACCTGCATGATCTTTCTAAAGCACAGATCTGACAACAATAACTTTTTGGACTTGCAGTTTTTCTTGCTTCCCCACCACATGATGAAATCCAGAATAGGCTTAGCAATGGGCTTAGCAGGCAAGATTCCCTACCCTCTGGTGCCTTCCTGTGTATCCAGCATCACAGTTCATCACACGCCCAGTGCTCTGGCTACATTCAGTTTATTGTGAAGCAAACCACAGGCTTGCACATTTGTAGTTCCTTCTTCCTGGAATGTCCTTTCACTTAGAATCCTAATCATCCTTATCAGTCAGGCGTGGTGGTGTGTGCCTGTAGTCTCAATAACTTGGGAGGCTGAGGGATGAGAATTGCTTGAACTTGGGAGGCAGAGGTTGTAGTGAGCTGAGATCGTGCCATTACACTCCAGGCTGGGTGATGGAGTGACACTCTGTCTCAAAAAACAAACAAACAAAAAAAAACAGAAACAAAAAAGGATCCTATTTGTCCTTTAAGACTCACCCCAAACATCACCGTTGTAAAGCCTCATCAGACTCCTCCAGCAGATTGTGTTGTTCTTTCCTGTGTTCTCATAGCACTCAATTTTTACTCTCTGATGTAGCAGCTGTCCCATTATATAGCAGTTGTTTACTTACCTTTTTGTTTGTTCCAAGCTTGAGCTTGTTAGGGAAAAGGACTAGACTTTATTTATTTCACTGAGCTTGTTGGGGAAAAGGACTAGACTTGATTTCTTTCATGTAACCCTAGACCAGTTGCTGAATGAGCATGAGAAGATGCCATTTGAAATCTGTAGTGCATGAAGAGCCGTCCATCCTGTAGCTATGTGAGACCTCAGACTGATTTGGCGTATTTAGTCTCTAGTTCTAAAATCTTTAGATCCTCCTGAATTAATGGAGTAATAACCTTCAGATACAGAGAAATCTTGGAGAATATCTAGATCATTCTAATCCTCTCTTGAATTGCAGACTCCAGCGGGAGGAAGAAGAGGCCTTTGCCAGCAGTCAGAGCAGCCAAGGGGCCCAATCCCTCACATTCTCCAAGTTTGAAGGAAAGAAAACCAACGAGAAGACCCGCAAGATTACCACAGTGAAGAAATCTTCAGTACGTCTTCCAGGGTCGGATCAAAGAAGGGTAATGTTGTGATACTCTTTTTTTTCTTCTCTGCCTGAGTGAGACACAGAGGAGATCCCCAATGCTCATAGGCTCAGCTTTGTAATTTCTGTCAACTTTTTGAGATCATCAGCTCAGATTTGACACTGAAATTGGGCTTGAGGGTCAGACAATATATGAAACCAATACTCTCTTTAGTTGAAAGACATTGTGTTTTAGAGAAATTTGTTTACTCTGTAGGAGGAATAAAGAGAATTGAAATAGATAGTTTTGTTTATGAAATTCATCCCCATCCAAATGACTATCTCTTTGGATGTTTTGGTTTTTGTGCCTTTATTTGTGGATCCTGGTTTGTTCTGTGGTAATACCCTCACTGTTCATAGCTTGTCAGAAATGGTGATTTCTAGGCTTGAAAGTCATCTGAGAGAGAGATTTTCTGCCCGAGAGCTTATTTGAGAGACAGCTTGTGTCTTGAGAACATATAGGAAAAGGCCCACATTGGGCTCCTGGAGGGATGAAAGTGAGCCATAGTAGCTATTTTCCAGTGCATGGATTTGTATGTAGGTGATCATATTCACCTGGCTTCTTAAAATGCCATATGACCAGCAAGAAGATTGTCACTTAAGTCACAGTTGTTCTATAATTGAGCAGACAAGCCAGTTGAATGGCCCAACGTGAAGCAAGAAAGAATCTCTGTGGTTAGGCCTCGGTCTCTGAAAATTTATGTTGGTACTCAGTTATACAGTTAATGTGAAATGATGAGGGAGACTGGGAACCAACACTGATGCTGTCAGAAGACCTGTTCTCTGGGAGCCCCATCACTTGCTCCCCAGTTCCTACCCTGGGGTAATTGTAATGAGGTCTCCCCTGGAGGCAGGGGAATGAATAATAAGACACTGTTACCCTTAAGACCCTTGCCAGTCTTCTAGGTTTTGTGACTTTTGCTGTTTCCTTTTGTTTTATTATAAGGAAATAAAAGGAAATATTGCTTACCAAAAACACAGTTCTCTTTAAGACATTGATACCAGGTGCAGTGGCTCATGCCTGGTAATCTCAGCACTTTGGGAGGACACGATGGATGGATCACCTGAGCTCGGGAGTTTGAGACCAGCCTGGGCAACATGGTGAAATCCCATGTCTACAAAAAATACAAAAATTCCCTGGGCACAGTGGCATGATTACATGATTAATTTGAAGTTGTTTCTTGGTTGGCTGCCAGTTTTAGCTATTTTGTCTCTACTAAAAAGGGGAAAAAAATTAGCACCTGCCAGAGATTAAATAAGAATGTATTCAGCTTATGATTTATTTATTAGGAGGTGAAATTTTCAGGTGGTTAGTAAGGTGACTTTGGAGTCACTCTTGATTTGAGTCCTAGCTTTGTCATTTACCAGCTTTGTGACCCTGGGCGGACTAACCAAGTCTTGTCCACACTGAGGGACAGTAATACCTATCAGAGACATTTGATGAGGATTCAGTTAGTTGACATATGTAAAGAGCTTAGCACAGTGCCCGACACACACAGTAGATCTCCAGTAAGTGTTAGCTTTTTTAAAATGCAAGTTATTCTTCTGATAGAATAATCTTGCAGGGAGCTCAAGGCCATTTATTATTAAGTTCCTTCATTCCTATTTAGCTTAAAGTCTGTTTCTTGATGATATGTAGTGAAATGGTAAGTATGATAACAGATGAAATAGTAAAAAAAATCATCGAATTATCAGCTCTAATAGCCTCATTTTGCAGATGACAATATGAAAGTCCATAAAGGTTAACTAATTTACCCAAGGTTGAACGATGAGTTTGTGCATGAGAACTCAGGTTTCCTAACTCCTGGGTCAATATTTTTCCATTATATTCCTTTATTCAATGTGTATACTTCAGAAACCCAGGTTATTTAATGTATATAATAAATAGTAAATATATATATATAATCAAGTTTCTGTTACTTAAGTACATAATTGTCATTTATATTCGCTGACTCTCCTTGGTGGTTTTAAAAACCTGTGTCCCAAAAGCCTCTGTACAGTGTGCATGATACTATGGAAAGAAGATTTACAATTTAGTGCAGAGTCTGTACTTTAAAAAGAAACCATTCTCGAGTTGGGTGCAGTGGCTTGTACCTACCTATAATCCCAGCTACTTGGAAGACTAAGGTAGGAGGATTACATGAGCCCAGGAGTTAGTGGCTGCAGTGAGCTGTGATTGTGCCACTGTATTCCAGCCTAGGCAGCAGAGTGAGACACCATCTTTGAAAAAATTAATTAGTTAAAAAAAGAAACAATCCAAGTGACTTTTATTTTAAAAATGTGTATGCAGAATGGTTTTTACCTTTGTTCTTGTTTCTCCCCACCCCGCATCTTTTTGAATGGTAGATTTGTACTTTCTATTTTTTGTTCTTTAGTTGCTTTTTGTCAGTAGAAAGCTTTGGGGATAAAGATCTTAAAGTATTTGAAAATTTATGTTAGAAGAGAAGATTCCATTATGTCTTTGTTTCACAGATCACTTAATATAAGTTAGCCAGGTAAATTTTGCATTTCACACTGATTACTTGTTTGGCCATCGTGTTTGGATAAGGTTAGCCTAAGTGCAGTTTTAATGTATTGGGTCTAGACTAGAAACAGACTTTTTGGATTTTGTATTCTTGATCTTCTTTAGTCCGTGATGCCCTTGCTCTTGGTATTTTGCTTGTTTCTGTTAGTAACATAAAGGAAAGCTTTTCGCCATACACAGCAGCTTGGTAGCAGACAAAATACAAATAACCTTCTAAGGAATTTGAAGAATATTTTCACATTTTTTTAGAGTTGGATTCACTTTCAGAGAAAGTAAATGGAATGTCTTGACTGTAAAGACTCAGTTAAAGTGTTTTAGTCTCCACAGTCATGGTGAGTGAGCTGTATAGAGGAAGTCATAGTGGTTGGCCAAGCTGAGATCACTTGCTTATACATTCCAAAGTGCCCTTTTCTTTCAGAACTCCTATAATCTTGTCATCCCAAGTAGAATCTTGTGTACCTCTTTCACAAACAGATCTAAAGACAGTGATCCTCCAAAGCGTATCTTTTCTTTTTTAGAGTTAAAATACCAATACCACCCAGACCTTAGATTCTAAATAGTATTATTCATTAAAGTGAGCCAGGGCTTCTTAGAGAAATGACTGATTCTGGGGCTGGGGCAGGGAAAAAAAGGCCCCTTCAATATTTTGGTTACATTTCAGAAGATCTAGAAGCCAGCTTGGAGGGGTTTCCACTGGCCAAGTCTGGGATAATTTGAGTGTCAAAATAAACAAGGACAATAAGGCCGGGCACGGTGGCTCACACCTGTCATCCCAGCACTTTGGGAGGCCAAGTTAGGCAGATCACCTAAGGTCGGGAGTTCGAGACCAGCCTGGCCAACATGGTGCAACCGCATCTCTGTCTTTTTTTTTTTTTTTTTGGCACAACCCCATCTCTACTAAAAATACCAAATTAGTCAGGTGTGGAGGTGTGTGCCTGTAATCCCAGCTACTTGGGAGGCAGAGTCAGGAGAATGGCTTGAACCCAGGAGGTGGAGATTGCAGTGAGCTGAGATCGTGCCACTGCACTCCAGCCTGGGCAACAAGCGAGACTCCGTCTTAAAAAAAAAATAAAGTGAAGAAATCAATAAATAAGGACAATAAATGAAGTATAACTGAACAAAATAATAATCCGTGTGTTAATTTAACTAGTAAAATAGAGAAATACAGCTGGCACGGGGGCTCACGCCTGTAATCCCAGTACTTTGGGAGGCCGAGGTGGGTGGATCACCTTTGCTTGGGAGTTCGAGACCAGCCTGACCAACGTGGAGAAACCCGTCTTTACTAAAAAAATACAAAATTAGCCAGGCGTGGTGGCAGATGCCTGCAATCCCAGCTACTGGGAGTCTGAGGCAGGAGACTCGTTTCAATCCG